>NC_000011.10:111111818-111414848 GCF_000001405.40 Homo sapiens | reverse complement strand
CCTTCTAGGAGGTACAAGTTGGCTGCCCATGCAAATCAGTTTTGCCTGGGGATCTTGGGAGAAGAAAGGGAAGCTCAGAGGAGGCACTGATCTTGCCCTGTGTTTTAGGGAAGCTGCTTTCGCTGCTGCTTTCAAGTGACCCGGATCTCATTAAACATACTGATGTGGGGTGTGCTTCTGAGAAGGTGCCTGAGAAATGAACTTGGCTTGCTTGTTGCCTTTGAGGGTCTGTGGGAGAGAATCATAAGCCTGTCCAGATCTTATCTTCTCAGGAAGGGGCAGGAAAACAACACAGCAAAACAGCTGCCCGGACGAGAACACCATCTAGTGTCTTCACACAACACACCCACATTTGGTGGTTTCTGTTTCCCATGAAGATGAAAGAGGAGGGGAGAGGCGTGTCAGGGATTCCCTGAGCCCTGATAGGAGGGTTCAACTGGGCGAGGAAGGGACCATCAGGCCAACCCATGTAGGTGGACCCACTCAGCTCTCAGGACTCATCTCCTCCACCTGGACCGCTCTCCCTGGTGGGGCATTGAGGGACTGAGGGCTCTGGTTTTGTTCTCTAGAAGAGGTGATCCATCATTAAAAATCTATTAAACATGCACTCTGTGTCCACCTTGTACTCTGTGGAAGCCAATTAGATACAAGACCATCCTGGCCCATGTGCAACTTCATTAAACCAATCACCAATAAAGGAAAAATTAAGTAACATGTAACACACGTGCTCAAATCACACACATGAGCAGTTAGGTGGTACATGACTAATTGGCAAATGAAAGACACATTCACTCTCAGTTTGCTCCTACACTGACATTTCGCTGAATGAACGGAACAGTCAGAAGGGTAACACACCACTGCAGCTAGCTGAGGTGGGGGCGGGAAGGGGAGGGTCTTAGATAGGGCAGCGTGGCCTGGCTGGAGCTACGCCAGTTGTAATATGAAGGACTTGTTTTCTGGATGGATTCAGGGCCAAATTTGCCATGTTCCCGGAAGGCTCTGGTTGTACCTTCTTGGAAGACATCCATCCTACCTGCTCTCATCTGTCCCCTTCTCTTCGATCAGAACCTACTGCTGAGCCTTCCTCCATTGCTTGCTGTAACACACTCTGATATAGGTCCCCTGCTTCTACCCTTCAGAATGATGCCAGCAGCAGCTTGTCTGCTATTGCCTTGGCCAGGATAAATTCTAACTGAAATGCCAATAGAAATGAATTGAATGGAATGGAAGGTAATTGGTTTGGGCAAGTCTCAGCTCTGTTTCTCACTAGGTATGACTGTAAGCCTCAATTTCCTCATCTGTAAAATGAGTACAAAAAGGATATCTTTATTGTATGATTGTTATGAGGATCCCAGGAGATAATGAATGTGAGGGCACCTATCACAGCACTGGGTGTGTGTTCAGAGTCTACTGCTATGTGGGCATTCACCAAGGCCCATGCCAAAGCAGTGCTTCTCAAACCGGCGTGTGCATTCCGATCACCTGAGGAGCTTGTGAAACATGTGGATTCTGATTCAGTGGAACTGGATGGGGCCTGAAATTCTATATTTCTAGTAAGTTCCTGAGCTGGTTCAAGGACCACACTTTAAGTAGCAAGGTATAAAAGGACTTTGTGATCGGAATTCTGCATTTCCATGACTCACTCGAGTGCTGACCCTCCCCTGCATTGATGGTTTACGCTGACTCTTGCCTTCTCTGTGTTTGGAACCTTTTCCACCTCCTTCTAGTCTCTATCTCACTCCACCTCTGTTGCTGGCCTTTTTGGCACCTCAATCTACTTACCCCAGTGGCCTCTGACTCTGCACTTCTCTCCGACTCTGCCTTCTAGAGTGGCATTGCTCACACCGACCACCCGTCTTTAATGCTTCTGGTCTAGTGTCACAAGACTCTCTTAAAATTTGCCTGAGGTAACCTTTGGATAAAGCCCAACCCATTTTCCTTCTCCCCTGGGCTTCCAGGAAGCTTACAATGAAGTTTTGTGTTGAGTTATAACATTCTCTCCCCAAGTTTTATGATAAAATTAGTTTCTTCCCACTCGCCATTCTTCCGTTATGACTTGGTTCTTACAGATTTTATTTTTTTGTCTTATTGTAGGTGTTGCTATTTGCTAGCTGAGTGATCTTGGTCAAGTCACTTAACCTCTTTGGGATTCTGTTTTCTTTCCTATAAAGTGGGGATAATGAAGGTACCAACCTCGTAAGACTGTTGGAAGGATTAGATGAGTGAATATCTGTAAAGTCCTTAGAACAGTTTTTGACACATAGTAAGCACCACATGAATGTTATTCACTGTTGTTGTTATTATTCTATAAACTGCCTCAAACCCTTTTGAAAGTGAAAATGGTATCATCATCATCAGAAAAGCCGTGTCAGCATCAAAGTGGTATGCAATACACCATGAAATTATTGTATTACCCTGAAATACATAAGTTATGGGACATCTTTTAAGCTAGAAAGAAAGAAACTTAGGACAAATTAAATCAAATACAGATAGTAAACTTTAAGAAACTCGTTTCTTGTATCCTAAAATCAAGTAGTTCCAAGATGGATTGAAATGAAATAGAATTTGTCCTACCCACCTCTGTGCCTTTGAACCACAGCAGCCTACTGATAGGCCATAACATCTCCACATCACAAAGTGGGCTTTGAGCATTGTAGTCTTGATTGAAACAATTCTTTTGAACCTGCTCACTTCTTTTCTACCCTGTTCTAGCTTTCTGGTCTATTGTAGCCCTGGACTCTTGGGCCTTGTCTCTCATTTCTGGTCCAATTAATTTCTTAAACCTAATCACTGGATTCAGCTGACCTGATTTGACACCGTTGCCTTCTCTGACTTATCATATTTCTGTCTGCTTCAGGACACCATTCCACTGGATTTTGCTCTAGCTCCTAGGACTTTACTGGATGACCTTCTGGGGTTCTCATGTATCTGCCTCATACCTTCATGATTCCCTCAATGAATTTATTTTATGTCTATTCTGTGCCAAACACTGATATAAAGGCTAAGGAATATAGAAATAAAAAAAGACCAACAAAAATCAGACAAAATTTTGGCTACCATGGAGCTTACTTTTTTTGTTGGAGGAGACAGACATAAACAAATCAATAAATGCTGTATACTCTATATTCTTAAAGTGTGATCCATGGGCCAGCAGCAACGGTATCATCTGAAAGCTTGTTACAAGTGCAGAACCCAACCCTATACAGTCAGAATCTGCAGGTAACAAGATCCTTGGTTGATTTGTGTGCACATTACAATTTGAGACATGCTGCTTGTACAAGATAGTGTGTCCATGATATGAAGGAAAAGAAAGCACGTTAAGGGATTAGAAAGTGGAGGTGGGGTGGAATGTGCATGAGTGCTATTTCCAATAGGATGGCCAGGGAAGGCTGCCTTGGTAAGACAACATCTGCTCAGTGACCCGAAGAAAGGAGGAGCATGCCAGGTAAATCTTTTCCCAGCAGAGGAGACAGTGAGTGCAAAATCCTCTAAGCAGGACCATGGTTGGCCTGTTCAAGGAGCGGCAAGGGGGTCAGTGTGCCTGGAGCAGAGTGAACAGGAGGAGAGTAGAAGGAGACAGGAGCAGGATGAACAGGAGGAGAGTAGAAGGAGAAAGGAGCAGGAGGATGCCAGATCATTAGGGTGTGGGTCAGAATGAGAACTTGAGACTCCGCCCAAGTGGGATGGGAAACCATTGGAGGGTTTAAAACAAAGCAGGGGCATAGTTATGCCTTAAAAGGATCACTCTGGCTGCTGTTACTGTGGAAGAACAAAATTAGAGGCAACAAGACCAGGTAGAGAAGGATCACGTTAATCTAGGGTAGAAATGATGATAGCTTAGGCTAGTGTGGTAATGTCGGCGGAGATGCTGAGAAGTAGTTGTATATTAGACATATTTTGAAGGTAAAATTAATAGGATTTTCTGACAGGCTGGGTGCAGAGGATGAAAAAAGGAGGGAAGCCAAGGACGACCCCAAGTTTTTTGTCCGAGAAACTTAGATATGATTGCCATTTGCAAGAGGAGCTGATTTGATGGGGAAAATTGTGGATTTTGTTTTAGACATGTTAAGTTAGAAATGCTTACTGGAAAATCAGTAGACAGGTTGAGGATGCATTTGCTTATATGAGTTAAGGTTTGTGGGAGACATTTAAAGTAGGATGGACTTTAAGGATCTTCTACTTCATCTCACAGCTGAATAAACTGAGTCTGAGTGAGGTGAGGTGGCCTTGACCAAGGGCACACAATGAGTTGGTCATAGTGCTTACTTTTGGTCTTTTGTACTCATTGCATGCTATCTCTCCGTGCATGGAGAGACAGCAACAAATTAGGTCAACAAATTATTAAGGTAAATTTGTTTATTTGGAATTCCCAAACCTTATAGGGTTGTGGAAATGAAAGAAAACCCATCTTTGATATTTCCTGCCAAAGCCTCATTCCTAGGCTAGAGGGCTCATGGGTTGGATTCTAGGGGCCATTCTTGAATCTCTAGTTATATCAGGAGGATTGCTTGAGCCCAGTAATTTGAGACCAGCATGGGCAACATTGTAAGATCCCTGTCTCTACAAAAAATTAAAAAATTAGCTGGGTGTGATGCTGTGCACCTGTAGTCCAAGCTACTTGGGAGTCTGAGGTGACAGAGCCAAAACCCTGTATAAAAAAAAAAAGAGTTTCAGAAAGGCCCATAGACTCATTTTACAAATGAGGAAGTTGAGGCTTAGAGCAGTTAAATGACTAATTCAAGAGCCTATTGCAGGTTAGTAACAGACCTGAGACTGGAACTATGTCTTCTGACTTAACAGTGCAAAACTTAGGACTTGGAGTAGGGAGATCTGTCTTCAACTTCCATCATTTCCGTGCACCTAAAGCAGGAAGAATGAGTCCTTCACCTTCTTTAGGTTTTCACTTCCCCAAGTATGTGACACTATGCAAGTTACTTATCACTCCAATACATTAGCTTATTCATTTGTAAAGCAGAGTTAATCAAATGAGATAACTTACATAAAATGTTTCAGGAAATTGCTTTTTTTCCTACTATAGCACACAGCATTTCATATGCCAAAACCATCCAAAAGATAGGAAATCCCAATTGAACCCTTCATTAGGAAGAGGATACTGACATGGGAGAGTCCTGTGCGCATGACTTATATCCCTAGTGTCTTAGTCTGTTTGTGTTGCTATAAAGGAATACCTTGAGATTAGGTAGTTTATAAAGACAAGAATTTTCTTTGGCTCATGGTTCTGCAGGCTGTAAAAGAAGCATGGTGCTGGCGTCTGCTTGGCTTCTGGTGAGGGCTTTAGTGCTGCATCAAGACAGGCAGAGAAGGTCAAAGAGGAAGTGGGCACATGGGAAGACAGACCAAACCTGAGGGACATCCTGGCTTTATAAGAACCCACTCTCATGGGAACTAATCCATTTTCCCAAGAACCAATCCATTTCTCAAGAGCAAGAACTCACCCATTGCCTTGAGAATGGCACCAAGCCATCCCACCACAAGCGATCCCCCTATGACTCACCAGCTCCTATTAGGCCCTGCCTTCAACACCACCACAGTGGGGATGAAATTTCAACATGTGTTTCAGTGGAGTCAAATTATATCTAAACCACAGCACCTAGCCAGCTCCTTTTCCAGCTCCTATCATCTCCTAAAGGGGTGACTTTTAAATTTTTCTCCTCTACCACCTCTTCTATCCCTCTCAGAGGAAATATATGCAGTCAGATGGGAGCTTCTTTGATTTTCTGTAACCACAAACATCTGCATAAACACCCATTCCCATCTCTTCCTCCTTCTGAAATGGCGTTATCCCACTTTTTCCCTTGGCTAACTGCAATTCCCACTTCTTCTTTTCAACTCGACTCAGAGTCCACTGCATCCTGCCCACATCCACCCTCCCATTAGCAGATTGGCTGCCATCTTGTTTCCTCCCACAGCACCTTGTGTCTCCTTGATCACAGCACGAATCCCATTGTCTTATAATATTTGCTTACTCAAAAGCCTCCCTCATTAGAAGGTAGGGATTCTATTTGTCATCCCACCTACCTGGTGCCTGGCACACAGTATGTTCTTGACAAATGTCTTTGTATAGGTGAATAGGTGCACGATGCTCACTTGGGTTGCCCTGAAGATGACTTCATTAGCTTATGTTGCCATCTCTCATGGGTCTGAATTTCCTGGTGAGAGAAGAGTCTTCAGGTCATCCAGGATCTCTCTTTGCACCTCTCACCTTCAGGTAGAAATGAATGAAAGCAAAGGTGCTCTGTTTTGACTACTTTGCTCCAGCTGTACACCTGGTCCCCTGTTTGTCTGAAACCCTCTCTTGAATGGTGCAGGTGAGGACACTGATGTCAGGGATGGCTGCTGGAGGAGGCAGGTGGTCCTGGGCCAATAGCCATATAGCTATAAGCTCTTGGTTTTCCCCGCAGTGAGTCTGCTCGTCCACTCATTCCCGAGCAGCCTCACCTGCTTCTGGGAACCTTTCTTGAGGTCCCCTGCATCTCTTCCCCAGGAGCAGTAAGCCAGGCCCAGGGGGCTCTAAGCAGGTTGTAGTAATGGGGATCTCACCAAACAGGAGACAAAAGGAAGTGGGAGGACGTAAGGGAAATAAATGAGAAGGAGAGGGGATGGCTTCCTGCTTCTCCTGCCCCATCAAGTGTGGCCTCAGCTCCAGTGACTCAGCACAACCATCTCCACCTGTCCTCTGGGACTTGCATCTATGACATGGGCTTGGAGGCTTAGGACAGGGAAGGCTACATGTTCCAAGGGCCTGGCTGAGGTAAGCCTGTGCAGAGTGGAGGGGTCTTAGTGTTCTTTCACTTGCACTGATGGAGCCCCTTTGCCCTGGCACTGGGCTGTGGCCATGGAGGCCTCTGTGCCCTCTCCATCCTAACCCTGACACTCCACACTTTTCCTGCCCTTCTGATTCTCATTGGAAGTCACATATCCTGAGGAATAAGGTACAGTGGTTAGGAACTTGGACTCTGGAGACAGCCCCACCTGGGTGCAAATGGGCTCCACCATGGAACTGCCCTGCAAGTTACTTACCCTCTCTGAGGATGAGCTTTTGCAGTCAAAAGGTGGCAAGTATCTGCTCGTAGTGTTTTGGGAGGACTGTATTAAATAATGCTTATGAGCTGGCTTTTGAGCTTTTGACAAATAGTGACTATTATGCTTTTATTTTTTTGATGGAGTCTCGCTCTGTCCCCCACGCTGGAGTGCGATGGTGCGATCTCAGCTCACTGCAACCTCACCTCCCGGGTTCTAGCAATTCTCCTGCCTCAGCCTCCCAAGTAGGTGGGATTACAGGTGCCCGCCACCATGTCTGGCTAATTTTTTGTACTTTTAGTAGAGACGGGGTTTCACCATGTTGGTCAGGCTGGTCTTGAACTCCTGACCTCAGGTGATCCACCTGCCTTGGCCTCCCAAAGTGCTGGGATTATAGGCGGGAACCACCGCACCCGGCCCATTATGCTATTTTTATAACTACATCTTTCTCTAACCTGCCTTGTCAGAAATAATTCCCTTTCTATGGTGTTATTACAGAACTTTGTATTAATATCTAATCATTTTCATAATAGTATATATAATATATGTTAGATATGTTATATGACACATACATGGTATATATTATATATATATACTATATACTTATATGTATAACTATAGTATATATACTACATAGTATTATAGCATATACTATATAATTGATAGTATATAATAATATATAGTATATGATAATAATAGGAATAACTTTTATTAAATGCTTACCATGTGCCAGACACTGTTTTATGAGCTTTATATGCATTAATTCACTTAATCCTTTCAAGGTAAGTGTGATTGTTATCCAAATTTTCTAGATAAGCAACTAAGGCACAGAGAAAGTAGGTAACTTGCCTAGTGATCTGTAGTAAGAGCAAGAGTAGGATGTGAAATGAGGTAGGCAGGCTCCAGCATTACAGATTGTTGTACATGGGCTTTGCTACCCACCCCTGGGCTGTGAGTTTTATGAGGTGCACTGCCTGGGTCTGATTCATCCTTGTAATCCCACCAACGCCTTGCTTCAGGTCTGCAGATATTTGTGGAATGCCTGTACAAAGGAGATGCCATCAGCAGAATGTACTAGCTCTTCAGTGGCTAATAGCCCCAGGAGGGAGGATGCCAGCTTCCCAGTGCCTACTTCCCAAAACCCTGGCCTCCTGCTCATTTCTGGTCCAACTAAATGGGCTATATCTGAAACTGGCAGCAGTCAGGAGATGTTTTTTCCCCCAGGGAATAGTGCCTATAGTGTACAAGTCATACTGTGATGGGAAAAAATGATGACAAAGATGATTAAAGTAAGAAAAATTGGGTCTCATTTTCCAAGGGATTCTTCTTGAAAAGTGAGCAGAGGCAAGACACTGGGCACAAGCATGAACTCAGCTATGTGGTGGTCAGCCAGCAAAGAGAGATGGTGCTCTGTATCCTATCCAGTGGGCCAGCAGGGCCCTGCTGAGCCATCCACTCATCCCCGACTCCAGGCATGCAGAAGCTGACAGTCACCTGAAGGTCATCATCATCAAAACACATTAGTGTGTAGCCAGCACAGTGGCGTGTGCCTGTAGTCTCAGCTACTCAAGAGGCTGACATGGGAGAATGATCACTTGAGCCCAGTTTAGAGACTCTGTCTCTAAAATAAAAACAAAAGAACATTAGTGTGTATTGAAATGGGCATATGATTGTTGATTTTTAGCAAGTCACTTATGTCTTCTAATCTTAAATTGCATCTTCTCTGAAGTAAGGGCAGTAATAAAACCTGTTACACAGATTTGTTGGGAGAAAATAAAGCATATACATTGCAAAGAGCAGTAAAGATATGTTATATCTGCAGAATGCTGTAATAATTATTATTAAGTAAGGATGTTAGTAATAATAATATCTAATCTCTATACAGCACTTGCTATATGCCAGAAACTCTTCTAAGTGTTTTACACATATTTAATCCTCACAACAATCTTATAGGATAAGTACTATCATTTATTTTACAAGTGAAAAAACTAAGGCACAGAGAGGTTCAGTAGATTGTCCAAAGTCACACAGCTAGCAAGTAGCATAGTCGACATTTGAAATCAGGCTTTGAGTTTGTGCTAACTGCCACGCTATACTTCCTCTTTATGAAGAATGTGAGCATGTACATTTTATAAGCATAATTTCAGGTAGCCCTCCCTCCCCACTCCCTGAACTCTGGCAGTGGCAACATTGGGTTATTGTTCATACTGAGATCAATCCACCCCTGAAAAAGTATCTGGAGTCTGCTACAGATACCAAATCTTGCCAAAGCTTGCCTGGTGTCCCAGAAAACGATAAAGAGGGTCAGTTTTGTTCTCAGTGCGAGGCCAGGTAACTCTGCAAACTCTCTGGGTTCTCATGGTCCTGACATCTTTTTTTTTTTTTTTTTTTTTTTTTTTTTTTGAGACGGAGTCTTGCTCTTGTTGCCCAGGCTGGAGTGCAATGGCGTAATCTTGGGTCACCACACCCTCCGCCTCCCAGGTTCAAGTGATTCTCCTGCCTCAGCCTCCCAAGTAGTTGGGATTATAGGTGCCCACCACCAGGCCTGGCTAATTTTTGTATTTTTAGTACAGATGGGGTTTCGCTATGTTGGCCAGGCTGGCCTCGAACTCCTGACTTCCTGATCCACCCGCCTCGGCCTCCCAAAGTGCTGGGATTACAGGCATGAGCCACCGCGCCTGGCCGGTTCTGACATCTTAATGTCCAGCAGAGTCCTCAGTAGCTGAATCTGACTGCAATGGAGGTGACTCCAGAAATCAGACTACAAACATGCATTAGGCACCCACACTATGACCAGCATAGTGCTGGGATGTGGGGGATGATGTATAAGAAGCAGGATTATGGTCTGTATCTACAAAGAGTTAGCAGTCCAGTTGGGAAGATCCAACAGATGAAACCACAGAATAAGATAACAAGATAACATGAAGTGAAAATGTGATGCTTGAAATTGTTCAATATTGACAATTAGACCATGAGAGATAAAGGGAACATGCTGCTAATTGTATACCATTCAGTTCCTGGTCTTTATATCAAAGCTCCAAGTTTTCATGTCTCCTAGCATGAATGACCTGTCCTTTCTTCCTAGGGAAACAATTCCAAGAAAAAGGACATTCTTCACCCAGCAGCTCCTGCCATATTCACTGAGATGTGTTTTTGTATTTTCCTATGTATTTCTTCATCAGAGATGGTAGGTAAGTCAATGTGGGGTCTGTTACCCTTTGAGTAATAACTGAAAAAGTGAGGAGAGCAGAGGGCACTTGGGTCAAGTTGTTATGTCAGATGATTCCCTGCCCCCTGTTTCATGGTGTGCTTCACCTCTCTAGGGACCTAGAAAATGCTTCCTAACCACAGATGCTTAGGTTGCTTCAGGTAAGGCATCATCTTAATTCTTTGATGGGCCGCAGCCCTTTCTCCTCTAGCTGGATGACATTGGGTAAGTTGCTTACTCTCTTTTGAATTTTAGTTTTCTTCATCTATAAAATGGATGTATTAGTCCATTTTCATGCTGCTGATAAAGACATACCCGAGGCTGGGCAATTTACAAAGAAAGAGGTTTAATGGACTCACAGTTCCATGTGGCTGGGGAGGCCTCACAATCATGGCAGAAGGTGAAAGGCATGTCTTACATGGTGGCAGGCAAGAAAAGAGAACTTGTGTAGGGAAACTCCCCTGTATAAAACCATCAGATTTCATGAGACTTA
The DNA here is from genome assembly GCF_000001405.40 of Homo sapiens. NCBI lineage: Eukaryota > Metazoa > Chordata > Mammalia > Primates > Hominidae > Homo > Homo sapiens. The sequence goes on along the minus strand of NC_000011.10, from coordinate 111,404,106 downwards.
TTCACTCTCATGAGAACAGCATAGGAAAGACCTGCTCCCATGATTCAATTACCTCCCACTGGGTCCCCTCCCACAAGACATGGGAATTCAGGATGAGATTTGGGTGGGGACACAGCCAAACCATATCAATGGATATATGAAAGTGTATGTGAGGACAAGCTGAAATAATCAATACAGAGTCTTTACCATCCTGACTGGTACATAATACATTTTTCTAAAATGATATTTTTGTTATTAGTTCTACTGCTAATATCCTCACATTGCTACCACCATTATCATCACCACCATCATTACCATCAATATCACCAATATCATCAATACTGTCATCACCATCATCATCTAACCAGTACATCCCATGTGCCATTTCCTTAGGACCTATTCAAATGACTTGTTGGTTAATCTGATAAATGCCAAGCTCTGTTTGAGTGAGAGTGGCTTAATTTGTCACCCACTCAGGAATATCTTTATTCAAGTTTGCAGGGGGCAAGGGAGTGACTTGCTGAAAATTAATGCTGACAATTGTAGGCCCCATAGTGGAAGAGAAAGGAAGTTAGTTTTGGTTGAATGGACTTTTGGATGCTTCCCAGATCCCATCCTCTGCATCTGTCAGTTCTGGCCCAGAAATAAACTGCTTCACTGGGTTTTCTCCCTTGTCCCACAATGCAGGTAAAGGAGACCTTAGCCCATGAACAACATTTCCCCTTTCTCCATTAATTACAGTGTCATGGTGAAGGGAGGACTTCATTTTAATTTCAGTCCTACCTAACGCAGTGCCCGGAGGAAAACAACAGAAGTGTTTGAGGTTGGGATTCTGAAGCATAAAAAGCACAGGTTAATTACTTTTGGCTTCACAGGCAGATTTCTATGTACACAATTGTGTTTCATCTTTGTAACCTGAGGCTCTACTTTGAGGGTTTCTCAAGTAGAGAAATCACCCATGCTCTGTCCAGAGTCATGCTCGAGTTAAGAGCTCACAGGATGATGGGCATAAATACCACTGGAGCAGCCCTGTGACTCTTGGGGCCCACATAAGAGAAGTCTTTCTATGGAGTGAGATTGATTTGGTAATTCAGAAGGCTAAAGGGACTTATTCTGAAATTTTTGCTTTGGGGCTCCCATTTAATGTTCCACTCTGCAAAGCGGTGATCAGTTCCATTGAAATTCTTCACCAAGTCAACACAAATTTCAATGTGGAAATGAGTGTGTGGAGACATTTCTGATGTATTATTATTATTATTATTATTATTAATTTGGTCTTGGCTGAAAACACAGTTAGACCTTTGTGCAGAATGTGGATTCTGAAAGGCCATTGAAGGCCGGTTGGGAGAATCTTTAAGACATCTCAGGGGAACAGTCAGCACAAATACAGCACATGCCAGCTTGCCTTGAGGCTGGGAAGGCTAAAGCTTTCTCTGTAGCACCCCCACTCTTCCTACACACTAACCCTGAGAGGATCTGGAAGGCACATCCCCTTGGCTGGTACAGGAGGCTTGTTCCATTCATCCATCGAACAAATATTTGTTGAGCGTCTGCTAGTGCCAAACCTATTCTAGGTGCCAAGGATACAGCAGTGAGCCAAAATAGGCAACAATCCCTCCTGACATAGAATTCACTTTTCCTCAGGTTGGTTGAATATTGGTATTTTGTTCTCTCTGACTGTATGTGTGTGTGCATTATGTAGATGTATCTTAGATTTTATATGTAAATCTTAGATTGATACAAAATAACATGTAATAAAATTTAAATATATTGACATATTGTATTAATCACACTGCTAATAAAGACATACCCGAGACTGGGTAATTTATAAAGGAAAGATGTTTAATTGACTCACAGTTCCACATGGCTGGGGAGGCCTCACAATCATGGCAGAAGGTGAATGAGGAGAAAATCACATCTTACATGGCATCAGGCAAGAGGGCACGTGCAGGGGAACTCCCCTTGACAAAACCATCAGATCTCATGAGACTTATTCACTATCACGAGGACAGCATGGGAAAAACCTGCCTCTGTGATTCCATTACTTCCCATCAGGTCCCTCCCATGACATGTGGGGATTATTACAATTCAAGGTGAGAGTTGGGTGGAGACACAGAGCCAAAGCTATCACATATAAATAATATATGAATAAAAATATATAATTATACATTCTTAGATTGTGTGTTCCAAGAAGGCAGGGGTTGAATTCATCCAATTATCTTTGTACAAGCCCAGAATAATACCATTCATTCATTCATTCATTCACTCAACACATACTTTCTGAGAGCCTACTCTGAGTTAGGTGATGGGGATACAGTGATGGGCAGAAAACCCCTCACAGAGATTATAGTCTAATTTAGTAAATATGAAAACAAAGACAGTGAGGCCATGATATTTGTTGACGTTTAATTTAAGTTTATGATGCACAAATCTTAAATCTTACATCCAAAGAGTCATGCTATATTCATTGCTAGTTGACAAATTTTTTTTGCATGAATGACATTGCCCACCCTATGTACAATCTGGTTTTTAAAAATCTTTTTATTTTGAAATATGTTTAGCTTTGCAGAAGGGATGCAAAAATAAAGCACAGAAGATTCCTATGCTCCCTGCTCCCAGCTTTCTTTTCTTTTCTTTTTTTTTTTTGAGACGGAGTCTCGCTCTGTCTCCCAGGCTGGAGTGCAGTGTCTCAATCTCGGCTCACTGCAAGCTCTGTCTCCTGGGTTCACGCCATTCTCCTGCCTCAGCCCCCTGAGTAGCTGGGACTACAGGCGCCTCCACCACGCCCGGCTAATTTTTTGTATTTTTAGTAGAGACGGGTTTTCACCATTCACAGGATGGTCTCGATCTCCTGACCTCGTGATCCGCCCGCCTTGGCCTCCCAAAGTGCTGGGATTACAGGCGTGAGCCACTGCGCCTGGCCCCAGCTTTCTTTAATATTATCAACTTATGCAACTATGGTACATTTATCAAAACTAAGAAATTGGCATTTATGTAATACCATGAACTAACTTACAAACTTTATTTGGATTCACCAATTTTCCTGTTTTTTTTTTTTTTTTTTTTTTTTTTTTATGCTCCAGGTTCCAGTCAGGAACAGCCTATGAAATCATTCATTATCTCTCTTTAGTGTCCTCTGCTCTGTGAGTTTCTCAGTCTTGTTTTTATGACCTTGACAGTTTTGAAGAGTACTGGTAAGGTATTTTATAGAATGTCCCTCAGTTTGGGTTTGTTTGGTGTTGTCTTATGGTTATTCTGGGGCTATGGGTTTTTAGAAAGACTACTACAGAGGTGAAGCAGGCTTCTCACTACATCCTGTCAAGGCTATGTGATATGAACATGACTGGTCACAGATGACATTAACATTGGTCACTTGGTTAAGGTGGTGTCTGCTAGGTCTCTCCATGGTGAGGTTATTTCTTCCCCTTCACATATTCTTTGTTAGAAGCTAGTCATTAACCAGCTCACATGGGAGTGGGAGAGATTAACCTCTATCTCCTAGAGGAAGGCTTCTTTCTTCTTGAGTTTTCCTCACTTATGTGTCTTGTTTTTGGGAATAAGGGCTTAAGAATCATAAGATTATTTTCCTTTGAAGTGATGTTAAAGTTATGCTATATTAAAGTTCAGACATTTAATATGTTTGTACTGCACTTTGTTTAGAACATTCTTCATCATTTAACATGAGCCTGTACAATACAGAGAGAGGGAGGGAAGGAGAGAGATGGATTTTCATTGGCGGGTTCTAAAGTTCTTGTTATTTGTAAATTAACTCCAGTACTACAGATGCAATACGCTTTCCTCAGTTGAAAGCAGTTTTAGCAACTGCCTATTGTATTTTAAGATAAGAGACTCAATAGTAGTTCAATTCACATAACTGTAGAATCATAGAACACTAGGTCTTGGCACAATCATTTGCTCTGGTATCCTCCCTTTACAGATGAGGAAACTGAGGCACAGAGAGGCGGCATGACTTTTCCGAGGTTGCCCAGCCAGTCAGTGGGAGGCTGGGCCTCCTGCTTCTCAGGGTTCTTTTGCTGTAAATTCCTGTCTGACCTCCCCAGTAACAGAGGGGATTTACACTGTCTCCCCTCACTCCACCCTCACCCCACCCTCACCCATCCCGGCTTTCTCCAGGGCCTCCCATTTCTCTCTGTAGATCAGGAATAAGGCCTCTATCCAGGCCATACTTAGGATGATGCAGGATCGCAAATACCCTCACACCTCAGTCCCACTCAGCTCACACCCGCCACCCTGAGGGCAGAAGGACCTCTCAGTCTTCAGTCACTTCCCTGCATCCCATCCCACCAACCTCAGCTGTGGTCTGCAAGTCCCACACCTCTTCTAGCCAGGCTCTGCTATAGGATGGAGATGCTGTGGTTTAAAAGTGGAAGTTCTCTAGTAAATTTGGAGTTCACTCTCAGAGACTGCTGTCCCGGGAACAAGGAGATCAATTCCCTTAGAAGACCAAGCCCGCTTAAAACTGTGGAGGGACTAAGCAAGTAGGTCTTACCTTCTCAAGAGGCAATATGACTCACAGGTTGCATTTGGGAGGTGAAACAGGAAAAACATTGCCCCCTTCCCCCTACCACCCACTTCCCCTGGGGCTAGAAAGTGAAGGGGTAAATATCTGGCTGAATTTGCTCTGCTCAGGAGATATGTCATTTCTCCCCATGAAATGAATGAAGCTTAAAGTCTCATTGGGCTCCTATGTTCAAAAGGAGTCCAAAGATCAAATTCATATGGGGATGCTTTCCAGTGTCTCCCTGGATGATGAAGTTTACAGGAGGTCGGGGAAGAGCTTTCTCATGCCAGAGGCTAAGTGGTATCCAGGGGTTCAGTCAAAATATCTGACTGGCTGGATTTTTCACATTGCCCATTTGGACAGTCTTGGCCGCAGCTGGGGATCCTACAGGAAGCAGAGCCAAAGGTAATGAAAGCCTCCAAGGAAGTGGCTACAATTGTGGCTTCAAGGGCACCTCCTGCATGGGGCTTCCACAGATTGGGCAACCCACGTGGTGACGTGAGTAAAGGTGAGGTTTGGGTGCCTCAGTTTCCCTCTGGGGTTGTGCCTCATCCACATATCCCTCTTGGTCTAGGATCTTCAGTATTCATGCCTTTTCCCACCATTAAGCTCTCTCAGGAAAGCTCAATAACTCTTTTATGCTAGCATGTAAATCACCAGCTCCACGTCAAAATATTAGACCTTTACAGGAATCATTGCTTTTAAATAGGGATAAACATGGTTCTCAACCTTGGCCTTGCAGCAATATCACTTATGATACGTTTATGAAATGTAGAAGACTGGGCCCCATTCAAACTCTATAATGTTAAAAAAAAAAACAAAAACAAAACTCCACAGGTGAATCTCACTCACCACCAGGCCTGACAGCCATTCCTAGTTTAAGTGGGAAGGTGTCACTGTGTGATTCCCAGACCAGCAGCAGCACCATCACCTGGAACATAGAAATGCAAATTTTCACCCCGTCTCTACTGAAAATACAAAAAAATTAGCCGGGCATGGTGGTGGGTGCCTGTAGTCCCAGCTACTCGGGAGGCTGAGGCAGGAGAATGGCGTGAACCCAGGAGGCAGAGCATGCAGTGAGCCGAGATTGAGCCACTGCACTCCAGCCTGAGCAACAGAGCGAGACTCTGTCTCAAAAAAAAACAAAAAAAAGAAATGCAAATTTTCAGCCTGAACGAGACCTCCTGAATCAGAAACTCTGGAGGTGAGGCCTAGCAATCTGATGCATGCCAAAGTTTGAAAACAACTGCTTTAGGCTAAAGGACCAAGGTCTTACTGGGGCATTTTAGTTAAGATTTGGAGTAATGTGGTTGGAAGGCAGGGGTGTCCTCTGAAACTACACTTGGTCAATGGTTGGCCGCTCTGTGAACATATAGAGCTATCTCTGATTGCTTGTCAATCTACTGAAGCTATCTCAGACTTGCAGATGATCAGCAGTGTTGGAGCCTTTTCTTTCGGTAGGAAAGACAGTGATGATTGACCTAAAGCGGCAGCAACACAGTGGCTAATTAGTAGTGGTGATGGTGGTCGTGACTACCCTCTTCTTTCCACTCATGCCCCACAAGCCACAGACTACAAGTGAGAGTGGTAGACAGGGCAGAAGCAGAGGATAAGGTTGTGGTAGGGGAAGTTAATGATTTTATTTAAGAGAAATTACACTGAATTAGAGATCATGGAACTCTTGCACACAGTATTTCTTTAACTGTACATTTATCTTAAAAACAGTGATCCCAAAGCATCACTTGAAGTGTAGTGTCTTTATGGCCTGAAAACACCGTAAATAAGAAAGATTTCCTGAACGTTCTGCTGAAATGTGGTGATATTTCAATTCTAGTCAATAAGCACTATTCTTAGTATTGGGATACATCAATGAACAAGAGACACTGTCTATAACCTCAGGATGTAAGAAGGAAAACAAATCAGCGAGAAGATACTGCCCCTTACCCCCGCTTAAAGAGGAGACACAGATGCCCTGTGAACACCTACCAGTTGGCTGACACCTGGGGCTCAGATAAGTCCTCTCTGGGTAAGTGATGTTTAATCTGAAAACTGAAAATTGAACAGGAATCAGTCAGGCAAAGGGATGAAGGAAAGTAAAGGAAAAGGTGGGGAGAAGAACATTCTAGACAGAGAGAAGCGCTGGTGTGAAGGCCTGGAGTAGAGAGAAACCCTGGTGTGGAAATTTTAAGAACTGCAAGCTGAATATGCTGGATCCTAGAAAGTGTGGGGGAATATGTTAGGAAATGAGGTTAGAAAGGCAGCCATCCCAGCTCCCAGAGGGCCTAGGAAGTTAGATGAAGGATTTAGACTGGGGCCTAAGGGCAATTGGAAGGGCAATTGAAGGATTTAAAGCCATGGAAGAAGATGAGAGATTTGCATAAAACATAAATCTCTTGGCTGCATTTGGAAAGTGGATTGGGGGAGGAATTGTGGGTATTTGGAGACAGTCAGGAGATGGGTGTCATACGGATTAAATTTACAAATGTTTGCTTAGGGAAAATAGGAAACGAACTAAGAAATTAGAAGATTAAAATGTGTGCTTCATCTTATGTTCTTTTTCAGCCCTAGTTTCATTTCTTTGAATGAAACAGCTCTATGAGAGCTCTCTTCAGAGTTTATATGTTCTCGACACTGTTCCTAGCCAGTGGCAATGAATAAATCAACCTATACTAATTGAAAATTAGCTGTGGGCAAACCACAGTATGAAACACTCCTGGGCACCATGGAGGATTCCAGAAAGGCTTGGTCCTTGCCTGTAAGAAACTAACAATCGAATAATGAAAATAAACAGAAACTCTTAACTCTTAACTGTTCATTGAAGATTCAAGCAACATGCGATTAATTATCAAAAAGTGAGGAATTGAATCATAAACACTGTAAAAGGAGGGTTAGAAATGATTTCAGGGAAGTATACGTATTGGGCAAGTCTTTGAAGGATGCTGGGAGGTGGGCAGGCCCACATGCCTGAGAACACATTGAGGGCGGGAATAGCATGAGCTTAGGCCTTGTAGTTGCATCCACATTCGTGGTTACATTTATCTTGATTTTCAGGGAAGGTCGACTGACCCTCAGACATAACAGAAAAGCACACTAGCTTTTGACAAAAAACAAGGGGGTAGTGAATGTTCCCATCGTAATTAGTGGTCACTTTTCTGCTGCACCTGCTGGAACTGCAGCAGAATGGGGGCATGTGGGTAGACTTGGTTGGGAAGGGAAATGGGGCTGACTTGGGAGAGGCCTGGAAAGGGCAGAGGGGACAGGGAGTGCTGTGGGCCTTCCATAACCCTGGCTGGTCACCCTGGAAATCACGGTGACTTGTTTTCAGAACGTTACCTAGTGCCAAGGCAGTTTACAAGTTACATATAACAGGAGGGACCATTCTAAAATCTGTATCCCCAAAGCGCCAACTATTTGCCCCTTAGCATGGAGAAAATCTGTTCTTATGTAGGAGTTCAACTGCTCTGAAGGGGACATTGGCTCTGAATTGCTCTCAAGTCTCAAGTATCATTTGCTACTTGATGGCCACCTGCCACCATCCTGGGCAGGGGCTGAGGAGAAGGTTGAGGGGCACAGGGACTGAAACTGTCCTGCAACAGCAGCGTCAGGTCTGGGCTGGGCTTGGAGAAGGCAGGCATGCCTCCGGGGCGGCTTCTGCGAGATAGCTGCACCGGCTGGTGGACCAGGTTGAGGGGCTGTGCAAAGTGATCAAGGTGATGCAGGAGGCGTGCCTCTAAGTTTGGCTGGAAGACATTTGTCTGCAGGGTAAGTTCAAAGGGGGCATTGCCTAGGGCAGCGCATCTCCAACTCTGTGTGTTCTCTGGAGATGCTTGTGGGGCTGCCTGGACTGAGGGCTAGGGAAGCCAAAGGAGTGGGAAGACCCCAAAGACAGCCTGTGGGCCCCACCTGCTCCCTCTTCACTGAATTTGGGGCTTTTGTATCAGCTTTATATTTTGGAGAACTGCTTAATAATTTATTTGAAAAAGAAAAGGATGCTGCTGGTAGAAACCAGTTGAAAATCTTTGTCATTTGAACAGCCTTTTCATAACATACTCTTTTGGTCCCTGCTACCAGGCTTGAAGGCATGTCCCTAAAATAGGGGAGGTCCCTGACTCTCGGACACCCACAGGGGTGACGGTGCTGATCCCAGGACCTGCTCAGTGTGTACATACTCTGCTGGAGTGCTGGGATGCAAGGCTCTGCTGGGGTTGCCGGGAGCAGGGATGGGAGCAGGAGCCAGTGAACTGCCAGCAGGAGGAAGAACAATGGGCTAGTGTGAGTGCTGCCTGAGGGGGCCTGCGGAGGTGACAGTCCACCGGGGCTGTGGAGGCGTGTTTGTCCAGGCAGGAAGCCACATGGGACCTCAGGCCGGTCTCTCCTGGCACAGCTCCTGACCGCACCTGCAGCAGAGCCCCTGGGTGCCTTCAGGATGGAGGAGCTGTTGCTGGATGGCCAAGCCCACCTGGCCTGGGCCAATTTCTTCCCTACTTCCTGGTTGTGGATGAGGACTGCCCTCTCTGCTCCAGGAAAAAATTCTCCACTATTTTCAGGCCATTTGGCCTTCTTCCTTAGTCACCTCATGGACTCACTATCCAGGAGCCAGATTCCCTGAGCTGGAGGGAATACGTTCTAATAAAATGGCTTCTGAGGGGGAGAGGACTCATGGATATGACACCTCATAGATTCTCCATCTATATATGTGGAATGAATGATTTTATGAGCATCTCAGGCTTTTCCACTCTACTGAGACTATTAAGCCAACAAAGATAGGACCATATCTTGGTAAGTGGCAGTCGTTTTTATCACCAGATGATGATTTCCTGGTGTCAGTTACTTAAAGACGAGGTCTGTCTCTCAAACCAGGCACAGGGCTGGGCACAAGTGTCTAAAGAGGAGGCCAAGGTGGGCCCATATAGAGATAAACAGTAGAAATGAGGAGGCTGTGGAGGTGGACCAGACATTAATTTTCACACTGGGTATGTGTATTAGTCTGTTTTCATGCTGCTGATGAAGCTATACCCAAGACTGGGTATCTTATAAAGAAAAAGAGGTTTAATGGACTCACAGTTCCATGTGGCTGGTGGGGGGGTCTCACAATCATGGCAGAAGGCAAAGGCATGTCTTACATGACGGCAGACAAGAGAGAATGAGAACTAAGCAAAAGGGGTTTCCCCTTATAAAACCGTCAGATCTTGTGAGACTTATTCACGGCCACAAGAACAGTATGGGGGGAACTGCCCCTATGACTCAATTACCTCCCATGGGGTCCCTCCCACAACATGTGGGAATTATGGGAGCTACAATTCAAGATGAGATTTGGGTGGAGACACAGCCAAACCATATCAGTATGGAAAGGGCAGGAACTTCAAGCCACAGGAATGGGCTGGCTACCGCAAGTTCAGAAAGCTGGACTCATCAACTTGACTTCTTCCCCATGCCTAATGTTCCCTGGGTCATTCCTAGTGTGCTCTCTCTTGTTCAGTGCTTAGTAATACAATGGCCATTTCTTGGTCCTCTACTATTGTGAGGCTTCATGATGTGCCTTTTCATGCAGTATCTGAGTTGATCCTTGTAACAGCCTGGTGAGGAACTCTTGTATCTGTATCGTACAGGTGATGAAATCAAGACACAGAGCATTAAGTGCTTTTGCTCAAGGTAACAGTTTTAAGAGGTAGACCTGAGATTTGAACCCAGATCTATTTGATTCCAGAGATAAAATTCTTCATTGCTGTTTGCTATGGAGTTTTTTAGACAGTACCAGTTTGTCTTAACTGTGCTGAGTATTTCTAAGAGCAGAGTTCAAGTTCACATTTGCATGAAGCTTTTCAAAGGGTAGTGGAGCTCCCAGAGTTCAATCAGCATAAAGTGGAGCTTGGGGACAGGTCATGTCACTTGGTCAGTCATCCTTCCCTCCTAGAGCATCTCCCTCTCCTCCTCATGCTAGACCTTCAACACTCTGGTTTTGCTTTAGTAACTGGGGAGTTTTTCCTCCTGGCTTTTCTCTGCAACCTCTTCCCAGCTGTTCCCAACCCTGAGAGTGGCTAAAGAGGAAATCATGATGGTGCATCCTGTATTTGGGACTAGAGTAGTAGATTTCAAAGTATACAGTTCTTTGGGCAACCAGCATCCTGGAGACCTGAACTCAGCTACCACCGGTCTTCAGTGTGTCCTTCTCAGGCACCCGTGGGTTCTGTGCACCATAGTCAGGTGCTGCTGCTGCTGCCTGAGGGTGTGGAGGGCTGCAAGGAACAGGTGTTTCAATGCTGCCCTTTGCTTTGGATGCTCTAATCTGTCCAAGCTGACATCACAGCCTCTGAGAGGTGAGTGCATATGACCGTCTAGATTAGATAAAGTGACTCATCGTAATTTACAAACTGTGATTTAGTAATCCGGTTCCTTGACTCAGAGTAATAAGAGATCCATGATAACAGTGGATTTGGAGGAAACTTGGGGGAGATCCAGATAGCATCAGCCCACAGTGCTATCCCTCCTAGCAATCTTTGCACTCATTGTTGATGTGTATTGTATGTTCATGAATCTAGGTGACGATATGGTATAATCTGTCATCACTCTGTGGCATATTCTCACTCCTCTCTGTAGTTCAGGCAGTACCATAAGACTCCCCTCAGGGCCCAGGCTCAAGCCTATCCGTGATTGCAAGAATGGCTATCCCTTTTGGGTGCTTACTATTTGCCAGGCACTGTTGTACTGTTTTACACACATCCAATAATCTAACCCTCACAAGAATTCTATAATGTACATACCCAGAGGAGACAAGGTTGGTGGCGGCAGGATCAAACCCAGGCACTTGACTCGCAGGTCTGGGCTCTTAGCTAGCAAACTATGTTACCACTGTGCAGGCTGGAATGTCTATTCTCCCAAAAACTCAGAGCCAAGCAGTGAGGGATGAAGGAGCCAGGTGAGGCCCTGCTTTCTGAGCAAGATAGCTAGGTGTTATAGAAGAGAACTAGATAAGGCTGTGGTTCTCACATGTGATCCCTGGACCGGCAGCCTCAGCATCACCTCGGAATTTGTTAGAAATGCAAGTCCTCTGGCCCTGTCCTGGACCTACCAAATCAGAAACCCTGGGAATGGTGATTTGGATGCATGACAAAGTTTGAAAATCACTAGAGGCCAGCCACGGTGGCTCATGCCTGTAATCCTAGCATTTTGGGAGGCCGAGGCGGGCTGATCACAAGGTCAGGAGATCAAGACCATCCTGGCTAATACGGTGAAACCCCATCTCTACTAAGAATGCAAAAAATTAGCTGGGCATGGTGGTGGGTGCCTGTAGTCCCAGCTACTTGGGAGGCTGAGGCAGGAGAATGGCATGAACCCGGGAGGCAGAGCTTGCAGTGAGCCGAGATCGTGCCGCTGCACTCTAGCCTGGGTGACAGAGCAAGACTCCGTCTCAAAAAAAAAAAAAAAAAAAAAAAAAAGAAAATCACAGGAAAAGGGAAGCTGGAGGCTAGGTTCTAGGTCTATCTTTGCCCTTGCCTAGCTAGGTAACCATAGGCAGGTAATTTCATCTCTCTGGTCCTATTTCCTCATTTTAAAAATGAAGGGCTCACTCTAGATTTATTCACTTTTCATTAATCCAGCAAACATTTATTGAGTGCTTACTGTGTGACTGATTCCGAGAATGCAGAGACACGAAGCTTTCAGAATGGAACGCAATGAGAGCCAGGTGGCTTGGGATCATCTGTGGTTACCACTCCAGTTTCAACCGTAGTTAATTCTTGCTGAAACAATTGTTAGAAAGACTCTCTCTAACCTCCCACCCTTTCTCCTAACTCTAATTTATCTTCACACTGTTGCCAAAGCCACTTTTAAAAGAAGCGTGACTATGACCCCGTCACTCCTCAGTGAAAAACCTTCCATGGCTCCCTATTGCCCATACTTTCCCAAAGGAACACAAATGGAACACAATTGGAAACACATTTCCAAGGATCACAAGCAGCTTGGAACACAGTTCCAAGGACCAGAGAGATGGAACACAATTCCAAGCTGCTTGTGATCCTTGGAAATGTGAGAGGCCTCAGGCATAACTCCGCCTGTGCCGCCCAGGCCTGTAGGATGGCGAGGAGGAAGAAGTCCCGGCCAGCAGAGGTTCTAGGTTCTGCGTAACCTGAGTCCAGTGGCTAAAAAAAGAAAAGACTAGGATTCTCATGTAACATTTGGCAAAACTCTACACTTCCTTGAGCCTCACGTGACATTTCTCCTAGATAAACCTGGCTAAATTCCTGCCTGTATTTCAAAACCTACAAAAAATTTGGAGCGACAGAAAATGGGTGTGTTGGCTCAAGACTCAAGACTCTGAACAGTATGAGTTTGGAGTTTGTCGCAGCAACTGGGGCCATTGTCTTCAAAAACCAGCATCCTGAATAGGGTCCCTGGGGCTTGATGACTGCCGTTAACATAGTTGGGCTGGAGAACTTGCTCTCCAACTTCAGATGCAGCCACTGATGTCTATATGGTTGTCTACCCCTGAAAAAGAGTAAAGGAACTGTTATCAATTAATCAATGAGACTTTATCGAGCACATACTCTATTACTGTTTTTATGCCAAATTTGCTGGTTACGAAAGAAACCTAAGGTGCTTCCTTGCACCAGAAGTCTGCCAAATTTTCTGCAATCCAGGGCTTGGCATCATTTAATAAATTGGGCCATCCAAACTCCATCGGAGGTGGGTCTGAGTCAGCTTAGCAATCTGCCTGGAACTTTGCTTTGGAGTCTGTGCATCTGCCTGTGAAGTCTGCCTCAACTGGTGCAAAATGGTTGCCTTGTTTTGGGAAGATAAATGGTCTGAGTTGCATCATGAGATGTTCAAGTGGGACTGGAAGGCTTCGAAGAAAGAGGGAGAGTCAAGATGCTCAGAGTCCTGTTGGACTCTTAAAAAACCTTCTGTCTCTGTCGCAGAGTGGAAAGCCCACCAGAGCCTTAGTGCCCACTTCCTGTGGTGTGACTGAGCTTAGGGCTCCCTGAGCTCAGTTCTTACTTTGTTATTGTGAGGGCATTGGCTGGTGTTCAACTGATATTTCTTGAATTTGTTGCATGTAGAATATCTAGGTTGGATGCCATTGATAGTTTTTATCTTTATCCCTTAGCTGGGTTTTTAGAAATGCTTTTCTGAATGTGCCCAAGATGTTGATTTTGAAAGATACTTTATGACCCACTGCTTTCTTTGTTCTGATGGGAAGATATTTGTTCTGGCTGCCTCTCCTCTACCTCTCCCCACTTCCACTGGAATGTAAGCTCTAAGAAGTCAGGAGACTTACTTTCCTTGTTCACTGTTCCATCCTTAATGCCAAATACAGACTGGATGACAGTGGGATGACATTCAGCAAATATTTGCTGAATGAATGAGTGCATGAATGAATGAATGGATGGATGGATGAATGATCAGCTGTTTGGGACTTAACTTTCTTGTGTGTGTGCATGTTGTGGGGAATAATGTGATGTGGTGATTATAAGCTATGGAGTCAGATTGCCCAGATTATAATCCTGGCTCTTCTACTTATAAACTGTGCATTTTAGCCAAGTTTCTTAACCTCACTGTGTTTCCTCATATGTAAAATGAGGCTAATACTTCAAAGCATTGTTATGCAGATTAAATGAACTAATATGTGTAAAGTATTTAGAACAGTTCCTCGCTATATGATCAGTGCTCCAGAAGTCTTAGCTTTCGTTGGCTTTGTGAGCTGGAAGGCACACATGGAACTCCTGGAGTTGTTTTATCTCCTTCTGCCTCCCTCCACTTTTGTTTTTTTATGGTGTGATTGTGTCTAGTTGTGGGACACATTAATTAAGAGAGTTTTTTTAAAAGAAAAACGTACTCATGCCGATCAGTTTATATTTATTGTGCACCTGTTACATTTATTATACCTTTTTCTAAAAGAAAATTAGTATTTTCTCCCACAGATAGTGATAGCAACACTGGGTTCAAGTCAAAATCTGTCACATTCATTATTAATGAAAAAGTAGTAATAACAGAACTAGCTACCATTTATAGAGTCTTTTCTATATTCTGGGCATTGTGCACTTTGGTGGACCACGGATCATGGATACCCAGGTATTGACTGAATGTCAGACTTTGTCTCTGGGTTCACTGAGGCCAGGCTTAGCTTACTTTGTTCATTAGTCTCACTCTAGTGTTACTATGGCCAACAAATGCCTCAGGTAGAGTTAATCCTTAATTGAATTGACTGCTCTATCTTTGGAAGCAGATTTCTTTTTTTCTTTTGGACCTTCAAGGTGTCTAAAATTTTGAGTTGTCGTTATCTCTTTCTCACTCTTTCCTCTTTTTTCTTCCTACACTGACATTTCTATTTATATCTCGTTTTCATTTTCTCTGTCTCTTCATTCATTCATTTATTCAAGTTACTTTCCCACCAAATTACAGAAGTGGTAGTTGAAAAACAGCAGTGCAGCTGCCAGCCCTATAGCTCCACCCATGACAGAAAGTTGCCCAGGAGCATGGCATGCATGCAAATAGACTTGCCTTCGCATGTTGGATCCTTTTCCTTTTTATAGGAAACTACACCTTTGATTCATAAGGAAATGGACTTTGGCTTTATTGTAATTCCTATTTTCATGGTGTTTTGGCACAAATCATGAAATACACCTGGTGAAACTCCTGAGTCACTGGAGGGCTTAAAGTTTCAGGAAGAGGAAGAGGAGGAGGTTCCTGTGTGGCATCTTCAGAAAGAAGGATGATTGGCAAGTATTACCTCCATCACTGGACAAACTCCTTTCACTTTACTCCTTTGAGCCTTTAGCTCAAGGGGAACAGGGCATTGGTCAGTAATTGATCAAACCACCAGCATCCCCGATATATGAATTCTGGGGGGCTCTGGCCCCTTGTGGGCTTTTAAATGCTGCACAGAGAAGAAGTGAGGCTGAGAGCTTTGAGTCCTGGACAGGCAGAGTGTGTGCCAGGTCATAGGGTCACTGGATCACTATTCCTTGGGAGAACCACAGGAATGCGATTGTTTCTGGGTGTGGGGCGTGCGTGAAGCCAAGATCCCTCCTGTTTGTGGGAAATGATGGTTATGTGTTTAGCTAGACAAAGGATGTTCCATGCTACACTTAAGCTGGAGGCTTTTGTTTTTCTTGGTAATCAGGGCATTCTAGGGGCATTCCAATGAAGAAAACTTGAAAGGGGATAGATAGAAAAGGAGATCATGAGAAAAAAGGAAGGACTAGTGTTTGGTTGTCTAGGGTTGTGCTTCCAAAATCCCAAAGCAATGTCACATGAAATTAAAAAAAAAAAAACACACACCTCCAAACCAACCAACCAACCAACCAACCAACCAACCAACCAACCAACTGAGTCATGGCCACTCCAGATCTACTGAGTCAGGTTCTCTACAAGTGGGGCCCAAAGAATATCTCTTTATAGTAAGTATCCCATGTAATTTAGATGGAAATTCTCTAGGAATTCTTGTGGGACTTTCAGTTATAAGAAAAATATATCAGGTTTTTCATACCAGCAATAACTTGCTTGAGCATAGGGACTTTCTTACCTTGTTATCCCTAACATTATTTCCAGCACAAAGTTTGTGCTCAATAAGTATTTTTAGAAGTATCATGGAAAATATTTCTTAAAGGTGGCCACTGACTGTGTGGGAAGTGGGGAAAAATAATGTTGGTAATATGGAGGCAAAACTGTCAAATAAAGCCCATTGTTCAGTGTGTGGTGCTCAGTAATGGCAAAGAAGAAAAAAAAAAGGTCTCTGTGCCTTGGACAGACCACATGGTGAGTAGAATAGCCCAGAAACATATTCTTTTTGCAAAGACTATTTTTCCCCCAAGCTCCATGACATAATAGCACCAAAAGTAATAACTATCAGGCTTTCTTGATTATCTTCCAAGATCATTTATGGCAGTCTCAGGCCATAGATAATAATTAAAGCTACCTGGTCCTTGGTTTTCTCATCTGCAAAATGGGGCATGGACACTTGCCAGCTGCCTGTATTAATGCAAGTTTGTCAGAGTGGCTAGAGGCCATCTGTCTAGTACCAGAAGGAGTTCAGAAATGGTCATAAAGAGAGTTGGGCACCTTCCAGCCTGCTGTGGAGGCCAGGCTGTCACACACAGTAAAGCCCTGGCTTCTGAACACTGGCACTCGTCCAGGCGCCACTTGGGTTGATGCAATCTCTATTTGATCACATGAATATGATTTCCTTTTCATTGTGCCTAGTCACAATGTCTAATTATTGAAGGCACAATAAAACTAAAATTCCAATGATTAGGCCTCTTCCTAGATAAGAACCTGCCATCCAGCTGTCAACCATATTTGCAGATGATGTCTGGGAACTTGAGAAGATGAGAGGTGGTTTGAATCTTACTGCTTCTTCAGATAAGGGTAGCAGGGCATGATCTTTTCTTGGAAAACTAGAAATTGGTAAAGTTTGAAGGGCTCACTAGTGTGCATGAATTTTGAGAGCAAAGATATGAAAGAGAATTCAGTGATATATTCTCTTGATCTGAATGGTACAATAAAATTAGCGTATGTAGAAAACTCTATACTAGCCTATCAATGCAACAGTTACTATTATTATTTCAACTTGGAAGAGGAGGAAATTAAAGCTAGGAGAGTTTAAACAATGTGACCAAGGCCACACTGCTAGCACTGCAGCCAGATTCCAAACCAGGCTCTCTGACTCTAAATTACATAATCTCTTCACTATATCCTGCTGCCTAACCCAGAGGGAAATTATGCATAAGAATGAAATGATATACATGTGCCAGAGAAATGAGAAATGGGCTTAGCTGGCTCACTATGTAAAGAATATGTGGGAAATTGCCTGAAGGCAACAATGGGCTTCGGTATTTTACCTGTGGATTACCCTTTTTACCTCGGAGCCCATTACTGTCCTAACTGGACCTAAAGCAACTTATCTTTTATATATTTAAAATTTGATATCATAGTATTTCTCTATAATAAACAGTGGTTCTTAACCTTGAGACTCTCATGAACGCTATGAACTGTCTTCCAAGGAAAATATGTATATACACACAGGATTCATGGCCCTCCTTTAAAATCACCCTGGTCCTCTCTTCTGCTCCCATCTGTAGGGTCAAGAAATCCTCTATAAGTCTGACTTTACAAACTGCCCTGAATTTCTGGGCCATAGAAAATCTTCATAGTTTAGAGGTTGTTGAGCCTCTAGGCCATCAATTTTTCTATGCACTAGTCCATGTCTGAGTTGATGACAAATCATTTATTGAAAGGTCGTATGAATTTTCTTTCTATCTAACACCAGGTGTCTAGCTATATGATACTAAACATTTCTGTTTTTTTCATTGTTATAGCCCTAAAGCCTGGAATAGAACTTGGCACAATTACATGATGTAAGTTATATGTTTTATTTTTTGTGTCCTATATACAAAAAATTATGTGTAAAATTGTGTGTAAAAAATGTTTGGAAATTAATTATGAAAATGCAATAGGACAACTTGTTCTTTGTTGCTCAGGCTGGAATGCAGTGGCACGATTACAGCTCACCTTGACCTCCTGGGCTCCAGCAATCCTCCAACCTCCACCTTCAAGTAGCTGGGACTACAGGCACATGCCACCATGCCTGGCTAATTTTTAAATTTTTTTGTGGAAATGGGGTCTCACTATGTTGTCTAGGCTGGTCTTGAACTTTTGGGCTCAAGCGATCCTCCCACCTTGGCCTCCCAAAGTGCTGGGATTGCAGGTGTAAGCCAATACACTGGGCCAGCAACTCGTTCTTAAAGGGAATTTGTTTACAATTTCCCTATTATGTATAACATCACTCTAGATTTTTGGCATATAAACTTTATCAAGTTAAGGAAGTTTCCTTCTAGTCCTAAGTTTCTAAGAGTTATTTTTCTTAAATTACAAATAGATGTTGGACTTTATCAAATGTTTAGATATTTGATTGAGATACTTTAATAATTTTTCTCCTAAAGTTTATCAATGTGGTGAATTATATTGATAGGTTTTCTAAGAATAAACCATCCTTGCATTCCTGGGATAAATCTTACATATTATAATATATTATTATTATATCATGATGTATTAGTCCTTAATATACTATTGAATTCAGCAAGCAAATATTTTGTTCAGGATTTTTGAATCGATGTTCACAAATTAGATGGCCTATAATTTTCTTTTCTTATATTGACCTTATTTAGTTTTAGAATCAAGTTTACATGATTGGCTCTTTAAAGTAATTTAAATTAAATGCAGAAATCTGTCTTTTAATTGGTGAGTTTAATCTTCTTAAATTCATTATCATTACTGAGCTAGTTGAACCTATCCTGCCAACTTATTCCTGTTTTCCATTCATTGTAATTTTTAAATACATCCTTCCTGTTTTTCACAGAAAGATTCAGTTTCTCTCAGAATGCTCAAAAGTTAAATGTTTAAAATTTAAAAGCTAAACTTTGAAACATTAAAAGTTAAACAGAATGTTTAACACATCATTTATGAAAAAGTTAAACAGAATGTTTAAAAGTTTAACTTTTGTTTTATTTTTTGTTATAAAAAAATTTTTTTTTGTAATAAGAACAAAAGTGGCAGTTGCCTCCTACTTCAGATCCACTTTTATGTTTATTTGTCCTTCAGATCCACTTTTATGTTTATTTGTCCCTATTGATTTCTTAAATTTATTGATAGCTATATTTTCTCCTTAGAAAACGAAAGCATTAGTGCATTTTGATTTCTCTTTGATCTCCTTAAGGGCCACATTTTGGAAAATTAAATATAATATAAATGGTGTTCTCTGGACTTGTGTAATCATGTTATTTTAAAGATATTTTGTTTTGTGTTGTTATGGATGAATTTTCTCCTTTTCCCAGCTTTAAGAAAATTCCTATAATAAACTTTACCCAGTATTTGATTACCTTTTGCTCTCATAGTTCTTGCAACATCCTCCTGAGTCACTCTTTTCATTTGAATGCTTTCTCTAAGAGCAATTTTAATGGGAGTCTTGTAGGTCTGAAGACATCTTCATTAGCTACAATATTTGAATGACAATTTGGCTAGATTTAAAATTATAGGTTCAGTGTTCATTTTCTTAAATACTTTAAAAATATTTCTTCATTATCCGCTTGCATCTAGTTTTGCTGTGGAAAAGTATACTGTCATTTTGATTCTTGTTCCTTAGCTATAAATATATTCTTTTTCTTAGTAAGCTTTTAGAATGTCCTGTTTGTATTAGTTGTTTTAAAGTTTCATTATAACGTATCCAAGTGTTTGTTTTACCTTATCTCTATTGTTGTCCATGAGGCCTTTCAAAGATTTTTCATCTTTTTTTTTTAATTTTAGGAATTTGTCATTTCTGTAAGACAAGGACAGGGCAAGAATAACCACTATTAGCATTATTACTTGTCATAGTACTGGCCAACACCATAGGAAAGGAAAAAAACAAGAGATGGAAGAATCGGAAGGGAAAAAATAAAACTGCCGTTACTTTCAGAAGAGATTGTCTTCTACCTAGAAAGACTATGATAACCAACAAACTATTAGAATAAATAAAACAGTTCAGCAAGGTTTCTAGAAATAAGATAAACTCTCAAATATTAGAATTTTTCTATAGCATCACTAACCAACTAGAAAATTATATAAAAAACAAGATGCCATTCACAATATCAACAGAAACTATAACATAATTGAGAATTAGCTTATTTAAGAATATACTGTACTTCTGCGGAGAAAATTTAAAAACTGTAATAATAAAAAACATGGAATATGATCTGAAGAGATGGAGAGCTGTCCCATGCTCAGCTGGACCAAATTAATTTTATAATGATATTACTCTTGCTTGAAGTAATCTACAAATTCAATGAAAACCAATAAAAATTTCAGTGTTTTTTTTGGGGGGGGTGCTGGGGAGTCTCTCTCTGTCACCCAGGCTGGAGTGCAGTGGTGCGATCTCGGCTCACTGCAACCTCCATCTCCTGAGTTCAAGCTATTCTCCCACCTCAGCCTTCTATGTAGCTGGGATTACAGGTGCCCACCATCATGCCCAGCTGATTTTTGTATTTTTAGTGGAGACAGGGTTTCGCCATGTTGGCCAGGCTGGTCTCAAACTCCTGACCTCAGGTGATCCATCTGCCTCGGCCTCCCAAAGTGCTAGAATTACAGGCATGAGCCACCATGCTGGCTGGAATTTTTTGAGGAACTTGATAGACTTATCTGAAAAATTTAAGCTGTACTATAATAAATAACAATAAAAACTAAGGTACAAGAACAACGAGACCAGTAAAATAAAATAGGTCCATGTACCTAAAGTATGTATTTCTATTCAAAAAAAGCACACTATGAATAAAGTTAGCAGATGACAAGAGTGAAGAAATTTGTGTTGAGTAAAACTGAAAATATCTAGAATTGTACATCTAGAACACAGATGTGCAAAGAATTTCTGCTGATCAACAAGAAAAAGGGCAATCCTGGTACAGAAATTGGCAAAGGAATGAACAGACATTTTAAACTGGCAAGAACAAATACTACACTTGATCTTAGCCAAAAGGCCAAGAGGTGATTGAAGAGGTATTTTGAAGAGAAACTCCATAGGGTTAACATGCATATGAAGACATGCTTCCATTTATTAGTATTATAATGTAAAATAAACCACTACACTATCACTACACTATTACACTAAAACACACACACACACACACACACACACACTACACTGTTGCTATCACTACATGTACCACACTGGCAACATTTAGACCTTGGATAATGTCAGGTTTGGTGGTAAAGTGGAAATATGAGAAGCTGGTGGAAAAATGAACTGCTGGTGGAAGTCTTGGACAGATTAGTATTCAGTCAGATTAAATATACACCTATTCTTTGGCCCAGTAATTCCACCTCTGGGCATATAACCTCAATGAAATTTTCACATGCCTCTGAAAAAAGATGCATATAAGAATGTTCATCAATGCTTTGTTTGTGGAAGAGGAAGTTGGAGACAATCTGCTTAAGTGAAATGCAGCGCTCACACACCATAGAATACTTTGCAGGTGTTAAAAGTGGTGCACAGAATGTCTACATCAATGTGGATAGATCTTACAACACTGTGCTGAATTAAAAAATAAGAAACAGCGTGAAATGTGTAATATAACATCACCTACATAAATTAAAAATCTATACATGCCAAACAATACAGATCTTATAAGAACAGGCACAAATGTCTACAAATAAAAGCTTCAGCATCAACCACTGAAAAGAGTTGCCCTGATTGGAATGGTGGGTGGGTGATGGGGGTATGAGGGGACAGGAAAAAGAATAGACATGGAAAATGAGGGGGAAAGTAGATGAATGAATAAATAAATTACTGAGCAAAATAAGATAGGGGCTTTTCATAAATCAAAAATGATGAGAATGAAGATGATTAAAGGCTAAATGAAAAGAAAAGATTAAGACTTGGCAGAGGTAATGACATGTAATAAGCACTCTGTAAATATTTATTAAATGATGGAAGAAATGAAGTCGATGGTGAATCTTTTTGCAAAGCTAAAATTTATTTCACAATATGAATCAGTGCGCTTTAATAAATTATTTTAGAAGTTTTGATGTTTGTATATCAGATTCTTTAAAAATGTGAGCACACCTGTATTTGGAGTCATCTGGACCATGTTCACAGATTTTTTCTTCTTTTCTTCCACTTCTTGAGACATTGCATAAACATAGTCGCCTCTTTTGAACTATGCCATGCAGTTTGACTTTTGATTCTAAGTCACAGAAAATGTTTTCCTGGAAAATATTTGCTGTTTCGATCAAGTCTTGATTCCAAAGCATCTGCCTGTATGTGGTCACTGATATGCAGGGTATTTGCTGGAAGAAATGAGCTGGAATCTGCCTCATGAGCTGTGAGGCCATAAGAGGTGATGGGTTTATCGCTGGCCATGATGGTGGGCTTGCCCACTGACATTTTGTTTTTCTGCCACTGTACAAGATCTGATTTGTCAGAGTAGCTCTGGGTCTCACCTTTTCCTTCCCTCTTTCCAGAGGACAGAAATTTATTCCGGGGGATATAGCTTCTGTTGATCTGCTTCAGGTTTTAATAATAATGATCCTATATTACTACTAACAAACATGGCTGACACTTGGCATTTACTGCTTTCAACTTAATAAATATCTTTTATTTTAATGATTTAGAGCTCTGGCTCTAGTCAGATGAACTTGGGTCTGGCACCAGCCTATAACCTGATAGCTTGGTGACATTGGACAGATGAAATTCCCTAAGCATTTGTTTGTTTCTCTGAACAATACAGGTAGACGTTTCCTTGCAGCGTTGTTGTGGTGACTAGATTAGGTAATGTATTTAAGGCTTAACATGGAGCCTCTTGCACAGTAAGTGGTTATATTATTACTTTGTGGAAATCATCATGCTAGGCCTGTGGGGAGAAACTGAGATGAATAAGAAAAAGTTCTGAATTTCACGGACTTGGAGAGAATAAGACATGACCAAAAGAGACAAAAGACAGACCCGTGGGAGAGAGGACCAGCGAGGCCACATATCCTCCTACGAACCTGTGAGACACTCACAGAACTGGTTCTTCATTTTATAGATGAGGAAACTGAGGCTAGAAGAGTTATGTGACTTGTTGAAGGGGACACAGTGAGTGAGTGTCAGAGCCTTCATGGGAACCCACGTCTCCTGTGACTGAGGCAGGCCTGAGGGATGTGCCTCTGTTTCTCATGGAAACTCCTTGGCGCAGCCCAAGGCCTTGAGATGCTGCCCCCTGCCAGGCCAGGGTGTGGGCTGCCAGCCACCACAGCATGGGGGCCTCCACTGTCCTGAACTTCAGAGGCTTTGCGGGGAGGGCTTATAGGCAGCCAGGAGACAGCCTTCTCTGGCTTTTAAGTGAATCATTTATAAAATGTTGACAGCATTTCTCCTCAAGACCTGCCCTCAAATCAGCAACCGATTAGAGACAGTAATTCATAACTTTATCAGATGAATTTTTATTGGGGGTCACTATGCTCCAGGTCTTGTGTGGGGCACTGGAGAGGCAAAGATGAAACCTCCTTGAGAAACTGTCAGAGTCATGTGACAATTCACCATCACATAATGAACAAAGTGCTCTAAGATCTGAGAAGACGAACAAGTATTCTCTGGGCTGGGGGTTTGTCCTTCCGGCAAGAGAGGACGGCAAGGTCAAAGGCAGGGAATTGCATGGGTGTTTGGTGGTGCTTAGAGGGCACTGGGACCAGTGGTAGGAGGGCAGTTGGTGGTGAGGCTGGAAAGGAAGGCAACGGCTCGATTGTGGGAGGCCTTCTAGGCCTCCAGCTCTGTGGCTGAAGGGAGAAGGTGAATGCTTTGTAGGCTAGGGGATAGCATGATCAGGTCTAGGTGGTGCAAGATGGCTCTGAGGCAGTATGGATGGCAGAGCAGCAAGGCCCCACACCTGCTCTAGGGGGTGTGCCAAGGGGTCTTGACCCCAAACTGACTGAGTCCCTGGAGCCTGAGCATGTGGACCTCAGATATGCAGTGGCAGAAGGCTTCCAAACTGTGAAGGAACCGGTAGCCAACACCATCTACACTTCCAGATGGTGAGCCCATGACTTACTTAAAGAAGCTTCCTGTTATCAGTGGGTGGGCACTCGCAAAGAGGCTCTGTTCATCTTGTGCCTACAAGCCCAGATCCAGTCAAAGAGCACGGGCATGTTCTCCTTCCTTCCTTGAGGGTTGGCCTCTTTTTCCGTGGGCATAGCCGACATCAGAGCCAGCGCCCCCATATTTCAGCATGATTAAGCCTTGCCATTTTGGGGGTGGCTGGGGGCGAGGGGAGGGGCTACTGTGTTTCAAAATGGAATAAACAGAAAAGCAATATTGAAAGAATGAGGAGGTTGTTTACTGAGGCTTGAAGAGATGACAGGTGTTTCCTCCCAGTTGAGAACCAGTGACCCCTGGGAATCGCATTTCCCGCTGAGCAGGCGCCCATGGCGGGCTGAGTCCTGCCCATGCCCTGGTGGCCTGGAAGCCTGCATGGGCGCCGTGCAAAGATCAACGTTTTCCAGAGGAGCTTTTGGGCTCATCACTGGCCTGGGGAGGGCTTGACACGGGGTTCCCACAGCTTGCCCCACACCACCTTCACACCCACACACAGCAGGTCCCCGCGGGGCCGGTGCAGGCTGTGGCTGCCCGCGCTGCGCTGTTGCTCTGTCCCAGCTGGCTAGCTCCGAGTGTGGAGCGCTCTGGGCCGGGGCCGCTGGGGCGCGCACAGTGGGGTGACAGGCGGCCTGGCTGCAGAAACGTTGCACCGGTGCCTGAGGTGGGAGGATGTGATGACGCGGCCCACGCAGCGGGAACCCAGGCCTTTAAAAAGCCCAGGAAACAGCCTCAGCTCAAGCGGTGGCTCCACTGGAGGAAAACACACCCCGGTCTCACATTAAAGAAGCCAAACTGTCGGCTTCAAAGAGAAAAGGCAACATCCTGTCACAGGCCATGCTCTGGCAAAAACGTAAGTGGTTTGGCTGTGGCTGTCAGACCCAAGCGAGTGCCAGCGGGGCAGGGCGATCACAGCTTGGTCTGGAATTGGGGAGCTGGTGGTGGAGGTGATGGGGCCACGGGGGGAGGGGGTCTGGGTTCCAAGCCCCGGAGCAGGGAGGGGGGAGGTGGGCGGGATGGAGCCTGGTGGAGAAACCAGCCTGTCAGAGGTGATGCTGATTTTCCAGGCTGGAGGGGAACGAACTAGTGTTCCAAGGTGGGACGGCTCAGGGTACCTCCGCTTCTGTGCATGAATCACTGTGGTGAAGAAAGGGCAGTTTATGATTCACACAACAAAAGCCAGATGTGGGATGGGTTTGGGGTTGGGAGGGAAAAGCCATGCAGTTCTTTACAGGAGGGGCTTTATTTCCATAAGCAGTGGCTCTTCAGCCTTCTGTTGAATTCCCTGGGCCTGTTTCTAGCTGAGTGACTTAGCTTTCTGCCAGGTGTGACTTGTCCCTGTGGATACCCTGGGAGGAGTGGAGATCTGGCTCGGTGAAGCGTGTCCTCACTTGCTCCACTGTCTTGCCTTTCGTCATTCTTTTTCCCCTTCTGTGACAAGGCTTGTCCATCCCACTGCAAAGGATGCAGTGGGTTTATCTTTGGCCTTGATTTTTATCCCCGGAGTTGGATGAAACAATTGTGAACTTTATTTTCCTTTATGTGGACCAAACAGCGACTTACCTTACTAATAACTGAAATAATACAGATTATTTACAACATTCTTTTCACGAGGTAAACAGCGTCAACTCATCAGCTTCTGAGAGTTGAACCTTATTGGGGCTAGTTCTATACTTCCTCAAGCAAGAAGAATGACCAAAAATTGCTCTGTCTTTCTCTTAAAGATTCTTGGTTCCTTAAAATTCGTTTTAATTAATTTTAGTATGCTGTGCCTCAAGCAAGCTTAATATAAGAGAATCTAGATTTACAGAAGAAGATATATTAGGGAATGTTTTTATTTTATGGAAAGATACTTGATTGGATCCACTAAAGTTCGGAAAATATAACTTCATTGATTAAAATGTGACACTGTCATCACCAATTTATTGTTTGCTTTATGTCTTATGTAAATTTCTCTGGAATTAAGCTGATTAACCAGTAACACAGAAGAGTGATTTCAAAATTTCTCAGGTTGTGAAGACCCACCATTGTTTGATATCAAAAGGTCAATTTTTTAAAAAAATAAAGAGAAATGAGCTTTAATTTGGGTTTGAGAGTTATGGACTCCTTCCAAGATAACTAGGAATATTCAAGAATTGTTGGCACGCCACTCTTCCCAACAGGCGATGGAGCAGCGGCAGCCTATCCTTTCTGGGACAATGGCAGCTGACCCTGTTGTGAGTGCTGTGTGGATGAGAGCAGGTGGGCATTCATCTTTTTACTGGGGGCCCCTAAGCATCTGTGTGCCCTTTCACTCAGGGCTGAATCATTTGATTTTTGTGTGAGCCCCTGGAAGGAGTTTTGCCTCAGCTCCTACCTTCTATGAGCAAGCCACTTTCCTTTTTCTCAATCCTTAGGTTTTTTGTATGTTAAGTGGGGGTAAAAATCATATCCACACTGAGGATCTATCCTTAGTAAGTGAGGTGCCACCGAAGTCATGTTCATTGCTCTGTCTGCATCAGCCTCTGAGATATGAGTTGCTTCCCTGCATTCACCATCTGCCATATTCTCCCCTCTTGGTTCTGTAGTACATTTTTTCATTTCTAATTCCTTCTAAGAGATGAACAGACTTTTTTTGTTTGTTTGTTTGTTTTTTGAGACAGAGTGTTGCTCTGTTGCCCAGGCTGGAGTGCAGTGGCGCGATCTCGGCTCACTGCAACCTCTGCCTCCTGGGTTCAAGTGATTCTCTCGCCTCACCCTCCCTAGTAGCTGGGACTACAGGTGCCCGCCACCACACCCAGCTGTTTTTTTTTTTTTTGTATTTTTAGTAGAGATGGTGTTTTACTATGTTGTTCAGCCTGGTCTCGAACTCCTGGACTCAAGTGATCCACCCGCTTTGACCTCCCAAACAGGTGTGAGTCACTGCACCTGTCCCCCAAATTTTTTAAAGGGGATGCTGGAGGGCATGCTTCCTGCTCACACCCTGGAGACCAGTCAGATAGATCAAAACTCCATTGTAAGGGAGACCACATTGTAAGCTCATCAATGGAATAACTGGGGTGAATGTTTCCACATGTTCAGATGAACACAAATCAAAATTATCTTGAATTGTCCTTTAAGCCTTAAAGGAAAAGTAGGAGAGACCCTGGGCTCTGGACCCACCCCCTTAGCCTGAACCCAAGTATGTGGTATAGAGGGCACCTGGGTGACTAAACCGTGTGGGAAAATCAGTAAAAACAGGGCAGCATGTCAGCCCACTTAGAGTCACCCGATGGAAGGGCAGGGTTTGAAATCAGACACCAAGAGTGCTGAAAGGGCACTTTCTTTTTTCAGAAAACACCCTCGAGGCATGAGCTGAAATGACTGTACTATGGGGTTCTGGAAAGGGTTAAGAAAACATTCACTTTGTGAATGTTACCTCCTCCCTACCTAGCCCATGACCCTAGTTTGTGGACTAAATGTGAACCCTGGCTTTTGGTTAAGATTAGAGCATAAAGTGACAAAGCCCAGAACTGCTGGCACAGAGAAGTAGAAATCTTCAAGCCCCAACCAATGGATTTGAGATTTGCTTGATGGGCCAATTGGATGAAGAAGTCACTCCATCTGTAGATTCTCTCCCTGGGTTCTGGACTTGGACCTGCTGGTCAGGTGCACATGTGAAGAATTACCATCCCTCCCCAGCTAGTAACAGTGTAGTGGAAATAGCAGGAACCTTGGAGGGAGACAGGTCTGAAAGTTGCCTGTGCAACTTAGTTCTTTCTTTGTGAGAAGGAAATTTCCATTCATTTCCTTATCTGGGAAGTGGGGATTCTAATGTCTGCCTCCCAAGGTTTTTGTGAGAATTAAAGTAGAGAATGTAGGTAAAATGATAGCAAGTTTCCTGATAAGTAGTGGTAGGGATGAGTTAGTACCTTCCGTCCTGGAAACCACCTGTGGGCCCATCTTGAATGATCAGTGTTATGTTAAATTCATATATTCTTTTCCACACTTTGATTAGAATAGTTAAAAAGCCACAGTCTAAATATTCTTGGGTGATAGGATATTGCAAAATTTTCCAAGGGTCTAAAATAGTGGTCTGCAAACTATGGCCTCTGTGCCAAATCAGGCCTGCCACTCCATTTGTAAATAAAGTTTTATTGGAACACAGCTCTGTCTATCATTTGAATATTGTCTAGGGCTGCTTTTGCAGAGTTGAGTAGTTGTGACAGAGACTGTGCAGCATACAAAGCCTAAAATATTTTCTCTCTGGCTTATAATAGAAAAACATTGCCAACCTCTGGTCTGAGATGATTTGCTTGGTTCTTCAGGCATTCATTTCCTTAAGATACTCAGTATCAGGCCGGGTGCGGTGGCGGGCGCCTGTAATCCCAGCACTTTGGGAGGCCAAGGCGGGCAGATCACGAGGTCAGGAGATCGAGACCATCCTGGCTAACATGGTGAAACCCCGTCTCTACTAAAAATACAAAAAAATTAGCTGGGGTTGTGGTGGCAGGCCCCTGTAGTCCCAGCTACTCGGGAGGCTGAGGCAGGAGAATGGCATGAACCCGGGAGGCGGAGCTTACAGTGAGCCGAGATCGTGCCACTGCACTCCAGCCTGGGGTACAGAGCGAGACTCCGCCTCAAAAAAAAAAAAAAAAAAAAAAAAGATACTCAGTATCCTGGGGTTGTACATTGCCAACACCAATGGGAAATAAAACTTGCAGCCAATTCATTAAATAATTTGTACAATGCCCCAAACTGATTTGATTGAATTTCTTCCTTAAAAGTGATAGAACTGTGTATAATAAACTGAACTCCATTTGTTAGAAAGTGAACAAATTGGACAGTTGCTTTTTATTGTTGTTGTTTGTATTAGGGAACAATCTACATGCTAATGAAAGGCAGGCTTGACTGATTTTCTTTGGACTGGCTGATTGTCTTGGTGTCCTGTGGACTTGGCCTTGGAACAGGAAATAATTCGTATCAGATTATTATGTCATGGATATGCCTTTGCTTTCAGACAACTTGAACAGAGCAGAGATTTAGCAAACAGAAAAATTAAGGACTTAAAATTCTCATCAACATAGAACTCTGCTCTTCAGATGTACTCTAGGGTTCCACTAAAGAGCCAATATTGTTTGGGAGGCAGTTAAAGATAAGTAAAATGTGTACTATGCATATAATTTTTGGAAGCCTATCTCCTACATAAATTTAAGCACAACTTACAATGAGAGGTAATTTAGGTTTCTGGACAACCTCTAATATTTCTATTCTATGTTACAACCTTTGCTTATTTAATAAGCCTAGTGAGCACCTTTACTTCTTACCAAGTTGATTCCATTGATTCAGCAGTTCTTTTTTTGAGATAGAGTCTTGCTCTGTCACCCAGGCTGCAATGTAGTGGTGCAAGATCAGCTCACTGCAACCTCTGCCTCCAAATTCAAGTGATTCTCCTGCCTCAGCCTCCTGTGTAGCTGAGATTATAGGCACATGCCACAATGCCCAGCTAATTTTGCATTTTCATTGGAGATGGAGTTTCACTATGTTGGCCAGGCTGGTCTCGAACTCCTGACCTCGAGTGATCCACCTGCCTTGGCCTCCCAAAGTGCTGGGATTACAGGTGTGAACCACCACGCCTGGCCAATTAAGCAGTTCTTGCTGTTAAGGGCAAGTAGAATCCAAAAGAGAGACACAAATTCACGTGCACTGTCTGGAGGTGAAATAAAGGACAAACATCAACCAAATACACAGATTTAATTGGTAAAAAAGCAGATGATGTTCTTGATGGATATTTTACTTCCTGCCCCTTATATTTATTTACTAAAGAAAATGCCAGATTTGTCCCCAAAGTTACTGACTCAGAAGTTTTGAAAGCTCTCTCCCAATTCACACTTGGGATTCTGTTCTTTCATGAGGAACCAAAAAAAAAAAAAAAAAAAATCAAGTTTGCCTACAGCTGTTCATTAAATATGTGGACATTTAATTCATAAAGAAGTCTTATAAATATTTGCTTTTAACTTTCCCATTACAAAGTGTTTTTTCCCCCTTTGACATCTTTCTAAAGTAGTTTATCTTCCCACTTAATGAAGATGTCCACCTATTTCTTATTCTGAGCCAACCAAACCAAAGTTGGCTAATTGATTATGAACATTAACATAATTCTCACCTTTATGAAATGCTTAATAACACTCTAGTTTTCTCATTTTTGTAGAACTGCTTGACAACTAAGTGAGCCTACCTGGGATGGGGAGGCCTTCTCTGAAACCCTCTTGTCCCGCTTGTGTGATACTGGGGACAAGCACTTGTAGGCAGGAGCCAGGGGTTTTACTTTCCATTCTACAGATAATTAGATGAGAGACCTTAAGCAAGCCACCTAACCACTTTGGGTCTCAAATGTTCTAGTGCTGGAATGGAACTTGCCTTTTCCTGGCTAATTTTCCTGGAGATTGAACTTGATTGAGGTTCTTTGCCAGCTCTAATTGCTGAGTTTTCCTGAGTGTTTATACAAAAAATAAATTAAAGTTTAAAATCAGAAGTCCTTAATTTAATAGATGGGATTCTTCTATCTGCTTAGGGCAGTGTTTTTATACCTTGGCTACACACTGGAATGCTCTGAGGAGATTTAAGAAACACAGATGCCTGGATCTCAACCTAGAGCTTCTGATTAAATTGTCTTGGGCATTGAAGGAGAGCTGCAAATGGCTCCCAGGTGAGAAGGCTGAGAACTGCTGACCTGGAGGTTGAAATGGATGGCTTCTAATAAACCTTTGGGCATTGCTAAGAGCAGAAGAATGCTCAATCCTTTTAACAGTGATAAACAAACATCTCTGGGGAATGGAGAACTTATTTGGTGCTATGCAGTATACAAAATGTTCTGTTGGATCAGTTTGGATTACATTTGATTGCTGGTGAAGAGACCTGAAATAACGTAGATTTAAGTAAGACAGTGGTGTCCTTTCTCTCACATAAAAGAAGTCCACAGTAGGGTGTTCAGGATCTTATGGAGTCTCACAGTGCCAACATCATCCCAGGCTCCTTTTTCCTTTCTAATCTGCCATCCTTGGCATGTGGCTCTTGTCCTCAAGATTTTTTTCATAGTTGCCATTGTAACTCCAGCCATTACATCTGTGAGCATCACATCTTCGGACAAGCAAGAAGAAGAAAAAGGAATAGCAAAAGATCATGCCTCCTGATCGCTGCCCCTTCTCCCTCCCAACACACAACTTCTGCTGACATCTGATGCCATTTCTATCTACAAGGGAGAATAGCATAATTGTTTAGCTGGGCACATTGCCACCCTCCATAATGCAGGGGCTGTTAGAAAGGAAGGGAAGGTGGATGTTGAGTGTAACAACTGCCAGTCTTCACTATGCTTTGAGTGCATTATCTCATTTAATCCTCATAAAAACTCCATGAAGCAGATTCTGTTGTAAGGTTCATTTTATAGATGAGGAAACTGAATCATGAAGATTAAGTTAGTAACTCTCCTACAAAGCAAAATTCATGTGAACAGACCTCAAGTGTTGGCCTGCTAAGCTGTCCTGTCTCCCTGCCACAGTGCCTGTCTCTCTCACATTGCTTAGGAAGTATTCTTGGTAAAAGCACAGGCCTTCCATGTCAGATAAGGGACCAATGGCAAAAAAAAGCCCTGCAGATGGTAGTTCATACCATGAGAACCCATTTTGTTTAACATTTACTTCAGCTTACCTGTTGAAGAAAACAAGGTCTCTGCTTGCTGCTGGGCCTCTTCTGCGGGACAGTTTGAAGATATTTTAGCTATAATAAAAGGCTCAGAGAAGGATCTAGAGTTTGCCCCCAAATAACCCAGCCCTACTCTTTTCTGGGCAGTTTTAGTAGAGAGCCCGATGTAGCAGGCAGCCTTTGCTGGGAGCCAAGGCTTCTGCCTCCGTGGCACTTCCTTGATTCTGAACTTTCTAGACTTTGGAAAAGTCAGGCTGCTCCTTCATCTCTCTCTCTCTCTCTCTCTGTGTGTGTGTGTGTGTGTGTGTGTGTGTGTGTGTGTGTGTATTTGTGTGTGTTTAGGTGGGGTGTGGAGAGTAAGATGTAGAGAGTAGGGTTTAACTTTGAGTTAGAGAGTGACACTTCTGTTCTTTCTTTGCCTTTAGTAGTTAAAGCTTAGCTTCTGGGGCAGGCAGATCTGAGTTTGAGTCCTAGGTTTATGCCTTACTGGTTGTGTGACACTGGTAAGTCCTTTTTCCTCCTTCTGCCACCATTTCTTTATAGGCATGCACCAGAGGTGTGACTCTTACCTTATGGGATTGTGGTAGGGGTTTTCTGCTGTGCTTGGCATTAAGTAAACACTCAATAAATATTAGTTGCTATTATTATTTTCCCATTCTGTCACAATCTACCTCTGAAGACAAAGGTTATGCCGGCTAATTTTAGATTACAATTTGTATGTCCTCTGAGTTCTGAATTTCTTGTGAAATGGCAGGGCACACATCTCCAGTCTTGTAACTTGTGGTGGGTTAGTGATCATGGTTACTTCTGATGATTAATCTGACCATTCTGTGATCAAACTTGGAACTCGCGTCACAATTTTCCTACCGACCTTGTAAGGTAGGGTGGCGGCAAGACTTGTACTGACTGGCAAACTCGTGTTTGTTTTTTTAATTCACAAGATTGGACTGAGTGTTTGTAATCTAGTTGTGAGCAGAATGACACTTGAAATATGCAAGAAATAGATACCGAAAACTGAAACAACAATGTGTGGCCTCCTTTTCTTAGTAACAGTTTCATTAGTACCACTTTCTGGGAAGAGCTGGTCACCAAAAGATTATAAACCAGAATCATTCTCAGACCAGGTGCTGGGACAAAAAAGGATTTGACCAGTCTTAAACTGAATTACTTTTTAATGCACTAGAAAGAGCCATACATTTCATTGGAAGACAGCAAGCATACAGGACATTGTTAAAACTTTCCAGGACTAGGAAACGCTGAGGTGACAGAAAGGAAAGAAAAGAAGAGAGGCAAGAGAGTTGACAATAGAAGCAAGTCTTAATGTTGGATGAAAGGTACACCAATTCAGGAAGGAAAGGTATAGAAGGAAAATCAACCATCTATTCATCATCCCATGCAGGTATGCATCCCTCTAAGCATCCATCCAATAATGGAATTATTTCCAGCTAGAGAAACCAACCAATGAAATAAATTATCTTCAGCAGAAGGTGGGGATGATGGAATCAGGGAAGGTGTCATGGAACATATAGCATTGGGTTTGGATCCTGAAGAATAGATGGTAATCAGACTTCTTGCTTAGATCCTGGGGTGTGCAGATGCATCTTAGGACATAAAATATTAGCACTGGGAAGAAAATCCAAGGATTTTAGGCTGATGTCTATAACATTTTTGCTACAAACTCCCTTATTCAAACCAAATCTACTGTAGAACTTCAGTATAAGAATAAAAATCGTGCGGTTTTGGGGGGCTATCTGGAGCTCTGATTGCTCATGTTCCCCCACATTTCCCTGCCATTCTCACTCTGTTGGCACCTGCAGGCACCATAACTATATTCCAGGGTTCTTCAGGTCACAGCTGGATCCCCCTGACCTGGCCAATCTACCCCTCTTTTTAGCAAGATCCCTGCTAGCTGGTCACAGAGAGTGGCAGTGAGTGGCTGTGAAACATATTGCATTGGTCTTCATCAAGCTCTGAAGCTGTGAAGACTATGTGTTCGGTCTTTGTGGGTCTCTTGTGAATAAAGAGGAGGTAAATTCCTAAAAAACTGACCAAGTGACTTCTTTCTCAGGCTTGATACTAACAACCACTCCCCTTCTCCAATGTCTTTCATAAAGGAATCCCTTGCATCATGAGGGCCATTGGTTAGCAAAGCTGAACATTATCCAGAAAGCTCCTCTTGACCAGCTGTGATGTTTCTCATGAATCCATTGTTAGGGCTACTCTCACTTGCGAAGGCTACACCCCAGGCCACCATGAGCCTTGGAACTTGGGCAGTTGGGTCTGACCCCAAATACAAAACTAATGCTGGGATCTGAAGAGTCCATTCTCCAAGAAAGTGGTCCTTACATGATGGTCTCAGGAAAAGTTAAGTTTTTTCAATAAAGCTCTTTAGTCTTGAAAAGCCAAAATTAGATATTGCTTGAATCAAGGAACAAAAAATCGGATATCCATCTGCCTCCTCCAGCTGCCTAACCACAGGTTATTCCCATCCTAGCTCAGATGGGCAATTCTAGATTCAAGCCTTGATCTAATAAGGAAAGAGACAGCCCTTTCCTCTGCTCCATCCCTCACTATGGTACTGCCTTGCTATAGAATTGGGGTGGCCACTGGGGTAGGTGGACTCTCCTCATTCACCTTCTGGTCTGGGACGGTAGGTCTGGAGCTCTGTTTAGGCCCTTTCTCTTTCCTGATGCCCCACTCTCAGCAAATTTGAGGCAATGCCAAATATGTAATCCAGGAATCTGCTTTGCTCTACAAGGTGATAAAACTCCCATCTATGGGCACTGAAGAGCCCTCCCTTGCCCATTGCCACATTTCTATTCCATATGCGATATGTGCTCCTAGGTTTCTAGCCCCCTTGAGGGAGTATCTACAACATAGCCTCAGCCATGGCTGTGTCCCTGGCCTTTAGGAGATACATATAGGTTCCTTAAGGGGCTGCATCTGAGGTCAGGACAAGGGAATGCCATCATACTCTGTCTGCAACCTAATCGCTGCCATTCAAAAATATCCAAGGTTTTTCATTTCTGAAGTCATACTTTAAAAACTCACATCTGCTGCAAACCTAATCCTCTGGTGACTTCTAAAGAAAGAAGTCTTCTGCTCAGCTCATCGTATCTTTATAAAAGGCCATTTCCAGGGTTTGGCGTCTCCTGTCTAGGATTGCTGTACGAAAGCGAAGTCTTTTACCAGCCCCTCTGCAGCATCATTGGCTTCCCTGTCTCCTAAGTAGGGGTATCTTGCTGCCTGGGGATTCCAGGTACCTGAGGGATTAATTCCAGGAGCATAATGAAGGCAGGTAGAGACAGGCCTGGCAGGCAACAGAAGGCCCTGGGTATGCTGAAGACAGAGACATTCAGTATCAGGATGTAGCTGAATGGAGGCAAGTTAGGGTCACTGTACCAAGGCTACTTCTCCGATGACAGATGGGCCATGGATTGTTGGCTGAGATCAAGGAGAAAGGGCTATTTGTTGGGAGCTCATTATGCACCAGGTGTTTCATTGTGTTAATCTCATACAGTTCTCATGATTACCCTTTGAGATGGATATTATTACTTTCATTTTGCAGATGGGGAAACTGAGGCACACAATGGTTAAGTGATTTGCCAAGAGTCACACAGGTGATAAGCAACATAACAGGCTTTCTAAACTAGGTCTAGTCCCAAACTGTACCACACTGCTTCTCAATGACAAGGATTTTAGTGTTGCACTGGGTCCTTCTTCCTCTCCCAGTTGAAGAGGGCCCTCGCTTAGATGGAGGCAGGTTATGACTTCATCAAGGGTAGCTCTAGCCTGGCACAAAAGCCTCTGCAGATTTGGATCTTAGCAAGTCACGCTCGAGACTCAGTATGGAAGCTCTGAAACCTACTGATTTCCATCTTAGAATCTGAGTTCCCTGGACTCCTCTTCTCTTGGTGGGCCAATCAGCCAAGATAGGATAGGACCAGCTAGTGACACACCCTTAGGATTCACTCAGGACCTGCCACTTAGAGTGTCTGGGACAAGGGTCTGCTCATGGTGAGGCCTGAGTCTCTGGCCCCAGACCAGCCCCTCTGCACTGGAGATCCAACAGTCATATCTCTTGCACTCACCTCTATACAGTCTCTACAGACTTGGGGCCCCAGTTTGCTGCTTGTTCAAGCCTTACTAAACCAGGTGTAGGTGGAAACCAACCAAACAAACCAGAACCACTTCAGTTCTGAGGCAGATGCAGCTCTGTCACAGTTTGTAATTCTAAATTTGTTTGTGCAATTATTTGATTAAAGTCTGTGTACCCCACTAGACTAGACTGTAAGCTCCAAGAGGGCAAGAACCTCATCTGTTCTGCTCAGCAAGTACTTGTTCAGTGAATGCTCTGCCAGGGGTCTCTTGGTCTTGTCCCCTACCCTGGGACACAGTGTATCTGCGAACCCTTTCTGCTCCGGTGACCCCAGTTTCTGTAAAAGGCAGGCAGATGCAGCTGCTTTCTCAGGTGGACCTGTCCGCTGTCATTTCAGTCGAAAAATACCAAAAATAAAACCTTGCGGGGAATTGTTTGGGTCTCTCAGTTCTCGTCACTCCTCATGTGAGAAGGCTGCTGACAAGGTTCTCGTGGACAGATCTCTCCTCTCTTGGCTGGGCAACACCATTTCTTGGGGAAATTGGCAATTGAGGGAGACTGGATCAGGGTAGTCCAAGCCCAGACTTTAACTGGAGCAAGGAGGGTTAGGATGGGGCCAGGAATCATTTGATGATTAACCTGCAGTGTCGCTCAGAGAAAAAAATGGGACTTGCTCGGGCAGAGACAAGGCAGGCAGTGAGGCAGAAGTGGAGTGTACTTGGAATCACAGGTCCTGGGCTTGGTTGAGGACACTGTTACTTACAAGTATAGTCGTTTGGCAAGTCACTGAATATCTCTGAGCATCAATTTCCTTCTCGGTAAAGGAAGGGAGCGGAAGAGGAATACGTTGTACTGAGCCTCTATCTGCAATCATTAGTGTCAAAATCTCTATGGAACATCATGCAAATAGGAGTGTGGTGATTTCAGAGCTCCCAAGAGTTAAGAATGTGACCAGGAAACACATGGACCTTTACCACCCATTCATTCAACAGACCTGAGTCCCTGGGAGCAGAGAATGGGTACAAACAGCCTTCTGTGCTTGACCTGATCTGCAGGAGGCTCAGAGGAAGGGAGGTGTGGTGTGGAAGGTGCGGAGAGTGCCGGGGAAAGGATCCCTGGGAGTCTTGCCTGTGAGGGAAGGGTTAGAGGGCCACTGCCACGTGGAAACCTCTCGCACTCAAGGCCTTTGGCTGCCCCTACCTGCGGTTGTGGGGCGGGACACCCAGAAGTTTAGGGACAATCCAAGTAATCCTGAGGCCTTAGGGTGTAAATGCTCAGGTCTGAGCTTGGTGGAGAAGGGTGGTCTTCTGTGGGTCAGTGGGATCTTGACTTCAGCCTAATACAACCTAGAGGGATCCCTGTGACTGCCCTGGGGGTCCATTTCCTGTTGGCTATGACCTCTGTTAAGTAGGAATCACTTGGCCCCTAGACCACTTTTGTCTGGGGCTCTGTGGCTCTAAGACTGAAAAACCCTCTGCTGTCACCTCCAACATACTTTAAGAGTGTCCCCTGGGTCTCGTTGTCAGGGCTCTTCTTTCTAGGTCCTGGTGGCTTGCCTAGGTCTGGGGAAATTCTCAGTGACCGTGGACCCTGGTTCAGCCTTTCCCAGGGGACCTGCCTATGGTTGATGAGTGAGATCTTCAGGGCTGATGGGAAGGAATAGTCTTTTAGAATGAGGACACAGGGAGGGCACATGTCACTGTCCCTTTATCTTCTCCACCCAGACCAGAGAACGTGAGGTCAGCCACCATCTTTGTGATCTGATACAGACATCCCAGCCTACCAAGCAAGATATTACAACTTATTCTTCAGCTGTCCAGCAGCCTTGCAGGCAACATCAAATTGTACATCAATCATGGTTCCCCTTTCTCTCATGTCTTCCAACCACCTTTAACGTCAGTTTTCTCCCCCTGCTGTCTTTTTCTCCTCTGTCCTGGGTATCATCCAGATTGCAGGATATATGAGTGATGTGTTTATAATTCCTGGCTGCAGGATCCTCTCAGTTCAAATGTTAGTGAATGGAAAGTCTGCGTTTACATGCATATGGGATTTCTTTGTTGGCCTACATTAAACACCAACAACAAAGGTCAACTAAAATATAGTGTAAATGAGCGGGAAAGCCTTTCTGTAGTGTGTCAAGTCCAACCTTTGGCCAAAACCCAACTTCTTTCTTCCTGTTTGGAAAAAAAATCAGCCATTGTCCATGAATGGAAAGAACAAATTTGAAAACTTTGACTCAGACCGTAACTGTAAGAAAAGCACCCACATTAGTGTTCCAGTTAAAGATGTGAATAATCCTTTAGCCAACTGGAGTTAATGTTCTCTAGAAGTCCTTGGGCCACAAGTACAAACAAAATTCTTTGCATGAAAATGTAAACAATTCTTTTTTTTTTTTTTTTGAGATGGAGTTTCGCTCCTGTCGCCCAGGCTGGAGTGCAATGGTGCGATCTTGGCTCACTGCAACCTCTGCCTCCTGGGTTCAGGTGATTCTCCTGCCTCAGCCTCCTGAGTAGCTGAGATTACAGGCTCCTGCCACCGCACCCAGCTAATTCTTCTATGAAAATGTAAAGAATTCTTTATACGAAAGTGAAAGGTGACAACGACTATTGTGACTTCATTTTCAGTTAGAAGCCAGGGCAAGTTTGTTGGCCATAGTCTTGAATTCCTATTGTTTGATTAGTTTTGCTACAAATAAAGAGAAAATCGTATTTCTTCTCAGTGGGGTTTTTTTTCCTTGAAGATTCAACAGCAGAAGATATTTCCATTGATTACTTAGAGTGATCAACAGTGTGTCACTATTAACGGTGTGTCACATGTCCTTCTGGGCTAGGGGCTTTTATCTTGCAAAATGGCCTTGTACGGCTACAAGGTTTACCTGTTGTTTAGGTAAGTTCCTAAAAAATTGACCAAGTGACTTCTTTCTCAGGCTTGATACTAACAACCACTCCCTTTCTCCAATGTCCTTCATAAAGGAATCCCTTGCATCATGAGGGCCATTTGTTAGCAAAGCTGAGCATTATCCAGAAAGCTCCTCTTGACCGGCCGTGATGTCTCTCATGAATCCATTGTTAGGGCTACCCTCACTCACATAGGCTGCACCCCAGGCCACCATGAGCCTTGGAACTTGGGCAGTTGGGTCTGACCCCAAATACAAAACTAATGCTGGGGTCTGAAGAGTCCATCCTCCAAGAAAGTGGTCCTTACATGATGGTCTCAGGAAAAGTTCTGTTTTTCATAAGGCTGTCTTTGGTCTTGAAAAGCCAAAATTAGATATTGCTTAAATCAAGGAACAAACAACTGGATATCCATTTGCCTCCTCCAGCTGCCTAACTACAGATCATTCCCATGTTATTCCTATGCTAGATCAGATGGGCAATTCCAGATTCAAGCCTTGATCAAATAAGGAAAGGTACATTCCTCTCCTCTGCTCCATCCCTCACTGTGGTGCTGCCTTGCTGATTTGAGGTTCAACCAGTCAGTTGTGAATGGAGAGTACTCTCAGTAGGTGAGATGGTGGGACGGAAATGCATGCTTATCCTGCAGCCCACCTCGCCATTAGAGCAACTCTCTTAACTGTTATCCACCCTGGTGCCTGGCCCTGGCAGCTCATGGGACGTCACAAGAGGACAATGGCTGGGAGAAGGACCTTCTCTCAAGGGTGCCTTGGAGGCTGTTTTAGGGAATGAATGGCTTCTGACATGGGCTTTCTTAAAGTTGCCCCAGAAGAGAAGTTACCATTGACCAGGCCCTAGGTGTTTGCTTAGCTCAGAGCCATCAGGAGGGTCTTAGCTCCTTAGATGAGCAGCTCCTGCACTGTGGTGTGAACGTGGTTTGCAAGGTGCCATTAAATAAACAAGTGCTGACAATTTTGCATGTTTCCTGGGTGATATTTTATTATACTTTCATCAAGGAACTGGAGCACCATATTTATTTAAATCAGTACACTCCATATGTTCCTAGCTTGGTGCAAAGCAGGCACAAATGTCCACATGCAGCCAGGGTGCTGACTGAGGTGACCAGTTTGCTTGAGTTTTCATACTCTGCACTCTCCAGTGGAACAGCAGCTGCAGGACTCTTATTTTTGTGATGTGGAGCATGTCTGGGTGTGTGGCAGGGGGAACTGAAATAGTCTCTGCTGACTTTTTGTACCTACAGATTTTGTTTCATTGCTCATTTTGGAAAAGGGAAGCCCTTATAGGGGCCAAATTAATGGTTTTTCTGTAAATGATTTTTTTTCCCCCTCAAACTCCATTGGCTTGACTTCCAGTGGTATAGAAAGGCAATATGGTGAACTTCTCAGCCCGAAAAAGGAGATCTCCAATCAGGGCCGAGAGGCTCATGCTAAGGTGGAAAGATTTTCCTCCGTGATGGACTCTTGGATACCTACGGGAGACTTAAAAGGCCCTCAGACCACAGGATTAATGGTGAGAAAGCTTCAGGCTTTGAGGGTGAACTACTTGGAGTTACAAGTTAATCGGGAGCTTATTAAAATCTCTGGAGAACTCTACTGTGGGAAATTGGGCTTCTATCTTCTCTGCTGATATCTTATTATTTCAATCTCCTGGTTTATTTTCTTTGGATTTTTTATTATGATTTTAAGAAATTATTTAAAAAGTTAAAAATATTTCTTTTACGTATTCCAGTTTAGTTGTTTTGAAGTTAATTCAGGGATCCGGGATCCCCAAGGTGAGGCAACCGTGATTTTAGACAAACTTTTTTCCTCTCCCAAATTTGTATTTGTGGGCTCAGTTCTCATGCTGGTGGCAGTAGGGAGCTCAGTGTTTACTGTGGAATTAAAAATGTTTATTGTTGCTGCACATAGGTTGGTGTGAAAGGTACCAACTGCAAGTTTCAACTTGCAAAAACACTTGGCCGTTGGGCTCCTTTGGAATCGTCTTGAAGCTTCAGATTCTGATATTTCATGAGCACTTTGCAAAGTCACTATGAGAAGCACCCTCCTTCTTACCTGCTCAGCTGGAGTCAGTTACAGAATTCCTTGGCAGCTGGCTGTGGACACGTGCCGGGCAGTCAGGAGACCCGTGGGAGCTGTGGGAGTCCTGCAACGTCAATAGGAAGAGGTGGGGACTTAGAGATTGCCCCACATATGGTCTGTTGTGCCAGGGCACACCTGTTGACACTGAGTTCCAAGGAAGTCCAGACATTAGAGGGTGATACTCTCTGTCCACAGCACCTCCACCAAGCGCTCTTTGTTCATCGACTTAGAAACAGTAGGAGGCGGGAAGCCCTCTCTTGACAAGATCCTGGAAGTGGCCAGCTGGTCCCTTTCCAGCCAAGTGTGTGGTGTGTCCACTTCCTGGGAGGGACTGGGACCAGGAGGCCTCTGAGCCCTTCCTCAGAAGTGTACATGCAAACAAGAGGGGGCTGAGCCATACACCTGTCTCTGAGATGGTCTGAGATATGTGCATATGGGATTGAGCCCTTCTTGTTCCTCAGCTGAATTAAGAGGGTGACCACAGTGCTCAGACCCCCCCAAGTAACCCCATTTCCCAAATTTCTCTTGAGTACACAATGCCTCAGACTGTACTTTATGCCTAAGGAATAGCTGAGAACCCAACTGAAGACAAGTGTGAACTGCAGGATATGGTTGTGAACAGAACTGACGTGTGCAACAGCATGGATGGAACTGGAGGACGTTATGTGAAGGGAATAAGCCAGGCACAGAAAGACACAATTCTCATGTTCTCACTTGTATGTGGGAACTACAAATTCACACAATTGAATTCATGGAGATAGAGAGTAGAATGATGGCTACCAGAAGCTG
The DNA here is from genome assembly GCF_000001405.40 of Homo sapiens. NCBI lineage: Eukaryota > Metazoa > Chordata > Mammalia > Primates > Hominidae > Homo > Homo sapiens. The sequence goes on along the minus strand of NC_000011.10, from coordinate 111,362,474 downwards.
GGAAGGGCAGCAGGGGGAGTGGGAGTGGGGATGACTTATGGGTACAAAAATATAGTTAGATAGAATGAATATGATCCAGTATTTGACAGCACAACAGGGTGACTATAGTCAACAATAATTTATGGTACACTTAAAAATAACTAAAAGTATAATTGGATTGTTTATAACACAAAGAGGTGACAAATGCTTGAGGGGATGGGTGCTTTATTTACCCTGATGTGATGAGTGTGCATTGCATGCCCGTATCCAAATATCTTGTGTACCCCATAAATATATACACTGACTATGTACTCATAAAGATTAAAACCAAAAATGCTGACGTGGCCATGGGGTGACCCTGAGAAAGAGTGAGTTGAGTGTGGCAGGGCAGGTGCCCTGTTCGCTGACACGTCAGATTGTACCTGGGGCCTGTGGTCATCGCTGGGCACCACCCAGCAGTAGGGAAAGTGGCAAATGGAACTTGTGCAAGAGTGACTCACCCAGAAGGAAGGTGGGGAGACTAAAACCATGTCATTTAGAAATAGCTGAAGGAATGAGAAGTCCCTTCAGACCTAGGGGGACACCTGGTATCTGTCCTCAGATTTCGGAAGGGAATATTACTACTAATACTCATGATAATCGGAGCTCACATGTATTAAATGCTCTGTGCCAAACTCTATTCCAAGCACTTCACATGCAAATCTTAAATTACCCTACAACATACATACCATTATGATCTTCACTTTATAGATGAGACAGCTGTAAATGGACTAAGAAATGTGAGTTTCATTAGAAGGTAATGGAGGGAAATATGGCATGTGTTACCATAAGTTAGCCTCAGTAGGAGGAAGAGCTGTCTGACATGATAATATCCCCCCGAAAGGAAGGTGGAAATGGCCAGAAGGAAGATAATTAAAACCACATGTATTGAGCATCTACCCTATGCCAGACATGGCCTTTGGAGCTCCCCATGTATTATTTTGGTTAATCCTCACAACCACTGTGTGAGAGAAGAATTATTATTCCCGTTTTACAAATGAGGAAATTGAAGCCCAGAGACATTAAATAAATCTAAGAACTTTCCACCAGTAAGTGACAGCCCAGATTTGAATACAGGTATGTGTGGTTCTCAAGTCTACTGTCATTGGTGTTCAGAGCAAAGGTGGAGGCGCACAGGTGGCCCCGGGGCACAGAACCAGGCTGGTTCCCCTGCTAGACACTCCTATAGCAGCCTGAATTTCACAAGTTGTGACACATTCATCTGCTGGTAACTTTTGTTGCTTGTCTTCCCCGTTAGACTGCAAGATCCACGTGGGCGGGGGCTCCATGGGTCCTGTGCAGTGCTGTACTCCTAGGCACTAGAAATATTTGAAAAAATGAATGAATACCAGTAGAGATCTCTTGTTCAGACAGGGGAAGTTAAAATAAGGATAATGAATCTCCTATTGGGATGTTATCGGGAGATTCTTATGTTAAATTAGGAATGGATTATCAGCAGTTGTAATCCCAGTATATTTTCAGAAATACTGGACAGATTTTTTTTTTTTTTTTTTGAGACAGAGTCTCTCTCTGTTGCCAGGCTGGAGTGCAATGGTGTGATCTCAGCTCACTGCAACCTCCACCTCCCAGGTTCAAGCCATTCCCCTGAGTCAGCCTCCCAAGTAACTGGGATTACAGGTGCCTGCCACCACATCTGGCTAATTTTTTGTATTTCAGTAAATATGGGCTTTCACCATGTTGGTCAGGATGGTCTTAATCTCCTGACCTTGTGATCCACTCACCTCAGCCTCCCAAGAGAGATTTTTATACATACAGATTCCTAGGCCTATATCAGCCCCCTAGAATCAGACTTTCCTGGAGCAGGACCTGTACCTGTATATTGCATCATTTCCTGGTTGATTTGCTACCTGGCCAGCTGAGGGACCTTGGAGGATGGGTCTAAAGTCCACCTGAGATACTGGGATTCCTGACCCCCAACATCTGCCCCTGGGACTCATTTCCCACTTCCTGTTGCCTCTGCCCAAGCTTCTCTCTGCCTTCTGGGCTTCAAGGCCAGGCCTTGCTCGTGGCTGGAGCCTGGAGGGAGGTCTGGTGCCGAGTCAGGCATGGGACCTTATCAGCTGGGTATTTACTGAGCAAAGTTCAACCAGGGCAGTGCTGCAGATCCGGGTTTAACAGATACCTAGGCTTCCGGGACTTTGATTCAGAGCCCAGGTCCCTGGGGCCCTTATCGGTGGATAATAATGGGCTCCCTGTGGAAGTCCTAAGGTCTAGTGTTTCTTGGCTGACCCAGGCCTGCTCTCTGAGAGCCCAGGATCCCTAGGCCACAGGCTGTCTAGGTGGGCAGCTTGTTGCTTCCCAGCCACGGCTGCTTTTCAGTTGCTCTCCCAGGCCAGGAAGGGCCCTATGCACTGGCTCTTATTTGGGTCAATGCTTTGGTTTCCTGGCTTTGATGGCAAGAGGGGAAGGAAACCTTCCCTCAGCAGCAGGTGGACACTGTCTGGCCCCAGGGTACAAGGATCACCCTTGGGTAATTGTCCCATGCCCTGAAAGTCACTGAGAACCTGGGAGCCACTTGCCTCAATCCTAAAGGTGTAGGAGAGGTGAAGGGAAGACAAATGGCAGCATGTCTTAAAGAATCACCCAATCGATTAATCAATAAGTATCAACTGAGCTTAAAACGCATGGGCATGCCACTGGGAAGACATAGAGAAATAAGGTACAATAACTCACCTTGAGACGTTTATAATCTAGTTGTGGGTATAAGACACTTCCATCAAAAAGAATAACTATTACATAATAGACTGAATTTTTTTGAATGCCTACCCTGTACCTGAATTTATTTGAGGCATATACTGTTCTACCAATTTCCCACATCAAGTGACTTCTCTCAATATTCCTTTGATAAAGAAACTGAAGATTAAGAGGCACAGAGAGGTTTAGTAACTTGCCCAGGATCACACAGGAAGGTGGTGGCAGGGGCAGGATTTGAGGCCTGTGCTATCTGGCTCAGAGTCCCTGCTCTTATGGCTGTCCTCTACTGCCACCTATGATGAATACTAATCAGATCTGGAAATGTTTGAGAAGCTGTAGAATGTGGAAATTACTCAGGCTGCAGGGGTCAGGCAGGAGGGTTGCATTTGTCTTGTGTCAGCAAGAATCAAGAGGTTGGAAGAAGTGAGAGGGAATTCTGACCACGGAAAACCTCAACCACAGATGAGGAGGTGAGACACGCAGGAACACGTAGAGAACACAGACAGACCTTCTGGTTGGAGACAGGGTTTGTGTAGTAGGGAGTGTGCAAAGTGGTGAGAAAAATGGGTTCGGATCTCATTCTGAAGACTGTCCAATTCTAGGACAAGGAGCTGGGCCTTCGTTGTCTGGGTGCAGGGGACCCACAGAAGGTTTGGGAGTAGGAGGAGTGACAATACTGGAGAGGCATTCTAGGAAGTGTCACGTGGTTCTCCGTGTTCAAGCACGACTTAGGGGAGCAGGCAGATCCATGAGGAAATGAGCACTTTGGGGTGGGGGCTCGTCTGAGAAGGACCATGGGCTCCAGGGACATTGCTTTTCACAGCCACAGCTCCGGAGCAAGCCCCAGCCCCGGCCCGGCCATACCAGGGCGTCCGTGTGAAGGAGCCAGTGAAGGAACTGCTGAGGAGGAAGCGAGGCCACGCCAGCAGTGGGGCAGCACCTGCACCTACGGCGGTGAGAGTTTGTGTGTGTGAGAGTGTGAGTGTGTGTGTGTGAAAGAGAATGTGTGTGTCAGGGATAGTGTGAGAGTGTATGTGTGTGTGAGTATGTGTATGCGTGTGTGTATGTGTTTGTGTGTGATAGAGTGTGTGAGAGTGTGATAGTGTGAGAGAGAATGTGTATCTGCGTCAGTGTGTGAGAGTGTATGTGTGTGTGAGGGAGTGTGAGTGTGTGAGTGTATGCATGTGAGTGTGTATGTGTTTGTGTGTGATGGCGTGTGTGAGTGTGTGATAGTGTGAGAGAGAATGTGTATGTGTCAGTGTGTGAGAATGTATGTGTGTGAGAGAGTGTGTGTGTGTGAGAGTGAGTGTGAGAGTGTGAGCGTGTGTGTGAGAGAGTATGTGTGTGAGGGAGTGTGTGTGAGAGAGTGTGTGAGTGTGTGAGAGTGTGAGTGTGAGAGTGTGAGAGTGTGTGAGAGAGTACGTGTGTGAGAGAGTGTGTGTGTTTGTGTGAGAATGTGTGTGCGCGCAGGCAGATGGCTTGGGAGGTGACCAAAAGGATCAGGCAGGAAGGAGCGCAGGTCCCTTGGTGGAGGCTGCCAGGGATAGAGCTAGGGTGGAGCAACTGGGATGAGGGATCAGGGCCGGCTCAGCTGGCCCACCGAACACAGCTACTGTCAAGGCCTGAGTGAGCGAATGACTTGCATACCCTGGTGTGAGTTGGGGGCCCCCCCTGAGAAGAAGAAGACACCAGCTCCCTGAGCGCACAGACTTCCTGCTAAATAGAAACGCAAATCTCTCAAGTGTAGGTGGTGATGGTTGGGATACGGGGTGGGATGTTTTGTTCTAACCAGAGAGATTCCTATCTTCTATTCTCCTGCCCTGAGGCCCTCTGGGCAAGTTCTCTGCACAGGGCCGGTTGACGAGGGCTAAACATTGACCCTGGTCTTCTCCTCTCCCCTCTAGGTGGTGCTGCCCCATCAGCCCCTGGCGACCTACACCACAGTGGGTAAGAGTGCCCCGTAGCCCTGGTGGCCCCCAGGCCTCTCATCTGGGTGGCATCTGAAGTTCTGTAATTTCCTTCTTCCCACAGGTCCTTCCTGCCTGGACATGGAAGGTTCTGTGTCTGCAGTGACAGAGGAGGCTGCCCTGTGTGCCGGCTGGCTCTCCCAGCCCACCCCGGCCACCCTGCAGCCCCTGGCCCCATGGACACCTTACACCGAGTATGTGCCCCATGAAGCTGTCAGCTGCCCCTACTCAGCTGACATGTATGTGCAGCCCGTGTGCCCCAGCTACACGGTGGTGGGGCCCTCCTCAGTGTTGACCTATGCCTCTCCGCCACTCATCACCAATGTCACGGTATGTCACACAAAGGCAGGACTGCACCCGCCCATGCTGAGTGCACCCTTTTATAACCAGAGCTGACTTCTCGATCCTGATCTTCCTTGCTATTGATTCTCAAGATAATCAGGTCATCAGAGCTCGCCTTGGTCTCCATGGAGGCCTGCTCTGATTCTCATTTCCTGAGATAACTTCCACAAAGATGTCTCGCAGCCTCTCTCGTCATACTTTCTGCTCCTCAGGACTGGGGAGGTCTTCTCTGATTCCCTGTTCTAAATCTCCCCAGCTTCCCTGCAAGCAGTGAGTCTTGGTTCTGAGTTGAAGTTTTTAGTGAATGTGGCACCAGGCGAGATCTACATGGGGTCTTGTGTTGGAACTAGCCTTTCATTTCTATTCAGATAACTTAGGGAGTGATTGTTCACTTAATAATGGGGTTTAACAGAAGATTTCTAGGCTGAACAACAGGTGATATTTTTGATGGTGTCAGACCCACGTGTGGGGTAATTTTTTAAAGTTCTGTCTCTACTGTCAGATTGCCTTGTTCAAATCCCTGTCCCTTCACTTACTAGCTATGTGACTCTGGGTTTAGTGACTTAAAACTCTCTGAGCCTCAGTGTCCTCATCTGTAAAATGGGAATACCAAGAAAAGGGTCGTTGTCAGGATCAAATGAAATAATGAGTGTGGAGGGCTTAGCACAGTGTCTGGCATACAGAAACCACTAATATATGTTAGTTATCATCATATCAAAATCTGCTAACATTAACCAAGGGCTTGATGGGAAAGGAAGAGCCTCTTCCCCCGGGAATGAAGGAAGGAAGGGAAATAGATTTATGTTAATGATTCCTGTTCGACTAAAGGACTGGGAATTTTGCAAGTATTCAAGGGCAAAAAGACCTGTGGTTACAGCTGTATCCAGCTCCAGTCCAGGGAAACCGTGGGAAGTAGAGCTGGGCCTTGAGCAGTCCCAGAGCCCACCTTCGATGGTGGTGCTTGCTTTGGTCCACCTTGTCTCTTCCATTTCCCTCCAGGGTCCAGTGTCATCCTGATGCACCTGCCCCTGCCTCCAAGCACCTTCTATGAAAGGCCTGCAGAAGCCCTTCCCTCCCAGGTCCACCTGCCTACCCAGCAAACCAATTTTGGAGCCTGGATGATGATAGATAAGAAGGAGTTAATCCAACACCTCTCCCAGGCAACTCATTTCCATGTCAGAGGCCTGGGGTGAGGGTGGTGGGTGGAGGACTCACGGCTCCCACCCATTTCATTACCAAGGATTCCTTTCATTATTTATCCCCTTTCATCATTCCCACCTTCTGCTTTGAAAGGTTCTGTATATCAAACAAACAGTATTCATTAAGAATTGATTTATTTGTTTTGCCATTTTGTAAATTAAGTCATCAAAGCTGGCTAGAGCTGTAAGTCCACACTCCTGATCAGCAGAGATAAGACCTGCTGTGTGCTGAGTGGAAGTAATTGTATTCCCGAGCAAAGAAACCTATAGTTACAGGTTTATGACTGGGAAATGTAGAATTTCCATCTGGATTTTTGAAAAGCTGGGAATCATGAGGCTTTCCCGGATTCTGTCTGGTTTCAGGACACTGGGATGGGGACCACTGGCTTAAGTCAAAGGAGAGGAAGTGATTATGCTGTGGTGGGGTGTACACCTCAGCCCGGATTTCAGGAGGCTGGAAGGCCTCTGAGACCATTTCCAGCTCTATCATTCTGTGCAAAAACACCCTAAAGCCTTGCTACTCAAACTCTTGTCCCTGGACTGGCCACATTGGAGTCCCCCTGAGATCTGATTAGACATGCAAAATCCCAGGCCCCACTCTAGACTTCCTGTGCCAGAAGCTGCGTTCTAACAAGATCCCCAGGAGGTTGAGAAAAGCCCTGCCCTAAATGATTCTAACAGTTTGCTGTCAAGACACAGTGACAGTAGGAGGGATATATGACAGGGGAGACAGGGATGGTAGGGGGAGATTTTGGCCTCCCTCTCATGAATCCATGCAGAGAGCATCCTCTTCTATCTGCTTTCCTCAAGTGTGAAAGAAAAGTAAGAATCCAGGTCCCGCCCCTGTTGCAGGCCTGATCTGAGGTTTGTGAGGGCAGTCGCCGTGCAGGTGAGAGGTATGACTCGCAGAGCATTCAGGAGAAGGACTCTAACACTTGGAGGGTCATGGGGGGTGCCCATAAGTGGGATGGCCATGGAGATCAGCTCAGAGACAGAGGACGATGAGGATGTGGAAGGCACCAGGCAGCAGCAGGAAGGAAGGCCAAGTTTGCTGACAAAGCAGTGCTTCCCCCATCTGGGGATGGCCAGGCCTCCCCATGCTGGCCACCACTAGAGGGGTGGGAGGTGATGGAGCTGTGTTGGCCCAAGGGGACCTCCAAAGCTGTTGTGTGGAGCCCGGACTGTCTTTGTGTCTGGGCAGGACAGTGGCCACCTTCCAGATACAGCTTCCAGGCTGTGGTTTAACATATATTTTCACAGATTTTAAGATGCATATATTTTTAATGTTTTAAGATCTCTGAAATAGAAATGAATTTTGTATTCAACGAAACCTGGAAAATCCTCTCTAATTGGCCTAACCCAATGAGTTCATTACTGTTTGTATTCTATTTCGTAGATGAGAAAAATGAGCCTTCTGAGCAGGAAGTGGCCTGAGCAAAGACATATAGCTAGGAAGGGTCAGGATTGGGGCTGCGGTTGAAGTCAGCCTGGCTCCTCCCTTGGGGAAGACTTTGAGCAGGAGGAGGTGGAGCCCCATGAAGTGAGAAACCAGGAAAGGGCAGAATTGAAGGGGGAGATGGAGACCCCTCTAAGGGCAAGGATGGGTGGATGGGTCTCCTGGGGCTGCTAACCCTCTGTCACGTGTTTTCCTGTCACAGACAAGAAGCTCCGCCACGCCCGCAGTGGGGCCCCCGCTGGAGGGCCCAGAGCACCAGGCACCCCTCACCTATTTCCCGTGGCCTCAGCCCCTTTCCACACTACCCACCTCCACCCTGCAGTACCAGCCTCCGGCCCCAGCCCTACCTGGGCCCCAGTTTGTCCAGCTCCCCATCTCTATCCCAGAGCCAGTCCTTCAGGACATGGAAGACCCCAGAAGAGCCGCCAGCTCGTTGACCATCGACAAGCTGCTTTTGGAGGAAGAGGATAGCGACGCCTATGCGCTTAACCACACTCTCTCTGTGGAAGGCTTTTAGGCGTGGCTCCCACCTGAGTCCTGTTCCCTGAAACTGGGATTTTAAAATGAGCCTGGAATTGAGCCCCAGGTTCATGCTTGTTTGGAGTAGTCATTTCATGACTACACTTTCTACGCACAGCTAGAATTGTAGACCTGTAAACCTTCCTTCCCTTCTTCCTTCCCCTCCCTCCCTCACTTCCTCCCTCTCCCCCATCCTTCCATTCTTCCCCTCCCTCCCTTCTTCCTTTCCAACCCCTTCCTTCCTTTTCCTCCCTCCCTTCCTTCCCTCCTTCCCTTCTCCCTTTCCAACCCCTTCCTTCCTTTTCCTCCCTCCCTTCCTTCCCTCCTTCCCTTCTCCCTTTCCTTCTTTACCTCCCTCCCTCCCTCGCTTCTTCTCTCTTTCTTACTTCTTTTTTCAATTCTGTTCCATTTTGGGAGGTAATTATAGGGATTTTAGCAATAACATTTTATGTCAAATGTTGCCAAGTCTGTGGTCCATGGGCTTTCATTTCTGTCACATTTCATTTCTTGGAAAAGGCCTCCTTCCTCCAGTGCCTGCTGAACCATCTTAGGGTCACTCACACCCTCTGTAATTTTAAGATGTATGTGGTGGCCGGCGGGAAGACCAGCCCCGACAGCACCTCCTGAGAAAGTCAGCCAAGGGCCTACCCTGATGCCAGAGTCCTTGAGCTGTCAGTTCCCACAGTTGCTCCTTTGTTTGCTCTTCTCAGCCTCGGCCAGATTTACAGTCCAGGCAGCAAAATCTCAAGGCCTGGGGCTCAGAGTAGTAAGGGGTGGGAAGTGGGTGGCAGGGAGAAAAGAACATCAGGGTGGGTGGGGACAGGCCAGTGACGAAGAGAGGGACAGAGGAGGGATGGGAACAGGCTGTGCATCTTAGTTGGAGAGAGGGGTGTGGGAGGAAGCTTGAGTTTGATGCAGGGAGGAGGAAGGCTGAGGAATGACTTGGCTCCAGATTACTTGGTTATTAAGAAGAACAATAAACTAAAGGAAAGCATTGCTTGAAGAGATGGTTTTGCTGCTCTCCTTGAGGATACGTGCAAGGGAAGTTGGGCTGTTGTAAACAGGGTGAAGGGTGTGTTTGGTCGGCCATTTCTGTCTCACCTCTAGGCCCTCTGCTGGTGCTGTGGAGGCCAAGACCCCATTAAGCCTAAAGGTGATGGGTCCTCGCCTAGGCTTAGTGCTACCATGTGGGTTTTGTTTCTTTCCTTCCTTCCTTCCTTCCTTCCTTCCTTCCTTCCTTCCTTCCTTCCTTCCTTCCTTCCTTCTTTCCTTCCTTCCTTCCTTCCTTCCTTCCTCTCTCTTTCTTTCTTTTTTTTGGTTTTTTTTGGGACGGAGTCTCACTCCATTGCCCAGGCTGGAGTACAATGGTGCGATCTTGGCTCACTGCACCTCTGTCTCCCAAGTTCAAGTGATTCTCCTGCCTGAGCCTCCCGAGTAGCTGGGATTACAGGTGCATGCCACCATGCCTGGCTAATTTTTGTATTTTTAGTAGAGACGGGGTTTCACCATGTTGGCCAGGCTGGTCTCGAACTCCTGACCTTGTGATCCGCCCGCCTCAGCCTCTCAGAGTGCTGGGATCACAGGCGTGAGCCACCGCACCCAGCCTTTTACCATGTGGGTTTCTTTAGTGTCTTAAAAGCGTCCATAAGCCACCATTCTGTGGAACCAAGGCCCCCTCCACGCAAACACCCTCCCTCCTGGGGACCTCTGGAGCCTCAGCCAGAAGTACCATTAGGTTTAATTTTAATTTGTTTTGCTGGAGAAACATCAGGTTTGTAGGAGACTGAGTTGTTAGCAGGTGTGCTTAGCTCTTGATAGTGAACGTGTACCTTGGGAACTGGCTCACCCACCTGCTAATAGCACCATCGTCACTATTAAGCAGACATTTCAGTTGGTAGAATCCATGTAGAAGTCATGGACTTTTCTGGGAAATGACTTTTCTGGGAAATGACAGTTTCTTTGACATATTTTCTTTGCCCACTTTAAATAAAAACTCTGGAGAAAGTTGTCTGTTTTGGATTTTCTTTTTCTGCTTAAGATTAATTTTGACCCAGATTTCTCTGTGCCTGCCTTAAATCCCAGTACACAAATCTTGAATTGTTTTTATTCAGATATTTTTTAGATTTAAAAGTTCAAGACAGCATTTGAGAAGATGCATTTACATCTTTGTCGGTACTGATGGTAAGTAGGTGGGCAGGGCTCTCAGTCCTATTTGATTAAAAGCCCTGGTTTTCCATAAAAAAAGACACTATGCAAGATTTTTCAGCGTACCATTTGAGAGGGTGCAGAAGCAACCTCCGTAAAGGAGTTAAAGTTGGCAAAAACTAGCAAAGAAATATAGTACTTTACGTGTTTGCTAAGATAAATGGTCTATTTTTTCTCTTATCTTGAGGTCAAATGTCTTGGTAGTAGTCCATCTGGGTTTCTTCCCGAGTTACTCTGCTAAGATGGAAACATTTTCATAAAGATTTGTAGAGACTTTTCTGTGCCAAAGTGTTTCATTTCTTATCAAGTTGATCCCCCTAAGCTTTCAGTCCCATGTTAGACAGTGTGATTAGAGGAAGGAACTTAACACTAGTCTTGTTGACTTTGCAAATTGATCTGTTGCAGAAGAAGATAAAACCAGTCCCCACCGTGCCTGCAGTCCAGTTCTCCCAAGCAGGACATGCGCGTGGCTAGGGGGCTTGTTGTCCAGGAGAGTGGGGAGCTGAGGAGAGAGGGAAATCTTTTAACTTGATTGCTCTTCCTGTTATTCACGCCATCATGAGTAACTTCTCATGACGCTGAGTGTTCAGGGATAAGTTCTACCACGGGCATTTCCATAGCAGGCTCTGAAAATCCATCAATCAGGATCCAGGAGCATGTGACATCAGGCAGGAACCATGACCTAAGGAAGCCATCTCATAGGGCCAGACATCACCACGGAATGGAAATTCCAGAAGCCAATTAGTCCCCTCCAAGATCAGTCAATGGAGTGAGTTACAGTTTGGAAGGGGTCTCCCTTTCCTGGTGATTTTCTGAGTTTCTAAAGGCCTCTGAGCTCACTGCCTACATTGTTAATCTTCGTTGGAGTAATTGTTTTAAAATTATCTACACTATTCTGCTATGAGCCTTATTTCCAGATTTTGGAGGAGAGAGTACATCCAGTTATTTAGCCTTCTTTAGATTACCAGCACCATTGTCTTTTTGGCTTACTCTCCCTGAAAACCAGAACCTAGAAAAATGACATGGAAGGAAAGGGTTTGAGGTTTTATCTTCAGCTTTAGTGAGGCTCAAGTGAAAGGGAAGATCTATTAAAAATGCATTTGCCTTACTCTCTTTTGAGGTAGAGGCATGAAAAACTTGATCTGCAACTTGAAGAAGAGCATGGCCAGTGTGATGTAGATTAGTGCTTTACAAGATTCTGATCCATGAGGCTGTCCAATTCCAGCATAAAACAGGCTAGCAAGGAGACAAGTATGTGGCTGAGATGAAGAAGATAGACATCTGGAAAAGAACAAAATCACATGACCAAGTGGCTCAAATTCTCTGAACATCAGGTTGCACTCATCTCTAAGTGGAAATCTGAAGACATGTTCTAAAGCTAAACACAAATTTCTTGAAATCAGAAACCATAGATAACTTATTTTGCATTAATTTACTTCATTTGAGTGTCAAATATGAGACTCTCTCAATAATTTCTTGTTGAATTGAATTAACCGGGGGGATTCTCTGTCCACTGCTTCTAAATATTGATATAGATGATTGCAAGTTGATTATAATGAAGTCTCCTTTATTGGATGGACAGAGACATGATGCCTGGCAGATGTTTTTTCTGAAAGCTTGAGTAGAAATATTCATAAGCTGGTGATGTTAATCTGTTTGTCAGTTCTTCTACAGCTGTGGCTGCTGTGGAAGGTGTTTCATTCATTCATTCAACACAGATTTAAAAAAAAATTATTTTATTGAAAGTTGACAATTTAAATATGTTTGTGGGGTATGAATATAATACAATATATTATGGGATACAATTTACAGATTGATGTTATAATTTATGAATACAATATGAAATACTTAAATCAAGCTAACATATACATTATCTCCAATACTTATTTTTTGTGGAGAGAACATTTGCAGTTTACTCTCTTAGAAATTTTGAAATGTACAATACATTATTATTAATTATATTCAACATGCTGTGCAATAGATCTCAAAAAAAAAACTTATTCCTCCTTTCTAACTAAGACTTTGTACCTTTTGAACATCTCTCCATTCCCCCATACCCCAGCCTCTATAACTACCATTCTACTCTCTGCTTCTACGTGTTTGATTGTTTTAGATTCCACATATAAGGGAAAACATGCAGTATCTGTCTTTCTGTGTCTGGCTTGTTTCACTCAGCATAATGTTCACCATTCATCCATGTTGTTGCCAGTGATAGAAGTCCCTTAGTTTTAAAGGCTGAATAGTATTCCATTATGTATATATGCCACATTTTCTCTATCCATTCATTGCTTGAGGGGCACTTAGGTTGATTTCATAACTTGATTATTGTGAATAGTGCTGTGATGAACATTGGAGTGCAGATGTGTTTTTGACACACTGATTTAAAATCTTTTGGGTAAGTACCCAGAAGTGAGATTGCTGGATCATATGGTAATTCTAGTTTAAGCTTTTCAAGGAACATCCGTACAGTTTTCCATAATGGCTGTACTAATTTACATTCCCACCAACAGTGTACAAGGGTTTCCTTTTCTCTACATCCTTGCCAACACTTGCTATCTTTTGTCTTTTTGATAATAGCCATTCTGACAGGTGTGAAATGATATCTCATTGCGGTTTTAATTTGCATTTCTCTAATGATTAGTGATGTTGAACATGTTTTTCATAAATGTGTTAGCCATCAACACATATTTATTGAGTGCCAACTCTGGGCTAGGCAGGCATCTTGGATTATTATAGATGTCTGCTTTGAAATAGTTTTCTAGCTCAGTGATTTCTTTTCAGTATGAGTGTCCATTCTTATATATGTATATTTAGTTATTTATAAATTGTATATCCCACAAACATATAGCTAATTGTATGTATTATAAAACATTCACAATAATAGGAATTTAAAAAGATGAGGTAAATATAAAAATAAATATTTTAACTATTTTATTTATTGACTACAAAAATTCATTTGACCTCATTAACTGTAAATAACATCTAGAAGGAGCATCTTTGTGACATACTGATTTGAAGATCTGGGTTTAACTTCAATTGATTTCGGTGTTTTGTCATAGCTGAAAAAGATACCATACAAAGATGTTTAGATCCAAATAAAAATAGTATATCATTGATTATGCTAAATAAATTACAAAAGTTATTTTAAAATGTCTTCCATCAGTCATGCAAAGGTGTTATTTTAAAATTTGGTCAGCAAATTTCCACCTTAGCTGATGTCAACTGGTCTTACACACTTATTGAAGGAGTTGCCTTTTTAACCCATTGAGTTAAAACCACTCAAACTCTTTATTTGGAAAAATTTTCAGCAACCTAAAAAATTCTGCTTCTACATATTTTTTAAAAAGGCTGAAGATATGGAAGTTTTTATGGGTAACACACACCTATATTGTTGTTAGCAACAATATCACATGATGGAAACATTCCTAACCATCTACTAAATTTTCACTTGCTAAATGTTCCCCTCATTGCATGAATTTCAAAAAGCATTAATGTTATCTTGATCTTGATGGGCTGGATTAAGTACAAATTGTGTTTACTACTTAAAAAAATCTGCAGGTAACGTATTTTGGACAACCAACTTATCAACCAAAAAAGATCAGCAAATTTAGTGTGCTTGTATTTGTATTAAGTAAATAGATATTTAATATCTAAATTATAATTAATTTAATTTAATGATATAACTCATTAATTTAATTATATGATTAATTTAATTATATATAATTCATTGCTTTAATTATATACGATTAATTTAATTATATATGTCATTGCTTTAATTATATATGCTTAATTTAATTATCTATAATTCATTGATTTAATTATCTATATGTGATTCATTTTTAGGTTTCACAGTTCGTTGGGTGTCTTTAGTCAAGAGATAATCAGTGATTCTTTTTATGGCACAAAAGGGTCTCATATCATTATAAAGACTGTACATTTAGAGATGTTGGGTCCATAAAATTAACCACACTGATATCATCCTTAAATCTCAATATGTTGCAATATGATGGAAGTGAATTCACTGAGGGCATCACTGTTACCCCCCATTTCCATGCATAACTTCCTCTTGTCCCTCAGGACACTCTCAGAACCATGAGTCACACATAACTAAAGCGTGGGGAGCACCAGCACTACGGTGACCAACTCATCTTGGTTTGCCTGGGAATTTCTTGGCTTTAACATTGAAAGTCCTGTTCTAATATATCCTTCAGTCTGGGGCAAGCCTGGACTTTTGGTCACACCAGTCCACATTAATATTGTCTGGTCCACGTTAATGTGGACTGGTGTGACCAAATGTCCAGGTTTATTATTTATATGTATTTTCAAATACAAATAAATCTTAATTTCCTTTTTCTTTGCTTATTTTTTCTTTTACTTCTTTTTCTTTTTTAAAATAAATTAGAAGTTTCTTTTCGCATTCCAATGGATTGCCTCATGTGGTCCCTAAGACACATGTGTCCTACTTTGGTCTCTTTGGAGCTTATAAAAGCAATTCTTGCTTAATAGATTCCTCACTCAAATCCCGTCTGGAGACCACAGGAGAGAAGTTGGCTCTGGCCTGAGGAACCCTGACATTATTTGTTCTAAGATGGGACTGGGTCCAGGGGCATCAATGGTTCTGCCAGGGGGCCATCCTGGTGTTTGTCAGGCAGTAGCATGAGATACACCATCTTTATATGCTCTCCTACAACTAAAATCCGCTTCTCATTAAAAGTTTTCTTTATCCAAACTATCCTAAGGTGACACTCATATTAATATGATAGTGTTAACTCATCTGGGAAAACCTTAAGAGGAAGAAAACACACTTTTCATAAGATCCAGATGTTGTCTTTCCCCGCCCACGCCCATTAGGTGGAAATCTGTAACAGCAGTTCTCAAACTTGGCTGCACATTAGAATCACTTGGGAATTTGAAAAATCCCTGTGTCCAGACTGTGCCTTTGGCTGATTAAAATGGACTTGCTGGGAGTGGATGCAGGCATCAGGAATTTTTAAAGCTCTTCCAGGTGACTCCAATGTGCGGTGAAAGCTGAGAACCACCACACATCTACCTTTCCCCTCCAGTGGTGGGTGGGACTGTGGTTGAGTCTGAATGCTAAGAAAGAGTTCTCAGAGGCAACTTGTGTGTGGCATGTAGCATGGATGCTGTCCTATTCAATTAGAAGTTTTTTTTCCCCCTTACTAAACCAGGCAGGGTTATGGTAATTCTTACTCTCTTCATTAGAGAGTGAAAGCCCAGTGGTCTTAGCAGTCACTATAGGAGGTCTTTAGAGTAGACTGACTCAGCAAGGAGGTATCAGCTAAAGTGATTGTAAATGTCTTTTATCTGACAGCTTGACGACTTGCTTTTCATGTGTGTAGACCCATAAGCAAATACAAGAATGAAACATAAAGAAAATAGCAAGATGTCGGAGGCATCTGCCCCTTGTCTCACCTGTGTACTTTTAAACCTCAGTAGTGGATTGACATATTCAAATATGGGGCAAGCTGGGTCAGGTGAAAAGATAATGGAGACAGCAACTATGGTAGAACCCCAAATTTAAGACTTTATTTGAAGTCTACTCATCGCCTCCCTGGGCAAAGGGCTTTATGACATTCAAGCCAAACCAAAATTTAAAGAACGAGCCATATAGGACTGATAAATCTGCTTTTCCTAATTATAAGAACTAGTGTTCCACAACTAGTGTCCTTATTTCCTATTTTCGATTCTGCCTATTTCAGTGGAGAAAGGTTTTGGTGTCTGCAGTAGCTGGAAGAGCTGGAGGACTTGAGGCTCAGGAGCCTAAAGAAGATTGTCACCAACTTCTGGTAGATGAGAATGGAGACTCTTGCTTCCTTTACAATGTGCTATAGCATTCATGTGCTGCATACTGTGCTACCTGCTAAGGAATTCAAAGAAAAGTCAGGTGCATCCTTGATCACAAGAAACTCAGAGTTATTGGGGCAAATGGAAGGTTATAACATAGTAAAACAAGTAGAGTGGTAGATATAAACACAGATGCTTTACATCTCACATTTGCTAAGGAGATGTTACCACGATCTCACTTAAGCCTCTCAGAAAGCAAATAAGGGATGCACTACTTTAATTCCCAAGTATAGGAAGAAGAAACAGACTTAAAGAGGTTAAGTCACTTGTCCAAGTTTACATAGTCAGTAAATGGCAGTGCTGGTGTTCAAATCCAGCATGTTCAATGTTCGTTCTTTTAATCCTGTAGCCACATAGCTACTGACATTATTGGTGGCCATTTGGATGACTACTATTTTTATTTTATCAAGCCTTAGCTCACATCAATACATCAAGTGTTTGTTGAGTGTCTTTCTGTCATGGCAGACACTATGGATGAAGAAGACTGGATGGTTGGAATGTTCCCAGCTGGAGTGCCTCAGATCATAGTAACTCAGCGGTCTATATAATGGGAGAATTCACTCCAAGAGGAGGAGACAGAGAGAAGTGGATGTGAAAGTTTCATGTGTGTGCTTTGGGACATCTAGCCAGTTCTGAATTCAGAGTGGATATGCAGAGAGAAGGGCAATATTTTCTGCCAGCGTGTTGGTTGCTCTGTGCCCCTGTGATCTAGAATCTGGATGGTTAGTGGTGCCTCTCTTCAAAATCATATATAGGCTCTAGTAACCTAATGGCATGCTAAACTTTCATCTTACTGTGCTGATTGCCTATGTATCAATTTCCAAACCTCATGGTTTTTGCTACCAAATGAAGTAATTTTGTTTTGAACCCACAGTATACACACTCAGTAGATAGAGGAATAAATATGAATCTACATAAATAGACATATTTAATGGATACAGACAGATTATAGCCAGAATTCTTACCTTCTGGTACTTTTGTGGTCTCTTTTGAACTTTGTCCCTCAGTTGACTTATAACCAATGTATAGGTCAGCAGAGGCAGCAGCATGGCTGTGTGCAGGGGCTTTTTTTTGGGTGTTCTGATCTTGCAAGTTGCAATTAGAATTCTGAGTTTGCTATGCCATCTTGGGCTCAGATTCTTTTTCTCCATCAATCAAAGAGAGTATCATTTGCCCATTTCTTAGAATGAGACATTTTGAGATTGTGTCTGCAAAAGTACTTGATGCAAGATGATGCCTGGGTGCTTTACGAAATCAAGGGGCCCAATTGTGGCAGCTTTATTTTCATTATGCTCCTTTTTTAGGCCTTGTTTGGGGATATATTATTCACCGATTCAACAAATGCTTAGTGAGGAACTACTACGTCCAGCCCAGAGCTTGGACACTTCACAAGTCAAGAGAGTGTTGCCTTACTTCTTTGTTTCCTGACATATTTAACACAAGTCAGAATATTTAAAAGACTAAAAGTAAATGTATTAAGCATTTTGGTCAGTTTCAACACAAAATATAGTTCTGATAAGTTATCTATCAAAATTTTCTAATCTGTAGATTTGGTTTAAAATGCCTTTCAGAAGATGGAAAGATGTGATCAATGTGATGTTTTTACAGAGAAAATTCTAAATAGGTATTTCTCTTTATTCTAAAAGTGATTGTCTTTTGTTTTTCCAAATGACTCAGACTTACATATCCATGTTCTCACCTTGTAAACTGAAATCAGCAAGCCATCTTACTAAACAAAAATAGTGTAATCCTTTGTGTATATACCAACACAGAGTCCCAGGGCCTTGGGGAAAAGATGCAATAAAAATGCCTAAATAACATGGCTGACCTGATTTCTAGAGAAATTCTCTCTGCCTTGGGAAAGTAAGTTAGAGGAAAGCTTTTTCAGGGTTGCATCATTTGGCCCTATTCACCTCTCAGGAACAGTGACTTTCTGGTCTGTGTACTTGAAGACCAAGAGGCAGGCCGGAGATCCTAGTGAGGCTCAGGGATTTTGAGGAGCCCTGCCAGATCCCAGCAGTGACTCAGCGCTAATACACAGGGAAGAGTTCAGACTGCTATGCATCCGTTCACTGCTGTGTTCCATTATTACATGGTTATATACATGAAATGTCCACTGATGACATATCATAAGCAGAAGATTAGGCCTTGAATCTTAAACTTTTAAAATTTAAAAACAGTTGGCCAGGCACAGTGGCTCATGCCTGTAATCTCAGCACTTTGGGAGGCCGAGGTGGGTGGATCACCTGAGGACACAAGTTCAAGACCAGCCTGGCCAACATGATGAAACCCCATCTCTACTAAATATACAAAAAAAAAAAAAAATTTGCCAGGCAATCCAGGTGTGGTGGCAGGCACCTATAGTCCCAGCTATTCAGGAGGCTGAGGCAGGAGAATCTCTTGAACCCGTGAGGAGGCGGTTGCAGTGAGCCGAGATTGCACCACTGCACTCCAGCCTGGACAACAGAGCGAGACTCCGTCTGAAAATAAATAAATAAATAAATAAATAAATAAATAAATAAATAAATAAAAACAGCTCACAGGTATGATAGAAACACTTTATAAACAAAATTTAAATACAAATTATTTTTCTTATAGCTGATATTGAAATAGAATCTCCTGGCTGGAAAATAATTATTTTCTTCCATATTGCAGTCCTTTGTCACCAGTTTTTAGTCTGAAGTAAAAGTACCTTTTATATACTTAAATTATATGATTGTCAGAAGCTTTATCATACTAGTAACTGCAGTTATTAAAATTAGAATGTACACACAGTCTTACTGAAAATCCTGCATATTCTTCTGCTGGGAAAATGCAATGCAATAGTCCAGGTTGATCAGAAGCTTGGGTGTTGGATAACCCATTCAAGACACAGGTGGGCTGGTAAGCAGCTGGGAGAGGTATACCTACTGGGGCTCGATTCCTTAGGTTTATGCCCTGAGGTTACCATAGAGAGTTTTGATACTTCACATCAGCGTTACTTTTTTTTATTAATCATTTTATTATGAAAAATTTCAAACATGCAGAAAAGTTTAAAGAATTGTACAGTGAATGCCTGTAATCACCTAGATTCTACAATGAACATTTAGCTCTAGATGATCAGAAATCTATCAATCCATCTATTGACTCTGTATTTTTCTGTTAGATGCATTTCAAAGTAAGCTAAGCCATCAGTGCACTCACCCTAAAGACTTTAGGATGTATATATTAAACTGATATTAACTTGAGGTTCTTTCTTTTTTTATTGTGAGGTCAAATTTACATAGAGCAAAAAAAACAAATCTTAAGGACATCATTCAGTGAGTTTTGGAAAATATGTAATGCTGTGTAACCCAAATCTCTATTAATATACAAAACAATACTATTAATCCCCAAGTTTCCTCGTGCTCCTTATCAATCAGTCTCCACCTCTATCTCCTTAGAGGCAACCACCAATTTCTTTTCACCATAGATGAGCGTTGCTTGTAGAATAAGGGTGAATGGAATTACACAGCATGCGCTCTTTGTGTAGCTCTTCTTTCACTTAGCATAATGTTTTTCTATATTCATCCATATATTGTTGCACGTATAGGCAGTTCCTTTTCTGCTGAATAGTATTCCATTGCATGAATCTACCACACTCTGATTATTTATTCTCCTATTGATCGACACCTGGGCTGTTTCCAGTTTTTGGCTATTATGAATACAGCTGCTAAGAACATTCTTGAACAAGTATTTTTTTTTCATATTTGGCCAGATGTTTTTTATTTCTTCTGGATAAATACTTAAGAATGAAATCACTGGCTTGTATAGTAGATATATGTTTAGTTTTACAAGATAACTGCCAGACTTTTTTCCAAAGTGGTTGTGCCATTTTATACTCTCACCACCAACAAATGAGAATTCTGGTTATTCCACACCTTCAACAACATTTGGGGTATTTCACCTGGTTTATAATTTGCATTTCTTTGATGACTAATGAAAGACATTTTGTCATATATGTATTTGATGTTTATTTATCTTCCATTGTGAAGTGTCTGTTTAAATCTTTTGACCACATTTTAATAGGGCAACTTTTCTTTTTATTATTGAATTATAGTCCTTTATCTATTCTGAATACAATTCCTTCATCAGATATGCGTTCTGTGAATATTTTTTCCCAGGCTGCAGCCTGCCTATTCATTTTTCTACTGGTGTATTTTGTGAAGTTTTAAAACTCAATGCAGTACAATTTATCATTTTAATGGGTATGTATTTCTGTTTCCTATGTAAGAAATCTTTGCCTGCCCCTCAAATAGTGAAGATAGCTTATTTTCTTCTAGAAGATTGATAGTTTTATGTTTTACTTTTAAATTTATAATTCATTTTGTGTGTGTGTGTATGTATGTGTGTGTGGTATGAGGCAGGAGTCAAGGCTAAGGATATTTCGTTGTCTAGCACATTTTTGTTGAAAACTCTTTTCTTTCTTTATTAGATTGCTCTGATGCTTTTGTTGAAAATTAAATTATATGTGTGATTCTATTTCTAGACTCTTTTCTGATCTATTGATTTATTTATCTATCCTACACCAGTACCATACTAATGAATATAGCTTTAAAATAAGTTTTAAAATCAAACAAGTTCTCTTTGTTTTCTTTTCAAGATTACTTTAAACATTTTAGATTCTCTGTATTTTCATATAAATTTTAGAATCAGATTGTCAATTCCTACAAAGAAAACCTGTTGAAATTATAATTGGGATTGTAATAAATCTTTAGATCAATTTTAGATAACTGACATCTTAAAATGTTGTATCCTCCAACCCATAAACAAGGTATGTCTCTTCACAGATTTAGATCTTTCAAAATTTTTCTCAGCAAGGTTTTGTAGTCTTCAGTGCACAAGTCATACACATGTTTTTAAAATTTATTCCTAAGTATTTTATGTTTCTGTAAAAAGAATTTTTAAAAATTTCATTTTCTGATTGCTACTAGTAGATACAAATATCATTAATTTTTGTGGATTGACCTTGTATCCTGCAATCTTACTAAGCTCACTTGTTGGTTCTAGTAGCTATTTATTTTACTTTATTTTATTTTATTTTTGAGACGAAATCTCACTCTTGTCCCCCAGGCTGGAGTGCAAGGGCACGATCTCAGCTCACCACAACCTTCGCCTCCCAGGTTCAAGCAATCCTCCTTCCTCAGCCCCCAAGAAGCTGGGATTACAGGCATGTGCCACCATGCCAGGCTAATTTTATATTTGTAGTAGAGATGGGGTTTCTCCATGTGGGTCAGGCTGGCCTTGAACTCTTGACCTCAGGTGATCTACCCGCCTTGGCCTCCCAAAGTACTGGGATTTCAGGAGTGAGCCACCGCACCTGGCCGCTCTTTTTTTATTCCTTAGGTTTTTATATGTAAACATTTTATGTCTCAACTGAGATTTCCCTTCTTTTTTTTCCTTCCAATTGGTATTCTTTTTTAAAAAAATTTTATTTCATTGGCTCCAATCTCCAGTACAATGATGAATAGAAGCAGTGAGAGACAGCATTGTTGCTTTGTTCCCAATCTTAGAGAGAAATCACTCAGTATTTCACCATTATGTGTGATATTAGTTGTAGATTTTTTTATGGGCACTCTTCACTTCATCAGCTTGAAAGGTACACTTTTATTTCCAATTTGCAGAAAAGAAAATCACAAGTGGCGCTGAATTTGTCATATGACTTTTTTGATCCATTGGGATGATCATGCTGATTTTCTCCCTCATTCACCATTAATATAGTGAATTACTTTGATAGATTATTTTGAAAGTTAAATTAACCTTTCATTCCTGGGATAAATCTGACTTAGCCAAAACATATTATTTTTCTGGTAAAGATTTTTTGTCTACATTCATGAGGACTATTTGTCTGTAATTTTTTTCTCATAATGTCTTTATCAGATTTTTGTATAGCTGCATAAACTGAATTAAGAAGCATTCTTTTTCTGTTTTCTGCAATAGTTCATAAAAGATTGGTGTTACTTTTTCCCTGAAATGTTGATATAATTCACCAGTGAAATAATCTGGGCCTAGAGTTTTCTTTGTGGAAATGTTTTTGATGACAAGTTCAATTTCTTTAATAAATAAATGACTACTTAGATTTCTGAAAAACCTGTGTCATTTGTGGTAATTTTTATTTTTCAAAGACTTTGTTCATTTCATCAAAGTTGTCAAATTTATTGGCATAAAGTTGTTAATACTATGTTATTGTTTTTCTTTTAATGACTGTAGAATCTGTAGTGATGTCTCCTCTTTCATTCCTGATACTGGCAACTTGAGCTCCCTCTCTTTTTTTTCCTCAACTTATCTAGCTAGGGTTTATTAATTTTCTTGATCTTTCTTGATTTTTCCAAAGAATCAGCTTCAGCTTTGTAAATGTTTTCTTTGCAGATGTTGTCTATTGTTTTTCAATGTTGTATTTCATTGATTTCTACTCTTATCTTTTATTATTTCTTCCTTCTACTTAATTTGGTTTTACTTCACTCTTCTTTAACTAGATCAGTGTTTCTCAACCTTGGCACTATTGACATTTTTGATTGGACAATTCTTTGTTGTGAGGAACTATCCTACATATTGTAGGGTGTTCAGCATCAACCCTGGCCTCTACTCGTGAGATGCCAATAGCTCTTCCCCACTGAGTTGTGAAGACAAAAATGTCTTTAGTTATTGGGGAACAAAGTAATTTCTGGCTGAGAATTATTGATCTATATTTTAAAGATATAGCCTGAAGTCATTAATTTTTCTTTTAGTATCGTTTTTCTTTCCTAATATACATATTTAAATCTATAAATTTCCTTTAACACTACCTTAGCTGCATTTAAAAGTTTTAATATTTTTTATTTTCATTATGATTCAATTAGAAATATTTTCTAATTTTCTTTATGCTTTCTTGTGTGGCCCATGATTTATTTAGATATATTCTGTTTAATTTACAAGTATTTTGGCATTTTTCTAGATCCATTATTACTTCTTTGCAATTTAATTCCATTGTGAGAAAATATACTCTGTAAGATTTCAATCTTTTTAAATGTACTGAGACTTGTTTTATGAACAAACATTTAGTATTTATTGGGGAATATACCAAGTTCTCTTGAAAAAAAGTAAATTCTGTAATGGTTGGGTGTAATGTGCTTAATAACAATTAACTAACAAACATTAATTTAGTCAAGGTGATAGTGTTGTTCAGGTCTTCTATGTATTTATTGATTATTTTTTATAAAAGTGTTAAAATCTCTAATTATTATTCTAAATTTATTTCTCTATTTAATTCTGTTGACTTTTGATTCATGCATTTTGAATCTCTGTTATTTGAGATATACACATTTATTATTATTATGCATTTCTCATGAGTAGGCTGTCTTATCATTGTAAAAGATCCCTTTTTATCTCTGCTGAAACTGATTGTTTTGAAATCTACTTTACTTGATATAAATATAGACACTTTAGTCTCCTTATGCTTACTGTTTGCCCAGTGGCACTTCTGTTACTTTTGTAAGTAGAAATAATACTGTAATATTTTATGTTTATATGGTACAGTATTTATGAAGCAATTGGCTTCTATGCTCTCCTTTGATATTCTCAGCAATCTTACAGATAAATAATATTGTTATCTCCATTTTACAGAGATAAAACTGAGTCCACAGGAATTAATTGACTGTCCCAAGATCACAGTGGTGAGTGAGCACCAGCCTGGTCTCAGTTTTACCCTGATGCCTGGACTCTTTACCATTATGCTATGCCATTCTCTATAGATTAAGTGGAAGGAGAATTGGAGAGATCCTGTGTAGCAAATCACAGGATAGGTGAGGGCAAAGGTAGGAAGTGTATGTGGAGAAGGTGTCTTCTAAAGACACAGTGTTCATAGTTCCACTCCAGGGCTCAAGATTGGCTGTAAAGGCCAGGCACAGTGGCTCATGCCTGTAATCACAGCACTTTGGGAGACAGAGGTGGGCAGATCGCTTGAGCCCAGGAGTTCAAGACCAACCTGGGCAACATGGCAAAACCCTGTCTCTACAAAAATAAAAAAAATTAGCTGGGCATGTTGGCGGCATGCGCCTGTTTTCCCAGCTACTTGGTGAGCTGAGGTGGGAGGATCGCTTGAGCCTGGGAAGTCGAGGCTGCAATGAGCTGTGTTCATCCCATTGCACTTCAGCTTTATTGACAATGCAAGACCCTGTTTCAAAAGAAAAAAAAAGATTGGCTGTAAAGAAGAAACTTTTGGTTATAAAGTTGGTGAGGCATTGTCAGTAGTACTGGAGTGAATGGAATCAGCAAGTTCTGTCAGTGTCAAAGGAGGTGCTGGGCTGTAAATGTCACTGTCACAACATACACACATAATGACCATCATCCAATTACCTTCATTATGTTGTATGTATTATAGTTTTGCCTAGAGGCAGAGAGCAGGATAAGATGATGTCTGCTGGGCTACCTACCCTAAGATTCCATGACTCCTTCTTAGGGGAGCCACAAGAGAAGTTGATGTCTTGAGGTGCCAGTCAGATGGAGAAACTGACTTTCCTTGCAGGAGCCCTTCCTTGCTACTCATCTGGCAATCTATGTCCTAAGTGGCCAGGCTGTGGGTTCCCCCAGGCTTGGCTGTTCCAGCTGGACCCAGGAGCTCAGCTATGCAAATACCCATTATGAGTTTGTATTTGTGGCAACCTCACCTCTTGTTTTTAAATCTCCAATGCCCACTAGAAGATATTCTGTCTAGAAAATATGAACAGTAGTTTTTAATTAATTTGTTTGTTTTTTGTTCAAATGGTGAGTTTCATAACTCATAGGCATGCACTTGTGATTTTATTAGATATTCTTAGCTTCATTATGGTGATTTATCTAACAAAATTGTATTTTGCTTTCATTTGCCACCTAGTCCAATGCTATAATCTACGCTTCTGCAATCTGCTGTTCCTAAGATAAGCTGTGATCTTCTGCTCCTATGTTTTTGACATGCCCTTTTTCTCCTCATTGACTCACATCTAATGACCAGTTCAAATACCACTTTATCTGAGAGCTACCCGCCAACCCAATATGGCCAGAGTAAATGACTCTGAACTCCCAAAGCCTGTTGAAGAAATCCTTCCCCTTCCAGTGAACCTTGAGCATCCCCAGGAGGCAACTCACTCCCCTTTAGAAGGTGTGTATAGGGAGGGGCTGGGTTTTAGACCCTGTGGGGCAAGAACAAACCTGCTGGGAGAGGTGTGCACTGGTCACACCAGTCCTGAGTGGTCATTCTCTGCTCATCAAGTTGTCACGTCTGGGGAAGACTCTTTGCATTGACCAGTGGTGTCTATTTTTGCTCTATAGTTGGATGGAAAGGGTTAAGCAGTTAGGCAATCCCCCTGTGGCTCAGTAATTTCTGGAGAATTGGCACAAGTAACTTGCATAATGCAGACTTATCTCCTGGATGATGCAGTGCCCTGCAATTCCAATGCAAATGAGCTCCAGCTGTGTTAGCCTCTGAGACTAAGGGGTTTGGCTGGGCCACTCCTGGGAGCCCTTGCAGATCACTCTTGGGAGCTCTTGCAGATCCTCCAGCCCAGGGGACAGACAGCAAAAGTCCATACAGAACTTCCTATGTTGGGGTGAGAATTATGCTAGAGGTGACTATCACCACCTTCTCAACAGATAGGGTTAGGAGTAAGGTCAGGAGTAAGGCACAAAGGGCTGAGGGGCTCTTCAGTCTTGCCCCATTGTATTCATTTTCATAGGGTTTATCCCAGCCACACAGGTGTGCAAAGTCAACTTCTGTTGTCCTACAAAGCCTCTAATTATTTAATAAGCACTTATATAGGGCTTACTATGTGTTAAGCACTGTTGAAAGTATTTAGCAGATATTAAGTTATTCCCTCCTATAGCAACCTCAGCGTTCTGGCTCGGAGTCTGTGACTGGTTATGGTGAGCATGACCTATGAGGTCAGACAGATCTAGCTTCAAAGTCTGGTTCTATCACTTAGTAGATCTGTGACCAAGGACAAGTTGCTTGGTACCCGTCTGCCCCAGTTTCCCCATTTATAAGATGGGTCCTTAAGAGATTATGATGAAGATTAAATGGGAACGTGCATGCAAAGCACTCAGCCTAGGACCTGATGTTTTGCATGATGGGTGGCTGTGATGACAATGAGGAGGAAAACCTGCTTTCTTAGGGATTTCTCTATGAAGCCTGCGGGATTTGATGCCAATGTGCTCTCCCCTGAACAGAAAACTGTCTACTGTGTTCTAGGGAGATGTGGCCGCCACCTTTCTAAACTCTGGAATTCCACTGGGGGTGATCAGGGTTTCCACTTACATAGGGATCCCCATGCCCTCAGGAGATCTGCTGTCTGGCGAAATGATGAAGAAAGTACAGGAAGTCGTTAAACCAGAGATCTTGCCAGAGAGTCTTAGGACACTGTCCAGGCAGAAAACTCAGTTCCGTGCATTTGTGCTTCTGATCTGATTCACTTCTTTGCCAGGTGCAGCAGAAACCTTGGCTTATGCCTGCAGAGGGAGTTAAAAGGGCCAAAGCTCATCACCTTTCTGAACATTTGCCCCTCCTTAGCTGGAGTGCTCTCTACCATGAGAAGCCCTCTTTGTGAAGAAGATCTCGAAGCTCTCTGTTAATAAGGCAGCCTAGGATATAGGGACTCCTCGCCGCATCTCCAGGGAGAAACTCCTATTCCAATCCTGCCCCTTTAGAGGAAGGGAGGACAGGAGTCTTGACCATCCTAAACCCATTCACTGTGTTTTCCCTTGAATATTCAGGGATCTGGAATGCTCTCAGGGAAAGCACAGCGAAGAGGCCCAGGTCCTGGATGTCACTGAAAGGTCCAAAGGCACCAGCTGGAAGCTGAGGATAACCTTTGCCCCTTTGTAACTTCACTTCAAGCCTGTCTTTTGCTAGAGGCCTGGGACTCTTAGACTCCCTCTGACCTCTGGGCTGGCCCCACTGATCTCTGGGCTGATAGGCTTGGATTTTGTCGGCAGCCTCAGACACCGGGAAGCCTGATGATCCAGCCTTCTACCCACTCCCAGTCCCTACTTTCCCACTTACAAGTTAGCCCACTGGCAGAAAGTTAATGATTGATTTATTAAGTTCCACAGGAATATCACCTCCCAACCCAAACCCAGATGACTAAAGAAGACTTTTATTTTAGGGTCTAACTAGTCATAAAACGTATTTTGCTGAGGAGCACAGATGCGGATTTTGTGCCTCAGAGCAGTGTGTTTGCTGAGCTGGTTCAGGAGGACATCTGTGGCTCTGGTGTGGGAGGTAAATCCTGCCCTGCACAGCTCCCCGGGGACTGGGTTTCCACTGGATCAAGATAAGGCAGGTAGAGCTATTGTCAATATTTAATCAAGATGCACAGGATTCGGCTCTGTAAAGGCAGCACTCAGGCCTGTGTTTGCAGACTCTGGAGGAGTGCCAAGGAAAGTGTTAGGCCCCTGGCCCGTGCTGTAAGGGCAACATGACATAGTTATTTATCCCACAGTCAATCCCAGGAATTTGGATGAATATGCCATGCTGGATAGCACCTCCCAGGCTCCTGCATCTTTCACAGCAATGCTGGTGCTTTGTGTCTGTGCTTGGCTGTAAGGGACAAAGGTGGGAGCTCTAGCCCTTACTCTTTGGGAAAAACCCCCGTTTTCTGAATTGGATGTTCCCAGGCCCTTTCTTATTGCCCCTGCTGCTCTGTCTACCTTCTCTGCTCAGCCAGCGCTCAGCAGGCTCAGCCAAGCCGGGGTCTTGCCCCTTTCTATTTCCCAATGACTCATCCTAGGGATTTGGTTTCCCTAGGGCTGATCTGCCCTCAGATCTGAGGGGATTCCTGGGCTCTGCTGCACTGGTGACAGGATGGTGGACCCTGAGCAGCTGAGTCCTGGCTTCTGTGGCCTACTCCATAGCATCCTCTGACCTCAACACACAAGCACATCGTCCTTGGTTCCCACCCAGCTTTCCTCCTGGATGTCACTTGCCCTCCCATTTCTCCCCTTGGGTGTGTGTATAGGGTGCTGGGCAGGAATGAGCTCTTGATATCCCCTGATAGAAGTCCTGGAGGTGGATTGGACTATTTAGTACTTCCTGACAGATCTCCTCCAGCACAGTCACCCAAATCACAGTTCCTCACAGGACTTTGGGAGCAATGAAAGCTCCCAATAATGACCGATTGCTTATTATGCTCTAGGCATAGGGATAAGAGCTTTAGGCATTACCTCATTTAATTCCTCACTACATCTTCTGAGGTATTGTCATCAACTTCATTCTATAGAAGAGGCTAAAGAGATACAGAAAGTTTAAGTAGCTTATGTACAGTCACACAGCTCTCGAGTAGCCAAGCTGGGATGGAAGCTAAGGCCTGTCTGAGTCCACACTGCATCCTTGATCACCAAATGCCACCATTTCTCTACTGTAAAGAATTAGGACAAACTTATTTTAGATTTATTATAAGCACACAAGTAACACATGAATACATTATTCTTGTGAAACAATTCAAACAGCTCAGATAAGGCTAGAATCCCCTTGATCAGCATTCTCTCTTTTCTACCACTTTCCCCTTCTCAATGGGTAATTTTGTTATCAGTTTGGCTTGCGTAATTTCAGACCTTTTCCTATACGTTTACATACATGTATATGTCTGCATACAAAACACCCACATCTCTTGTTGTTCTGTAACATGTGGAATCATACTTGTAAACTTCATTCTGAAACTTCCTTCACTTCACAATATGTCTCTTTTCATGTAAGCATGAGCAGATTCATTCATTCCTTTCTACCGCTGCCCAGAATTTCATGTGATGGTTATACAGCATAGTTCTCTGTTTTCTGTTTCTGGTCATTCCCCAGTCAGTGGAAATGTTCACCCAGTTGGTGAACATTTAAGTTGTAACTAAATGTCCATTATAACAATACTTCATTGAAGATCCTTAGACATAGCTCCCCGTGTTCTTTGTGAGTATTTTTCTAGGGCGATGCCGGTGGAATTGCTGTGTGATAGAGTATGCAAATTTTTAATTTTTATAGACATTGACAAATGATCCTCTAAAGTGGCTTCACTAATCAATAGCTTTGTAAGAATTGTTACATACGTGTTGGGGAAAAGCACTGTCTTTCCAGGGAGAGCAGCACAAGAGAAAGTGTGCTGAAATTGCAGGAGGATGCAGCAAGTGGTGTGAGCTGTGGCTTCACAGCTGTCCAGTTGGGCAGGTGATGACCTCTATGGGCCTCAGTGTTTACACCTGCAAAATAGAGACCACAATCTCAATAACTCAGAGGGCCATTGTGAGGATTAGTTGAGATGATTTTTGAGCAGCTTATAGCATATGGCCATGTTCATACAAAGCACTTGACAACAACAATCATTAGCTAGGCGGGGAGAAAATGAAGACAGGGAAGGGTTGGGCTGTCTTCCCTGGAAAATCTTTAGGGACAGCAAGCCTACACCTGGGATAGACTCAGGTGTTATCCTCTGGAGGGAGGTTTGGATGACAGGGCTTTGATACCCAGCCAAATTCAGAGCAGAACGATAAGCCACAAGCCATGACATTGACCTTGAGTTATCTTCAGTCCAGCCTACGGGAGGCAGAATACATGGACAGCATGGATATTCATTACCTTTTTATGAAAATTATAAATTCACAAGAAATTCTTTTTATGTTTTTGCCTTTGAACTACTCTAACTTTTAAACCCGAACCCCTTTAACATTCTGTGTGGCAAATGCACAGGGTTTTAGGCCATTAAGGCAATGCCAGGAAAGGAATAATGCTTTCATCTGGTACGTTTATTTTCCTGCTATCAGCATGGCATAGTCATCTTGGCTCTGACTTTGACTTGGTATGAGTAATCTTGAGAAAATTGCGGAAGCTCTCAAAGTCTCAGTACTTTGTAAAAACTGGATGATAATTATATCTATAAGAAAAGCTAATGCTTATGGAGCACTGAAAGTGTTCCAGACAATGGGCTAATTACATTTCAGCTGCATTACTTTGTTACTATCTAATTTACTGCTCATAATTAATAGAAGTGGATGATGGTTCCTGGAGGTGAATCTGAGTTCAAATCTATTTGCAGCACAGCCTTGGGCAAGTGTCCATGTTTCTCTGTGGCTCAGGCAGTTTTGTTGGGAAGGTTAAGAGA
Organism: Homo sapiens; assembly: GCF_000001405.40. Lineage (NCBI taxonomy): Eukaryota > Metazoa > Chordata > Mammalia > Primates > Hominidae > Homo > Homo sapiens. The sequence goes on along the minus strand of NC_000011.10, from coordinate 111,332,077 downwards.
CTGATATATAAGACTCCAGAATTAACCCATGGTCTCTTAGCAGGAGAGGGCCCCTCCCTGACCATAATGGGAAGCAACAAGTACCAGACAGACCTGTGAAGGATGCCCTGCTCCAAGTGCCAACTCTGATTGTGGGACAGAGGTTGGCCGGGGAGGCAAAGGCCCTTGTGAAAATCCAAGCAAAGGTAATCCTGAGAGCATTTATAGTCCCCAAGTACCAGGGCTGAGCCCATCTCTCCTGAGGAGTCGTGGTCTTCTCCTGGGCCTGGTAGATGAGGGCACTGTTGGCAATCTTTGGCTTAAGAGGAAGCAATGGGGCCCCTGTCTTCCAGGCCTGCTTCTTGGAAATGTTCATGGTGAGCCTTGTCCACGGCTTCTTAAAACCACAATCTCCCCACTTCCATCCCTCTCCATGCCCAACTCCACTGTGTCAAAGGATTGCCCACGGCCTAATCCCTCTTCCTCCAGCTTGTAAACCCTGCTGAAACCCAGCGCAAAAGTTACCCAGGAGGGGAAGCAAAACAGCCTCTTCTTGGCTTCTTGGAGCTCATCAGGTCTGCTTTCCTGACAAGGGGTCTGTAAGATGGGAATTCTAAGAATGGCAGTAAGAGAACGGGACACCAAGAAAGGTAAGTTTTGATGGCAGAGTGCTTTGGAGACTTGTCCCAGGAGGCAGGCCTAAGCATGGGGCCATAGAAAGAGGAGGGAAGGGAGAAGAAGAGGGAGAGGGAGAGAAAGAGAGCAGAGGTGAGGGGGAGGGAGGGGCAGGAGGAGGGGTCAGGGAAGATCTGATGAGTGTGGAAACTGAGGCACATAGGGGTGAAGTTCCTTGCTCAAAGGCACATAGCAGTAAGAAGAGGTGCCAAAATTTGAACCCGAGTAATCTTTTCTTCAGAGCCTATGCCCTGAACCACTATAGTGAACAGCCTTTGTAAAATGGGGCTACTATGACCATACCTATATTTTACTGAGTCCTTGGGAAGGATAAAATATTCACGACTGGTGCCTGGGAAAAAGTTGACAACACTGGTTCATTCCCTTCTGCCTGCTCTCTTCTGTTTTTAAAATGGAGGCACATGGCCATGGAGAGTCCTGGTTACTATTACTTAATAGACTCAGATCTCTCCCTACCACAGAGGGATGGATTTTTAGTAAAGGAGCCTGTGCTGTATGTGTTTGTGATGGGGAAGGCTGGTGGTGGTGGTGGGGAAGCTGGGCGGCCACCTGCATTCCTCTGTGTTGTCTCCAGACCAGACAGGGGCCAAGACCTAAACAGGCTTAGGAGCCTGGAGAGAGATAACAGGGCCCAGGGCTGACCTTTCAAGTTCAGGTTCCTGCAGCCTGCAGGGAGCCAGGGGACAGGTGGCTTCAGAGGCCTTTCTAAGTGTGCACTTTGTCCTGGACTGTGACCTTGGAATATGCCCAGCCCCTGTCTGGGCTGGCAGATACCAGGCATCATCATAAGGGCATGGAAGACGGTGATCCCTGAGGCCTTCAGACCTGGTCCTCTGCCCCAGTTATGGTCTCATCTGTCCTCAGACCCTGGATAAAGCAATTGAGCTGCCAGGCTGAGGTCTTTGCAGGCAATGCTTCTGCTCAGGCCTGAATGTGATGTACTGAGGGAAAGCAGCCAAGTGTCATGAAGTGAACTCTGGCCCAGTCAACCTGGGCTCAAACCCTGACTCCATTTACTAACCTGATGACCCTGGTCAAATCACTTTACCTCTCTACACCTCAGTTTCTTCATCTGTAAAATGAGGATAATAATACTGGTCTCAGAGCTTGTGGGTGGTTCAGTTAAAGGTGCCCACATTTGTCAAAAGGCTTGGCATAGAACAGGAGCTCCTCTTCTTTTTTTACCTCTCTTTGGAATTGCTCCTTGTCTGATTAAGACATTGGTTCTGAGGCCACCTTCTCTGATCATCTACTTTGTCTTCCTTGAGTCTAAAAGCATCAGGAAGGACCCAAAGCACCCTGGAGCTGGCCCCATGCTTGGAGCTGGAGTGACTGACGAAGCCTAGCCAGGTTCCCCTTCCAAGTAGCCTTGAGAGGAGAGGCCAGACTGGGCTGAGACCCAGAAGGCAGCAACAGTCTCTGCTAGGAAAGTACCCAGAACCACTGGGGTAGATTCTTGTAAATTTCAGTTATATCTCCTGGGAACGAGTCCTGGCTTGCTTTGATAGATTTTTTTTGGCTTTCAAGTTACGGCACATGATTTCTAAATCTCAAAGCCCTCTAGCAATATGCAAATGGTTTTAATTTGAGGTGTAACAGACAGGTGGAATTAGCACTCTGAAGCCAGCACTTTCTTGGTAGTTCCTGCCATGAAGCAGATAACTCAGAAGCAAGTTGATTTTTTTTCCTATAGAAATCATTTAGGTCTCTCTCATCTGGTGGTCTTTCTAGGCTGTGGTGTTGAAGAGGGTAACATTTAAGAACACTCTAAGAAGAAATTTTATTTTCCTGCTTTTGAATATGACATGTTTTCTGTGAGTGTGTTTAGCAGGAATAAACCGGGGGCTGTTGCTTGGGTGATGGTTGGGTCAGTCTTAGATCAAAGACGAAGCTGCCAGCCAACTCTGGGCCTTCCCTGGGGCTTGTTTTGGTGTTTCCTTGTCTAACTTTCCTTTTTTTCTCTAACTTTTTGTGTGCTTTTCTTTTTTTGTGGGACGCTCTGTTCCAATAGGGGAATGGCCCTGACTACATTACTGGGATTAAGATAATGGTTAAAAGCATGATCTTTAGAGTTGAAGTAATGTGGATTTAAATTCGGACTTTTTCCATTTTCAGTCCTTGTGACTAGGGACACTTTAATTCACCACCCTAAGACTTGGTTACTTCTAGGATGGATATAAAAACAGCACCTATTTCACTTTGCCAGGATTAAAAACATAATTATGTAAATCACACAGAACAGCAATATAACACTTAAAAACTCTTACAGAATGTTTAGTAGTACATGTTGAATATCCTTTATCCAAAATACCTGGGATAAGCCATGTTCTAAATTTCAGATTTTTTCAGATTTTGGAGCATTTGCATTATACTTACCTTTTGAGCATCCCTAATCCAAAAATCTGAAATTTGAAATGTGATAATGAGCATTTTCTTTGATTATCATGTTGGTGCTTAAAAACGTTTCAGATTTTGGAGAACTTTGGATTTTGGATTTTTGGATTAAGGATATTCAATCTGTATTATCAATATACTTAGGAGCTCCAACCCACCAGCAGCAACTGATAAGTCATGTGACGATTCCAAACTGTGCTTAGTGGTCCATGGCGAAATGAGAGAAAGAACAGCCTGGTTCTTGGTTCTAAGAAGATCAGAGAAAGACGAGACTTACACATGAATGGAAAATGATGAGCTAAACAGATGTGAGTCAGTGTTTAATAAAATGCTAAGTTGAATTAGGCGGGTGATAAGAGAAACTGAAATGCAGGGAAGAGAGGTCACTATGAGAAGTGGGGGCTGCCTACCATTTACTGTGCATATACTATGTGCGAAGTTTCACTGGGCCTCTCAATCCTTACCATAGCCCTGGGGAGTGGACATTTTTACGCCCATTTTATTCACAAAAGGGCGCTAAGAGATGTTAAATGAGTCATCCAAGGCCATACAGCTAGAATTGGCATTTGAACCTAACCTGTAATGTGGGGGGCAGGCTTGAGCTGACCTTGAAAGAAGGGTAGAGTTCAGAAAGGCAGAAGTAAAAGGGAGCTGCATTCCTTGGCTTGCAGCTTTATGGGGCTGTGGAACTGTGCCCAACTTGGAAGACATTAGGACTGTTGCTTGGGGCAAGAGAAGGCCCCGTTAGGGAAGACTGCTGGGCTTGTCATGCCTGGCAGGCCGTGGGCATCAGGGCCAGCCAGTCCTGGCAGGCAAAGACCACATACGGCTTCTGTCTTGCCACAGCCCAGAAATGAAACCTGATATGCACCCTGGCCCTGCAAGACGCCAGGCATTTGCCTTCTTATCAAGCTGGGCACATTCCATGGCCAAGTGGCCACCTGGGTGACTTCTGTCAGGGCAGATCTACTTCAGGCTGTGTGTGCATTTGCATTCCTGCCTGTCTGGCAAGTTTTGCATTTTGAGAGTCTGCCCTGGCTAGAGGGCGGCTGGCAGGATGGTGTGCTACTCATGCTGCCCTCCAGCAGCAATGGGACTGACGGCACCCTGGGACAGGCACTGGGTCTGGTGTAAGAGGACCTAGATTTGAATCCTGTTCTACCTTTCTTAGTTGTATGACCCTGGGTGGGCCACCTCATCTCTCCAGGCCTCCATTTCCTTGACCATAAAATGGGAATGGTTAAAAAACCCCTACTTTTAGTTTCATGTTGAATATTAAATATCATAAAGAGGCTGACTTACCTTGGTAGGTGTTCCACAAAATTAATTACTATTTTTAATGGTATTAGCTGTTTCTGGAATATTGAGAGTCTTGAGCTTTAGAAAAGGGCACAGGCAGCAGGGTTGGGGATGGTGGGGAGTGGTCAAGAATGAATACAAAAATGTGGTGTGAAGCTGCCATGATACCTGGCTTGCTTACCCTTGGAAGAGCCCCAGCTTCCCATCCTGAGCTACGAGAGGAAATTTGAGTGAAGTTTGGGCTTTTTGGAACTCTATGCTTCACCTGATTGCTCAGAAGGGCTATGTGTTGTGATGAGACTTCGCCCCTAAAAATTCTCTGCTGGGCTGAAGCTGGGCTTGAGGAGAGTTTAGCTCAAATGTATTACCCAGCTGGGAACTACATCCCAGATGAGAGACAGTAGCAATCATATGTGCAAATGAAGCATACATTTGGACATTATGCATAACAATATGCAAATAAGCATAATATTTTTTATCTTATATCTAGAGCTTAGTAGAAACAGAACACAATATGTGTCAGATACACTTAGATTTAAACCACAGCTTGCCTCCTGTGTGAACTTGGGCAAGCTCCTTAATTTCTGTTAGTCTCCTTTCTCATGTGAGGAGGGCCACATTCCTTTACCTTTTCTTTCTCTGGGCACTCGCAACAGCCGTGTGAGGTTGGCAATATTACGATTATTATCATGATGAGCAAACAATCTGAGATCACTTAAGTGATTTGGCCAAGATCACTCATCTAAGAGACCCAGGGTAAGAACAAGGTGTTGCACTAGGATCAAGCCCTACCTGTTGAAAACCTCAGCCAGGTCCCCAGGGACCCTGACAAAGGAGTCCTGAGCTGGCTGTCCAGTTGGAGACCTTGAGCCCGTCCTCAGACTTCCCAATCCTTGTGCCTTTCCCAACTAAATTCCTGTTGTCTGGTGATACCAGCTGGATATTTGCATAGTGTATCTCAGAGAACAATCTCAGGCCAAAACCCTGATGTGTTACGAGATGCTGGCTAGTGATATGAGGCACCATTTTTCTGTTGTCATGGAGCAGATGGGGTAGATTGACTATTTCAGGGGGGTGTAAAAGTTTTCTGGACAGCTATTGCTAAAAAAGCTCATAAATGGGCTGCAAGGTGTTTCTATGGAGACCTTTATTGGGCTTTATGAAGAGTCCCTAGGGAATTGTCCAAAGGGCCCAAGGTTTTGATTTTGACTATTTCAACCTGAAGTCAGCTTTATTCTCAAAAACCTGGCTGACCAGCCAACATCTCTGAACACAACACAAAATTGGGTGACAGTGGGGATTGTAGTTCTGGTTAATTCTGGGTTTCAGAAAATGGAACGACTCCTTAGAGGTGGCAGACCTGTAGATCAAATAGGAATTTTATTTTCCTCAGTAAATGAGGGGAAAATTCAAAGTGGCTAGAGGAGATGCTGTCACTTTTGTGAATGCATTCTTAGTGTTTTCTTCATTTGGCCTTGCACTTGTTAGCAGGAGCACGTGGATGCTGACTGCTGTGAGGTGCCAGGGGAAGAGGAAGAGAGGCTGCATGATGAACTGCACTAGGCCAGGAAGAGCAAGTTTCTACTAATCAGGTTGCATGCCAGTCTGAGATCTCAGTTTAATGTTTTGTCAAAGAAGCAAGATTGTCAGAGGTAAGGAATAAAACTAGGGTATAAAAAGAAAGGAGAAAGGTTGAGAAGAAAGATGAAGAGGAAAATCAAGGAGGCAGAGGAGGATAAAGGAAGGAAGGGAGAAAAAACAAAAGAAAAAGAGGGAAGGAAAGGGGGGAAAAAGAGTATGGAGAGTATTCCATGACTACTTCACAAGCAAGGATGGAGAGAAGAGGCTGGAGAAGAGGCAGGTGATGGTTTCCTGAGTCAGGCCCAGGGCTGGAGACACAGTGGTTTGATTGACAGTTTTGGAGGCTTCCGACTAGGGCTTAGGGTCTGCTGACCTCTTAGTTTCAGCTCCTCCTCTTACTCCCCTTATCCTCCCAGCTTCATGGGGTATAGGTGAAAGGAATAGAGGACAAAGAATATTTATCAAAGTTTTCCTTTAAGAAAAGGTAACTTATCTTAGTCCTTTTGTTCTGCTATAACAGAATTCCCGAGACTAGGCAATTTGTAAAGAACAGAAATTTCTCACAGTTCTGGAGGCTGGGAAGATCAAGGCACCAGCAGGTTTGGTGTCTGGTGATGGCTGCTCTGTGCTTCCAAGATGGCGCCCTCACGCTGCATCCTCCAGAGAGAAGGAACACTGTGTCCTCATGGCTGAACACGGAAGGGCAAGTGGGGGCCAACTCCTTGTGCCAAACCTCTGTATAAGGACACTTAATTCCAAGCCCGAGGAAGGAGCTCTCATGGCCTAATCACCTCTTAAAGGCCTCATCTCTTAATACTATCACATTGGCTGACTTTTGGAGGGGACCCATTGAAAACATAGCATAACCCAATTCTGCCCTTCCCAGTATGATAAGCTGCCAAATCCATCAAGTCTGTCTCTGGGTGAGCGTCTCTTCTTTGTGGCTTTTAAAGTGTAACAACTCACTGTGTGTCAGGATGCAACATACAGTGCCTGCTTTCTCGTTTTCACAGATTTCTCTTCTTTTCATCAATGCTTGTGATGTAGTCACGAAACGGAGTCCGTACTTTTCCCCTTCTCTCCTTCCCTCTTTCTTTTTCTTTTCTTTTCTATCCCTTCCTTCTTTTAATCTCTGCCTCCTTGATTCTCCTCTTCTTTCCTCTCAATCTTTCTCCTTTCTCTGTATACACGAGTTTTGGTCCTTACTTCTGACAATCTTGCTTCTTCAATAAAATTGTGGGCTCCCTGAGGCCAGCGACCATGTCCTGGACATTTGTCCACATGGTTCTCAGCGAGGATTTGACCTTCCTGGTCTGTGACTTTGCTGCAAATACCAAGGCAAGATCACTGTCTTTCCTCACCCAGCCCTCCTGGGATGCATTTTTTGATTCTTTGAGCTGTCTGCTGTTGAAGCAGCTTTTGTAGCTGATGGTTGCCTTGTCTCTTTCCTGGATGGCTGGTGCCTACTCTCAGCCCAGCGTTAGCGCTGCTTGTTTTGGCTGCACAGACCCTTTTTCAAAGGAAAGAAGTGGTTTTGGATAGCAAGCAGGCAAGTCTAGCACTCCCCCTTCTCTGCATTTCTTTATTTCCCTGCAGGCAACAAGAATTCTTAGTGGCTGGAAAAACTAAAAATATCTCTGAGCCTTACGTTTCTGACTCACCGTGTCTGAAAAATGAACAAAAACAAACAAAACCCAAAACAAATTCTCTAGCTCTACTCCTAGGATATTATTGCAGACAAATACCATTATCCAGATTTCAAAGAGTGAAACCTTGGCTTTTCGTTGCTATGGGTTATGACCATGATGCAGAGATGCATGAGAGTAGGGAACAAGAAGTCTCCAGAGAAGGGTGGATTTGAAACCTTAAGGTTAAATAGCTAATGTTCTGGTGCCCTTGATACGTACCAGGCACCGGCACCAGGATAACTGCTTCACGTACATTTTCTTTTTTCTTTTTCTTTTTTTTTTTTTTTTTTTTGAGATGGAGTCTCACTCTGTCACAAGGCTGGAGTGCAGTGGCATGATTTCGGCTCACTGCACCCTCTGCCTCCCTGGTTCAAGCGATTCTCCTGCCTCAGCCCTCCCGAGTAGCTGGGACTACAGGCATGTGCTACCATGCCCAGCTAATTTTTGTAGTTTTAGTAGAGATGTGGTTTCACCATGTTAGCCAAGATGGTCTTGATTTCTTGACCTTGTGATCCGCCCACCTCAGCCTCCCAAAGTGCTGGAATTACAGGCATGAGCAACCGCAACCAGTCTTTTATTTTTATTTATTTATTTATTTATTTTTTTGAGACGGAGTCTCGCTGTGTCACAAGGCTGGAGTGCAGTGGCACAATCTCAGCTCACCGCAACCAGCTTCACGTACATTTTCATTGAGTCCTCAAACAACTGTAGGAGGCAAGCCAATGTTCCGTATATGCCCATTTGTAATGAGAAAACTGAGGCTTAAGAAAGGCTAAGTAGTTTACCTTAGCTTACATACCTAGAGGGGCAAACCTGGGAGGGACTCCAGTTCTCATTCTCTTCTTAGCTCTTATATTGTGCTACCTCCAAAAGGAAAACGATAATTTCAAAGTCATAGAAAGCTTTTAGGAATCAGGCTCCGGAGGGAGACAATCTCACCTAAAATGAGCTCTCAGAGTAATAAATCATTGCAAGAAGATTGTGAGGTTTGCCTTTATTTTGTATGTTTGGGTTCATTTGACTAGCCCTATAAAAGTATGCTGTTTATTTCTGGATACCATTGCTACAATTTTTGTTGCTGTCACTAGGTAAACAAGCATCTTAATTCAGAACCAGTGGCACCAGCATCAACTGGGAGTTTGTTAGAAATGCAAGGACTCAGGCCCGACCCCAGACCTCCCGAGTGAGAATCCCGGAGATTCTCTGCTTGAACGAGACCTACAAATGATTCAGGCACATGTGAAAATGTGGGAAGAGCTCACCGTCTCGGGATGTGGTTCTAGACCCTAAGTGCTTAGGGTTTTTCTCAGGAGTAGAAATAACTGAAAGCAGAGAAAATGGATTCACAATTCAGTCCCTCCTTTTTCCTATAGGAAAATAAATTTTAATTTTTTAAAAAATATTTAACTACGCATGATGTAACTCATAACAATGACCAACTGCTAAGAATTGATTATTTAAAAACATCTTTTCTCCCACGTGTTAACTCATTGAATTTCACAAAAAGCCAATGAGGTAAGCACTTTTCTTACTCTCATTTTGCAGAAAAGGAAGCAAGGCATAGAGAGGTTAAGTAAATTATCCAAGGTCAACACACTTAATAGCAAGTAAAAACAATTTTTTTAAACAGTAAAATTTACCTGAAACTAAATACCTGGGAACACTTCAAGCATTGCGTGCACTGAACATCACCTGTTTCCAGTCTAACACCTAGAGACTTTCTGAGTCACTCCACAGAATGAGGTACTCATAGCTCAACAAAAGCATTTAGCCACCTGTATACACTTATTAGAGAGAAGAACAGAAACAACAACCACTTATTAAGTGCTTCTATTTACAGTCAATAGCGCTTTACTACTTGCATTTATATTATTTTTTTTTGGTACCTCAACTTTTGAATCTTTTCTGATTTACTTTATAAAAGAGAACTTCACATGGGATTTTGAGGTTTTGTCAAAGGAACTGTGTCTGAATCACCTTTCCACTGCCCAGTGCTTGGTGCAGCATTTTGTAGCTGCACAATAAATGCCTGTTGAAGGCAGAACAGCCTAGCAACTTCAAGCTCTTTCCTCTACGAAGAAGCCTTTCCATTTTTTTGGGGGGGCATTTAACATAAATAGTTCAAAGACATCATTTGAAACACAGATATGCTCGAGTAGTTTCCTCATAGAGGGCATGATACCGTCTGTGCAGAACATCTTAGTTCTTTCTCTGTTCTGCATCACGTTTTACTGCGGAGGTTTCCAGTTCAGCATTTTGTTGTCAGTCAACGGCGCTCTCATTTTGCTGAGTGGGGATGAAGTGGGTCAGTTGTGTGAACCACTCACCCCAGGAGAATTCTGTTCCAGAAGTATCCAGGAACTTTCCTAGGGGAAGAAAACACAGGCTATGGAATAGGCTGTGGAATTACACGGAGTTAGGTTTGAATTATGGTGCTCTAACTTACTGCCTTGGGCAGTTGACTCAATCTATCTGAATCTTAGTTTTCTCATGTATAAAATGGGATAATAATACCTACTCCATTGGTTTGGTTATGGAGATGAAATGAGATAGTGCATGTAGGCAGTCTAGCAGAGAATCTGGTACACAGCAGACACAAAATAACAGGGGTTGGGGGCATTTGCAGAGGTGACCAGATGAAGTCAGCAAAACCATTATTTTCTCCTAAAGTGTGGGGAGAGCATAAAAACCAGACAGGCAGAGAAGTCTTTTCCAAAGGCATGAATAGGACACTTCTCAGACTTCCATGTCATTGACAATGCTCTTACCATCTCCATTCCCTCCAAGACCAGATGGCTTCTTGTCTCAGCATCTTAGAGGATCTGAAAAGGTCTCAGATGGTGTGGGCCCTGTGATGAGACCTGATTCCCCGGGATGACACCTAGTGTAACTAACCTCTTTTTGCTCAGTGCAAGAAAAATAGCATTCTGCAAGTTGTTCCCAGGATGACATCAGTTTTGAAAAAATTTTCTGAATGAGGTTTTACTCCACTGATTTCCGCCACTAAGTTGTAGCCCGGGAAGGTTAAGGCACTTGCCCAATGTCCCAGAACAGATAAGTGATGGAACCAGGACTCAAACCAGGTCTGTGTGGCTCCAGAACCCTTAGGTCTGGGCTCTACTGCTTTGTGTGGAAATGGAGTTGGTGTCTGGGAAGTTGGGTTTCTACTCTCCCTTCCTGCTGCAGGAAGGAGAACTGTGGAAATGAACCCACCCCTCTCTTGAAGTGGAGTGGGAAGGAAAATCCAGGCTCAGGTCTGCATGGCTAACCAGATCAGAAGACTCTTTCTGTCCTCCAGAGATGGCCTCCTCTAGTTAATCATTGAACTCCTGCTCCCCAGCCCAGGAGAGGTGACCTGCCAGCACCGGGGTGGCATAAATGGCTGCTCACCAAGCAGAAGTTGTCCTCTGGCCATTCCTGGAGAAGGGCAGCCAAGCCCATTGTAGCTTTGATCCTTCCTTTTACTCCCCTGGGAAATGCTGGGGGTGGAGAGAAAACTTCAGCCTTTGTAACCTTCACTGCTGGTGAATACTTAACATTCTTCAAAGAGAAATTTAAAGGAGCTGCCCAGAGTTCCCAGCTGTCTATGCCTAGCTCTGCTTAATAAGCCAGTGGCACAGGGGACAGGCTGCTTATGAATAGTCTCGCTTCTCACACCCAATCGACTCTAACTGGCTGTTGCTGATGGACTGACAGTGGGAAGCTACCTTGTGAGCCGTGAGCAAGTCCCAGGAACAGAGGCAGAGGAGGAAAGCCAGTTGAGCTTAGGCGCTAATCTGCCATACCCACTTCCAGAGACCCTCCATGTACTGCAGCTCCCCTGGGCCCAGACTCCAGACAAAGTTTAGATGGATGTCCTTGCTGTATTTTTCTGTCTCAAATAAACGTGGTATGTAGAAGTGTTAGCAGAAAGCGGTCCGGATCCAGACCCCAAGAGAGGGTTCTTAGAGCAAGTGCAAGAAAGAATTCAGGGTGAGTCTGTAGAGTAAAATGAAAGCAAGTTTGTTAGGAGAGTAAAGTATTCGAATAAAAGAATGGCTACTCCATAGACAGAGCAGCCCCGAGGGCTATTGGTTGCCCATTTATATGGTTATTTCTTGATGATATGCTAAACAAGGGGTGGATTATTCATGCCTCCCCTTTTTAGACCATATAGGGTAACTTCCTGACGTTGTCATGGCATTTGTAAACTGTCATGGCACTGGTGGGAGTGTAGCAGTGAGGATGACCAGAGGTCATTCTCTTGGTTTTAGTGGATTTTGGCCGGTTTCTTTCCTTTTTTTTTTTCTTGGAGATGGAGTCTTCGCTCTCTTGCCCAGGCTGGAGTGCAGTGGCGGGATCTCGGCTCACGGGTTCACGGCATTCTCCTGCCTCAGCCTCCCAAGTAGATGGGACCACAAGTGCCTGCCACCACGTCCGGCAAAATTTTTTTTTTGTGTGTGTGTTTTTAGTAGACATGGGGTTTCACCATGTTAGTTGGCTGGCTTCTTTACTGCAAGCTGTTTTATCAGCAAGGTCTTTATGACCTGTATCTTGTGCTGACCTCCTATCTCATCCTGTGACTTAGAATGCCTGACCGGCTGGGAATGCAGCCCAGTAGGTCTCAGCCTTATTTTACCTAGCTCCTATTCAAGATGGAGTTGCTCTGGTTCAAACACCTCTGACAGAAGGATTTCTAGAGACAGGTGAAGTATTTAGGCTGAGAAGAGCTTGGGCTGGAGCCATTGAGTCCTTTGACATACTTCCCTGGATGTGCTGCTTTCAACAGAGGGCTGTTGTAGAAGGAAGAAACATTTCTGTGTCTTGTTCAGGCCAGGAAAGCATATCAGATGAAGACATTAAGTCCCACAGAGAGTAAGTCAGTTCTCGCACTTGCCTGGCTGCATGCTGCCAGTGGAGAGGGAGGAATATTCCCAGGACCAGCATGGCAGGAGGTCATATTAACAAGCTTGACCGTGGCTCCTCATTCTGTGGAGTGACGATCAGGAGGCTGACCTCAGCTGCTAGAAGTCCCTTTGCAACGTGGAGCAAATAAAAGGAGCCACAGTGGGAGAAAGCCAAAGAATAAAATAATTTCGACAGGATGCCCAACCCGTGATCCCTCTAGGCCAGAATTCTCTAATAATACTAATGAATATTGTTGTGGGAGTTGGGAAGGAGGGTGCTTACTATTGACCAGGGCCCATGTTTTTTATGAATTTATTTTAGAAATGTCATTCAATAACCTTATAACGTTAGAAGAACTACCAAAAGTTGTGTTTTTGTGTTTGTCTTTTAATTAAGGCAACCTAAAAAATTGGCACACTGCCCTTCTACCTCCTGACCCTGCCCCCAAGAAATCAGCTCTTCTTAAGTAGCACATTAGTGACCTGTAACCCATAAAGGAGCAGAGGTAACTTAATGCATAGCAAAGAACACTGGACTAAGAAAGTCCACTGCCTTCCCTCCAAAAGATGATTGTGTGCTTGGGCAGGTCACTTTGCCATTCTGGACTCAGTTTCCTCACCTGTGAACTGAGGATTGGCTGGACTAGATCCCTAGTTCTCAACCTTTACTGTGAATTAGGATCTTCTGGAGAGTTTGTGAAAAATACTAATTTTTATTGCATAGAGACACATACCCTTACAACACATAAATGCATGCATGTAAAAAATGGTGAAAGACGAATAATCTGTAGTCTAGTTAATAGCATTGTACCAATGTCAACTTCCTGAATTTGATATCGTCTTATTTATATTTAAGATGATAATCACCACTGGGGGAAGTTAGGTGAAGGGTACATGAGACTGTATGTATGATTTTTGCAACTTCCTACAATTTTAAAATAAAAAGTTAAAAAAAATCCTAATGCCCAAGTTCCACCCCAAAGGTTGTGATTCATTAGTCTGGGACTTGGACGTCAATGTTTTTTAAAACCTCCTCAGGTGATTGCAATGTGCAGCCATGGTTGAGAACTACTGAAGTAGGTGATCTCCAGATCCCTTTCCAGCCCTAAAATATTATCACTTAAATTTATCTAAACCCTTCTTGAAACTATTTACATGTTCAGTGTGCAGGGGTAAGATGTTAAGTTTATTACCTGCTGTATAAAAACTTTCTTGAATTTGTCCTAAAGTTACTCCTTCTTTGAGTGACCCAAGCTCTAGCCTCTTTCACTCCCAAGCGTTGTTGTCCTCTACCTGTGTCCTGGAGCTGCATCTTCTCAACGGATGCCCTTTGCCATGACTCTGACCTTCTCCATGAGCCACCCACCCCTCACTGGCTGACAATCACTTCCTATGATCCCTTGATTGCAACTCCCTGCAATAAGATGCTACCAGCTCCACATGATTCTCAGCAGAGAGGGAGGAACTGGGCAGGCCATGCTGCCCTTTGCAGTTTCTTCACTTTATTCTCTATACTTTCACTGAAAGCCTTATGGTATACCAGAATCACAGGGAGCCCATTTGAGGATGCACTCCAATTCCTCATTCAGTTCCATGTCCTCTGATGAGTCCTCCTTTCAGAGAACTCCTTTCTTTGTACAGCAATAGTGAAATTCTTTACCCCATCCCCCTTTAGGGAAAGTGATGTCTATCCCCAAATTGATCCCTTTCCAGGATTCACCCCTTTTCTTTCATCAGGATAATCCTAGAACTTCAGTAACCCACAGAGGAAATACTCTCAAAATCTGAGATAATCAACCAAGAATTACACAATGGAGGAGGGAAAGTGGTGGCTTCACTAGGACTGTCCCAGGTAAGCTTTAGCATTCCAGGTCCGCTTTAGCATTCCAGGTCCAATTGTGACAGGTTAGGGGGCCGATGTCTCCTCTTTCTTCCTGATTATCCAGGTGGTAACTAGTGGAACACACACACACACACACACAAACACACACTCTCTCTCTCTGTTTCATATTTCTCAAATAACAATTGTATGTTCTCTATCCATATTAAGCAAAATAAACTTTTATTTTCTTTTAAAAATTTTTTTTTGTTTCCATAGGTTATTGGGGAACAGGTGGTGTTTGGTTACATGTATAAGTTCTTCAGGGGTGATTTGTGAGATTTTGGCGTACCTATCACCCGAGCAGTATACACTGCACCCAATTTGTAGTCTTTTATACCTCACCCTCTTCCCATCCTTTCCCCGAGTCCTCAAAGTCCATTGTGTTACTCTTATGACTTTGCATCCTCATAGCTTAGCTCCCACTTATGAGTGAGAACATACTCTGTTTGGTTTTCCATTCCTGAGTTACTTCACTTAGAATAGTAGCCTCCAATCTCATCCAGGTCGCTGAGAATGCCATTAGTTCATTACTTTTTATGGCTGAGTATTATTTCATCATATATATATATGATGTGGTATATATATATATATATATATATATATATATATATATATATATACCACAGTTTCTTTATCCACTTGTTGATTGATGGGCATTTGGGTTGGTTCCACATTTTTGCAATTGAGATTTGTGCTGCTGTAAACATTTTGTATGCAAGTATCTTTTTTGTATAATGAGTTCTTTTTCTCTTGGTAGATACCCAGAGGTGGGATTGCTGGATAAAATGATAGTTCTACTTTTAGTTCTTTAAGGAATCTCCACACTGTTTTCCATAGTGGTTATACTAGTTTACATTCCCATCAGCAGCATGTAAGTGTTCCTTGTTCACCACATCCGTGCCAACATCTATTTTTTTTGATTTTTTGATTATGACCATTCTTGCAGGAGTAAGGTGGTATCACATTGTGGTTTTGATTTGCATTTCCCTGATCATTAGTGATGTTGAGCATATTTTCTTATGTTTGTTGGCCATTTGTATATCTTCTTTTGATAATTGTCTATTCTCAAGCCAATGTCTAGAAGGGGCTTTCCAATGTTATCTTCTGGAATTTTTATCATTTCAGGTCTTGGATTTAAGTCCTTGATCAATCTAGAGTTGACTTTTGTAAAAGGTGAGAGATGAGGAACCAGTTTTAGTCACCTACATGTGGCTTGCCAATTATCCCAGAACAATTTGTTGAATAGGATGTCCTTTCTCCACTTTATGTTTTTGTTTGCCTCGTTGAAGATCAGTTGGCAGTATTTGGGTTTATTTCTGGGTTCTCTATTCTGTTTCATTGGTCTATGTGCCTATTTTTATACCAGTACCATGCTGTTTTGGTGACTATGGCCTCATAGTATAGTTTGAAATCAGTTAATGTGATGATTCCAGATTTGTTCTTTTTGCTTAGTCTTACTTTGGCTATGTGGGCTCTTTTTTTGGTTCCATAGGAATTTTGGGGTTGTTTTTTCTAAGTCTGTGAAGAATGGTGATGTTATTTTCATGGGAATTGCATTGAATTTGTAGATTGCTTTTGCAGTATGATCATTTTCACAATATTGATTCTACCCATCCATGAGCATGAGATGTTTCCATTTGTTTGTGTCATCTATGATTTATTTCCATAGAGTTTTGTAGTTTTCCTTGCAGAGGTCTTTCACCTCCTTGGTTAGGTATATTCCTAAGTATTTTATTTTATTTTTGCAGCTATTGTAAAAGGTATTGAGTTCTTGATTTGTTTCTCAGCTTGGTCGCTGTTGGTGTATAGAAGAGCTACTGATTTGTATACATTAATTTTGTATTCAGAAACTTTGCTGAATTCTTTTATCAGTTCTAGGAGCTTTCTGGAGGAGTCTTTAGGGTTTTCTAAGTAAACAATCATATCACCAACAAACGGCAACAGTTTGACTTCCTCTTCACTGATTTGGATGCCATTTATTTCTTTCTCTTGTCTGATTGCTCTGGCCAGGACTTCCAGCACTATGTTGAAAAGGAGTGATGAGAGTGGGCATCCTTGTCTTGTTCCAGTTCTCAGAGGGAATGCTTTCAAGTTTTCCCCATGCAGTATTATGTTGGCTGTGGGTTTGTCATAGATGGCTTTTATTACATTGAGGTATATCCCTTGTATGCCGATTTTGCTGAGAGTTTTAGTCATAAAACAATGGTGGATTTTGTCAAATGCTTTTTCTGCATCTATTGAGATAATCGTGTGATTTTGTTTTTGATTCTGTTTATATGGTGTATCACATTTTTTGACTTGCATATGTTGAAACCATCCCTGCATCCCTGGTATGAAACCCACTTGATCATGGTGGATTATCTTTTCAATACGTAGTTAGATTCGGTTAGCTAGTATTTAGTTAAAGATTTTAGCATCTGTGTTCATCAGGGATATTGGTCTGTAGTTTTCTTTTATGGTTATGTCCTTTGCTGGTTTTGGTATTAGGGCAATACTGGTTTCACAGAATGATTTAGGGAAGGTTCCCTCTTTCTCTATCTTGTGGAATAGTGTCAATAGGATTGCTCCCAATTCTTCTTTGAATGTCTGGTAGAATTCTGCTGTGAATCCTTCTGGTCCTGGACATTTTTTTGTTGGTAATTTTTAAATTTCCGTTTCAGTCTCGCTGCTTGCTATTGGTCTGCTCAAGGTATCTTATTCTTCCTGATTTAAGCTAGGAAGGTTGTATATTTCCAGGAATTTATCCATCTCCTCTAGGTTTTCTAGTTTATGTGCATGAAGGTGTTCATAGTAGCCTTGAATGATGTTTTGTATTTCTGTGGTGTCGGTTGTAATATTTCCTGCTTCGTTTCTAATTGAACTTATTTGGATTTTCTCTCTTCTTTTCTTGGTTAATCTTGCTAATGATCTATTAATTTTGTCTTTTCAAAGAACCAGCTTTTTGTTTCATTTATCTTTTGTATTTTTTTTTGTTTCAATTTCGTTTAGTTCTGCTCTGATCTTGGTTATCTTCTTTCTTCTGCTGGGTTTGGGTTTGATTTGTTCTTGTTTCTCTAGTTCCTTGAGGTGTGACCTTAGATTTTTTGTGCTCTCTCAGACTTTTTGATTTAGGTGTTTAGGGTTATGAACTTTCCTCTTAGCACTGCCTTTGCTGTATCCCAGAGGTTTTGATAGGTTTTGTCACTATTGTTGTTTAGTTCAAAGAATTTTTAAATTTCCATCTCGATTTCATTTTTGACCTAATAATCATTCAGGATCAGGTTGTTTAATTTCCATGCATTTGCATGGTTTTGAAGGTTCTTTTTGAAGTTGCTTTCCAGTTTTATTCCACTGTGGTCTGAGAGAATCCTTGATATAATTTAAACTTTCTTAAATTTATTGCGGCACTACTCACAATAGCAAGGACTTGGAACCAACCCAAATGTCCAACAATGATGGACTGGATTAAGAAAATGTGGCACATATACACCATGGAATACTATGCAGCCATAAAAAAGGATGAGTTCATGTCCTTTGTAGGGACATGGATGAAGCTGAAAACCATTATTCTCAGCAAACTATCGCAAGGACAAAAAACCAAACACCGCATGTTCTCACTTATAGGTGGGAATTGAACAATGAGAACACTTGGACACAGGAAGGGGAACATCACACACCAGGGCCTGTTGTGGGGTGGGGGGAGGGGGGAAGGATAGCATTAGGAGATATACCTAATGTAAATGACAAGTTAATGGGTGCAGCACACCAACATGGCACATGTATACACATGTAACAAACCTGCACGTTGTGCACATGTACCCTAGAACTTAAAGTATAATAAAAAAATTAAAAAAGAAAAAAATTTATTGAGGCTTGTTTTGTGGCCTATCATATGGTCTATCTTGGAGAAAGTTCTACTCACTGTTGAATAGAATGTATATTATGCAGTTGTTGGGTAGAATGTTCTGTAAATGTCTGTTAAGTCCATTTTTTCAGGGTATAGTTTAAATCCATTTTTTCCTTGTTGACTTTCTGTCTTAATGACCTGCCTAGTGCTGTAAGTGGAGTATTGAAGTGCCACTATTATTGTGTTGCTGTCTATCTCATTTCTTAGGTCTATTAGTAATTGTTTTATACATTTGGGAGCTCCAGTATTAGGTGTATATATATTTAGGATTGTGATATTTTCCTGTTGGACAAGATCTGTTTTCGTTATATAATGTCCCTCTTGGTCTTTTTTTTTAACTACTGTTGCTTTAAAATTTGTTTTGTCTGTTTTAAGAATAGCTACTGCTGCTCACTTTTGGTGTCCATTTGCATGGAATGTTTTTTCCGCCCCTTTTCCTTAAGTTTATGTGAGTTCTTATGTGTTAGGTGAGTCTCTTGAAGGCAGCAGATAGTTGGTTGGTGAATTCTTATCCATTCTGTGATTCTGTATCTTTTAAGTGGAGCATTTAAGCCATTTACATTCAATGTTAGTATTGAGATGTGAAGTACCATTCCATTTATTGTGATTTTGTTGCCTGTATACCTTGATTTTTTTAATTGTATTTTTGTTTTATAGGTCCTGTGAGATTTATGCTTTAAAGATGTTCTGTTTTGGTGTGTTTCCAGGATTTGTTTCAAGATTTAGAACTCCTTTTGGCAGTTCTTGTAGTGCTGGCTTGGTAGTGGTGAATTCTCTCAGCATTTGTTTGTCTGAAAAAGAATGAAAAAGATCACACACGCACACATACACACACACATGCTTCCATATTTCTCAAATAACAACTGTATGTTCTCTATCCATATTAAGCAAAAGAAACTTTTCTGAAGTATGACCTAATGGACACAGGTTCCTGTATTCACTGAGTTTGGTGCTTTATTACCTGCAAAGCTGTGTTGTCTCAGGTTTGTTCATCTTCCAGCCTCTACATCTTTCCCAGAGGCCTATAGAAGCATAAAAAATGAGGTCAATTACTCTGCCTTAAAGCACAGAGCCACCTGGCCCTGGATGGCCACCCTCTGGCCACCCCGAAATCTAGCCCCCAGGGCTCTGAGATACCCCATTGACCAAATAATGCTATTAGCAGGGCATCTCCATACTGTCACTTGTAGGAGGAGGAGGGAGCCATGAGGGGGGCTTCTCAGAAAAGCCTCACCAGTGAGTTGCTATGGGGTTAGTTACGTAGGTTGCGAGGATTTGGAAAGAATGGTAAGTTCATGTTTACTTTCACCTAATTATTCACAATTTCACTAGCTTTGATCCTAACCCTTTTCAGTCTTCATCTTTCTAGAGTAAAGAGTGATTTTTAAAAGCATTTTTTATCCATAGGTAGCCTCCCCTCCCTGACTCCATCATTTCAGTTATCCTTATCTGTCTATACCTTGCTCCCAAGTGTTCACCTGCTGGTTTAGGCCAGCTGCCAAGATGTCATGCTCTGGAAATTTCTTGAGATAATAGTTTCCAAATGTTTACTACCTTCAGCTTTGTCTCCTCTCTCTCGAGCTTCAAGAGTTGACTCCTAACTAAACTTTTCTAAGAATTTTAAAATCTGTCCATGCCCATCCTGCCTGAAATCCTCATAATTTTAAATTTTTAAAATCACATCCCCTTTTAACCTTTGCCTTTGCATTTTGAAGGCATGTAACATGTAATCAGTCTTGCATATGGCAAGCACTAAATTCACATTTTGTGGATTATTGATTTCCATAATGGTTCTGAATAACAAAATATATTCCTTCATGTAAACTTCCATTTATAATGTTATCAAATGCATTTGTGGTATGAGGAACTGGTTGTAGATATACCTGTGACATTTAAGGCAAAAGATAAAATTCCAGAGAAGATTATTCTTCCGTGTATAATGCATGGAAAGTATACTGAGGCCATTGGAAATTCAGGCAGTAACATCGGATCACCTGTGTTAGAGAACTCTTTTCCTGGTATATCAGTGCTGTGATATTGAGCAAGTTATCATATCTCTCCAAACTTCAGCTTCATCATCTATAAAAATGAGGACGACAATAACACATATTTTGTGTGATTTTTTTTTGAGGATTAAGTGAGATAATCTGCACAGCACCGGACCATAGAAAAAGCTTAATCCATGTAAAGCTATTATTATTGTGCTGCTGGTTCTTCAAGTAAACAATCTGGACATTGACTATGTCAGTGTTTTTCAAGTGTAAACAGAAGATCATCTCTATCAGAATCAACTTAGGTATATTTAGGCCGGGCGTGGTGGCTCATGCCTGTAATCCCAGCACTTTGGGAGGCCGAGGCAGGTGGATCATCTGAGGTCGGGAGTTCGAGACCAGCCTGGCCAACATGGTGAAACCCCGCCTCTACTAAAAATACAAACATTAGCCAGGCGTGGTGGCATGCACCTGTAATCCCAGTTACTGGGGAGGCTGAGGCAGGAGAATTGCTTCAACCCAGGAGGTGGAGGTTGCAATGAGCTGAGACTGGGCCACTGCACTCCAGCCTGGGTGACTGAGTGAGACTCCATCATACACACACACACACACACACACGCACACACACATACATTTACACACGATAAACAAAAAACAGAAAGTATCAACTTAGGTACATTTAGAACATGCAGATGCCTGGGCCCCACCCTGGATTTATTGAATTGCTCTTTCTCACACAGAGGTGTAAGCACCCGGGTTTTACCAGATGCCACAGTATATATTGATGAGACGTGCTGCTGATGGATGTGCTGCCTGAGGCTACAGGGCTCCTGAGGTGTTCTGTGTGAGCTGCAGCACCTGAGAGACTGAGTGGGCAGTGTCCACCCACTTAGGAATGCACCAGGTTACCCATTGGCCCAAATTTCTAGCAAGTTCTTAATGACGGTTTTAAGGTGGAGTTACACATCGTGATGCACAGGAGCTGTGCTCACCCTTGTCTCACATTCCTCTATGAATCCTTTTCTGCACTAGATTTAGGGAAAAACTAGGAGCGTGCGAGGAAAGAGTAAGTCCTAAGGAGGTAGAAAAATGCTCTCTGTTTAAGCTGCAAGAGAATTGATTCAGGTGCCACAGGACTGACATGGGGAATAAAAAAAGAATGGCATCTAGAAAAGGGGTATATTGGTGCCAACCACTAGACAGCTTTGGATTCTCTGCTCTCTATATCTTGGGAACACTTGCTGGGGGTGAGGTGGTGGGTGAACAGTATGAAGGGTCTTTGGTCTGTGTGAATAGATACTTGCTGACAAGAGGCTAGTTTCAAGCCATTAAAAATCTAGTTTTACTGGCATCTCAGAAAGGCAGCAATTGTTCTGTTTCCCTGGCACGATTATCCCATGGGGCAGGCTGCAACTTGTTCTATTTGCCCAAGCCTTAGTTGAGTCCCCAGGGAGGGTGGTCAGATGGTGACATTTCCAAAGCATATTTGTTTCCTGGTAGGAAGAAACACACTGAAGTGGTGGTGAGTCAGTTTCTTCCTGAGTCCCCAGAGTATAGGACCTATAATCTGGTAGCTCTTGTGCCTGGCATCTCTGTGTCCTATGGACAATCCGGCCCTTTTGGCGAGGTCTGACTGAATTGTTTTTGGGACACACCTTTGTGTATATGAGGAAGTTGGCATTTAATGATGCCATGGGTTCCTGAATGGTCTTTCACGAATGGTGGCTCAAACTTCCCAGCCCTGGAGAGGAAGGAACAGGGCTTTGCTATCTTTCTGACCCAAGCTTGGGTGCCTACAGGCTGGGTGACACTGGACAGGTGAACTAACTTCCCAGAGCCTCAGACTCCTCATTTTGCTGTCAGTATTGTGAAGATTAAATCAGATAACGAGTGAGAATACTCTTACATAATTCTGGCACATAGGACGTGCTCAGAAAATGGTACCTGTGGCCAATGCTGAAGGTACCAGTATTGCTGCCATTGTACTGGCACTTGAGATGTGGCAAAGGCTCTTCAGACTTCACTTCAGAGATTAAGTCCTGTGCCTTAATGCCTTCAGCAAACAAGATTCAACAGTCTAGTCCCACATAGGTAGATTAAATAACTCCTCTTTACCTTGAAAGACAGCTGGGCTTCTTCAAATAGATTAATCAGAGGAAGCAAACTCTAAAATTCAAGTGTAAACAACATAGTCAATACTATAAATCAACGTGTAAACAAAAGTGATGTATATTTAAGAACCTAAAGCCAAAAATTCAGAAATAGAAAATAATGACTTCTAAACTTTGGGCTGCATTAACTGTATGGCAGCTCTCAAGGAAAAGATCAACTATTTGCTCAGAAAGTTTCCAAAGCAATGCTTTGGAAAGGAAAAAGAATGATCTACAGGCTAACATAGCTGCAGGCAACATGAGCTTTTTGGTCGTCCTAACACTTCATTGACTAATGTTAGATAAGAGAAACTAATGGTTCATAAATGCATTTTCGTGATGTTGCTCTAAGATGTACCCCCTCATCTGGAGGTGAGGCAGGGTTTCCCTTTTCCAACATCCTAGCTGTGCCTACCCTCCATCCCATGGAAGCCAAGGTGTCTCACTGCATTTTAAATGAATATATATATATATATATGGAGTCTTGCTTTGTCGCCCAGTCTGGAGTGAAGTGGTGCGATCTCGGCTCACTGCAACCTCCGCCTCCTGGGTTCAAGTGATTCTCCTGTTTCAGCCTCCTGAGTAGCTGGGATTACGGGAATGCACCACCACACCTGGCTATTTTTTTTTTTTTTTTTTTTTTTTTTTTTGTATTTTTAGTAGAGACACGATTTCTCCATGTTGCTAGGCTGGTCTCAAACTCCTCATCTCAGGTGACCCTCCCGCTTTAGCCTCTCAAAGTGTTGGGATTACAGGTGTGAGCCACTTCGCCTGGCCCAAATAAAAATAATTTTAAATTCATGAATCCATAAGATTAAACCACTTGAGAGTAATTAGCAATTTCCAGAATTAATGGATAATGTTCAAATCAATTAAAAATGACTACTGGAAATTAAAAAAAATCCAACAGTTAGTAATACAAAATTATTTATTAGTAAAAAAGGAGACAGCATTTGTTCGTTATACAAAAAGTAAAACAATTGAAAGTTTCCTACAAAAATTTAAACTATGAGCATACAAAGTAGGAGTGGCGCTGTGACCGGGTCTGAGGACTTCATATGAATGCTTAGCATCAGAAAATTGGAAATAGTGACATGTAAACTGTGCTTGGGATATTGTGTTACCAAGTTGCATATTTTGCAGTGTCATCTAGACGTGGTAGAAAAATAGATATACCCATGCCATGTTCTGAATTACTGTAATTTCTATTAACTATAGCAGATGTCACAGTTTGTTTCCCTCTTATAGAAATCACTGGTGGCGGCTGCTGAGGGGGCAAAGTCCACACAGTCTGTGCTCGGGTAGAAGTACTCTGCTGCCTGGAGAGCATCCAAGTCCTCTGCCTCACACGATGCGCAGTAGCAGATGGAGGTGGTGGCCGAGGAGAAGCAGCTGTACTGGGCGTGTGAGGACAAGTGTTGGTAGGAATGGTCTTCTGGGGGGTAGCCACAGGTTCTGGTGTCCAGAGAAGCAGGGGAATTGTAATTCTCTGGAGCATATGAAGGCAGCTGCACTGGCGAGTAACTGTAGTCTAAGGAGCCAGAGAGAATGGAGGAATTTGAAGGTGATCCTGGGATCTAGAGAAATGACAACCAAGAAACAAAGAGCTTAATAACTTAGACAGGATCAAAGAACTGAACAGTGTGGGTTTACCAATGCAGAGTGAGAAAATGAGGGGTAAAAAACCAAATCAAACGAAACAACACCCAACCCAAGTCTGCAGAAGTAATTTTATTTGCTGACTACATGATTTCATGACACCACAATCTATAGTTACCTATTTCTTTCCAAACAATAAATTGCCTTGCTTCACTGGCTTCCTTTGTTATAATCCTACTTTAGAGGGTGCTCGTTCTGAAACCACAAAATCCCATTGTGCTTCAAGTCACCTGCATATCAAATCCTGCTGTATGCCACAATCTAAGCTGTAGGTGGCACCCTGGATGTTTCTCCACACCCTCACCATGAAGAATCAGGTGATCATGCAAAGGCATAACTTGGATCTTCAAGGATCTTGGAGTATCCCTGGCATATGCCAAGATGTGTCACTACCTGTCTCGCCACTAAAGTCTTGTTCCCTGGAGTGAGAGCTACTGTCTGTTTTCTCTTAAGCAAGTCTACAATTGTTACTGAGAAAACCTAACTTGGAGGCTGGGAAGGAACTGGGTCACTGGGGCCCCATATTTTCCCCGTGACAATGTGCATATTCTGCAGAGTTAATTTCCCATCCGCTCTAAAATTTAGTCTGATGCCCACACAGACTTTTGACAATCCAAAGGCAAAAAGTATTTACATTCCTTAAAAAAGAAAACTTTACAATTTAAGGTTTACAAAACAAACCTGTGAGTCTCTAAAAGACAACTGAAATAACTAGTTTCCACTAATAGAAACCTTACTTCATTTTGAAGGATAACACATTTTCAAACATTTGAGATCCACCGAGAACAACCAATTTAATTTTTTTCAAAGATTACGGCTTCATTTTTACTAACCATCTCAGACCCAAATGAGTTATTGTGCTTATAGCAGACTCAAACTATCAGTTAGTAGAGCCAGTTCAATGACAAAACAAAGCAAAACCTCCCCCTAATGAAATGAAGTTTGTTACCATATATACACAGCCTTAATTCCATTTCCAAGAACTCAAAATTCCATCAAAAAATCCAAGAGCCATTGTTTAAACCACTGACTTCCAATTAGTAGGTCTCTTGACTTTACAGTTTAAAAAACATTAAATGAATATTGCCAGGAACCTCTTTTTATTGCTACCCACCAACTTACTTGGTGGCCGAAAAATCTAAATCTTGGGAAATCTAAATTACGTGTGTATCCAAAGGTTTATGCCCTGCAGTGTGTGGCTACTTCTATACATTGACTTTTAAATTCTTCTCTGCTTGTTTCCTTGGATGATTTCCTTGCTGATAGTTTTTGTATGATTTCCCACGGGATGGTGCAAACTCACAAAGCACTATTACCCCATAGTTAGACACAATCAGGTATATAAAGAACTGAGAAAAATTACCAGGCTCTGGTTAAAGCAGAAAGGGGTGGCCTGGAAGCTGTCTGGGAAATGGTGTGGAGCACTTTGTGTGGAATTGAGCAAAGGCTCCGGGTGCATCTCTGTCTGAAGGTAGGAATCAAAGATCTGGTCGAGGCAGCTTGAGTTTTCTTCACATGAAACACAACTGGAAAATTCTCCCCGTTGCAAATAATTGGGCGTGGAAGAAATTGGTTCAGGCTCAAAATACAGTCCTAGAGGAGAAAGGAAAAAGGCAGGTTTTTGCATAAAAATTGCAAAACACAGATTTGAATGGAGATCTATACTCTGAATATTTACTATGTCTAGGGGGAAAGGGGGCTTAACAAATCCAGAAAAGTAAACGGGAATGCAATTTTGACTCTTTAGTTGTCCTAGCTAATTCAAGCTCCAGGGAAATGAACATGGTTAATAATGTGGAAACTGGCTGTAAAACTGGTTAGGGCAAAAATAAAAGGATGGTGACCCAATTTGTGTCCAAGTGTCACAGTCAAATAATGGCTCAAACTTCCCCTTTCTTGGGCTGTAAAACCATGGACATCCAGCCCCTACCGGCAGTTCACGTAAACCTCTCAGAAGTAACTGACAAAGTTGTTGAGGCTTTGAGAAAACTTCTGATGCTACGGGAAATAATTCTTTTGACTTATGGTGATTGCTTTTTTGAACTTTTCACTCTTACTCAGTAACTTAAGTTTGGAGGAGAGAATTTTGAGAAGTGATTTAAATGAGAATGCAAATGATAATCATGGAAACCAGGAACATAGAGTACCAATTAACACTATTGGCTCGGAAGTACAAAAAGCAAAAATGTTTTCTCAGTGAACATGTTAACATCATGATGTGATCAAAGTAAGTTGTTAAACATCAAACAAAGATAATCAGTAAACATTACTCCTTTTCCATTTTATTATTAATAGGCCCAATTTGTGATAATTATCTGTAAATGCTGGAAGAAGAGAGGATTAGAGTGTGCTCATCAAAGGGACTAAAGGACACTGTGTTCTTCTTGAGGTCTCAAGTTCCTTTAAGGTGAAGCTACGGTGACACATTTAGTGGGGAGAGGCCATAGGCAGAGGTTTCCTTATATACGACCTCCTTAAACTCTTAGCTGTTGAGTAGCAGAGGTAGGAGTGTTTATGTAATCGAGTTATTCTTATTGGGCTGAGAAAACCTACACTTGTTTGAACTGCTTTCTGGGAACAGAGAAGGGGAGGGAAGCCCCTGTCGGCTGGAAACTAAAGGAACAGAGCAAAGGCATTATTTGAGTGTCTTGGGATGTTCTGTATTCCATCTAACAGTGCACTAAAAAAAGATAAGTTCCTGAGAACAATTCTGATTTTGTAGTTCAGTTTAGTTACTTGGCGATGAGGAACTGGAATAAATGTGAAGAACAAACTCTTGAGACAATATAGCAGAGAGTAGAGAATTCAGAAATGAAGACAACATTTATGCTTGTTTTCTTGCTGGGCTTGCATGTGGAGTGACTATGCCTTTTTCACCTTCTGATTGGTTGGATTCCAATTAAATGGTGGTGCCTATCTTAACCCCTGAATCAAGACTGAAAGACTTTTGAGATGGACTTTTGAAAGAGTGTTTGAGGGAACTGTTAATGCTGGCTGTACTGACCTGCAGAAGATGGTGCAACTGGGTCTGAAAGGTGGACACTGCTGCCTCCGGACCGCTGTCAAAGCAAGAATATCACCGTGAAGCAGGCTGAAAGAAATGCTCTGAAGGGAAAGCTAAGACATTTTGATGAGGACTATGTTTCTTTCTGCTATAAGGTAAGCCAGATTCTTCCTTCTCAGAAAAAGTTGCTTTCTTTTTTTTTTTCAATGTTTGACAAATTTTTGTACAAAATATATTGTAAAAAACAAGTGAAAGGGAAAGTGTCAACAAATATTTTATAGAATTTGAAAGACAGGTGCATAGAATTGCGGTAGGTGTATTAAGTCCGTGTAGAATTTAAAATGCCTTTTGACGTTTATAATCCTTTTAAGATTCAATCTGGAAAATTGCATTGGAACAATGAAAACCTGAAATCGAATCATAAAACAGACTTCTTAAATACAACCAATATTATGTTTTATCTAGATCCAATATTTATGTTTGCTTGCTTGGGGAGTTTTTTTCCTAATATCAGATTCTTCTACTTAAATTTTAAAAGTGATTAATTTTTAGTAAAAAATTAATGTAAATAATTTTATGTGGTAAAAATGTAACAGTTTGAGAAAATGCAGCAAAAGGCTTCCTATTAAACTATTCGATTTAAAATTATTAAGGACTAACATTTATTTAATCTCAACTATCTATGGCTTAGTCAATTATTTTTCTCAAAAATTTCATATACCATCTGGCTACTTAGCCTTAGGGAGTCGTTTCCCCAAAGAACACAATTCTTAATTTTGTTAATTCTGAGTAGCTAAAAATATTCACATGTTCTTAGTATACATGAAATATTAAAATAGAAAATATTTTCTTAAAGCTGTGGTTGGTGAGTTGGAACCTACTTTCATTCTAGTTAATGGTCGGGAATTATTCCAGTACTTTGTATGTTTTGTACTACTATCTATAAAAGTTGCTTTTATTTAAACTACTGTATTTAAATACTTAAAAGTTTATGAGACTGCTCTTTTTAACTATTCAAAGTAAAGCAGCCTGCATTTTTCAGTTGAATTAATAATTATACTGAGTAATTTAGGATTTTTTTTTTTTTTTTAAATTTCAGGTGTGGCTTTAAAGTTTAAAGGTACCCGTATTGCTCTGTGATTCTGTGCTGGGAAGCCGAGCTCACCACACCTCTTTTGGGTTACAGGGCATACTCACTCCCATACTCTGAGCCACAGGGAGAGCTGTGCAGGCAGCCACTGCTGAAACAGGAGGCAGTATTAATTTTGAAAACGATCCATGCTGTAATGTCATGAACCAGGAAGCTGGAATCCTTTACCAGCTCTTTATGCAAATATTTGGCTGCAGCTTGAGCTGAAGGACTTGGAAGGAGTGGGTATTAAAAAATCTGCCTCATTGTAGAGCTTTCCTTAACTCCATTCCTCCCCCGGATTGGCCTGTTTGTCTGCCTCCACCCCATGTTATCTCCCTGAGGTGTGTTTACAATATCCTACTTGATATTATCTTTCTAGTCATGGGTTCACTTTCTACTTTGCTCCAAGAATACAAAGAAAGGCAACTCTCTCTTAGATTTCAAACAGCACAAAAATTCACAGTCTACAATTTATAAAAACACATCAAGGCTGTTTAAAAAATTAATGATTTAAAAAAAGAAAGGTAAATGATATCTTTTGATAACGACTAACTCAAGTTTCCTTTTACCCCAAAGGCAAGTGTGTGTGTGTCTGTGTGTGTGCGTGCATGCGCATGTTTGCAAATTGATCTGGCTGAAATAAGTTTTTTAAAATCGAGTGTTCCAATCCGGCATACACACAGTTTCTTCCGGCACTGCTTGAAGAATATTTGAATTCTTTACTGAATGTCTGTCTCAACCTATAACTTCCATTCGTGATTGCCTTCTTAAAATTTTAAATTGTGGATACTACACTGACTTTATAACAAATTAAGATAGATTTCTTGCCACTTTGTAGTATTTGATATAATTAACCCTCTCCTTGGCTTAAAGTTTCCCAGAGGCATCCTTCAACAAATGAACAAACTGGGGATCATCTCTGTTATACCAGAAAGGTCTACACTAAGAAGCAGGCAACATCATCCCCTGGTGTCTGCTACCCTTGCCTACTAAGTACGCTCTCACAGCTTCTTTAGAATCCCAGATCCATCCGATGGCTTCCAGTGAGGGATTTTACGTCTGGCTTTTGTAATTAAATTATATGCGTGTTAAACCTGCTTGCTTGCGAGGGCATAGGCTGATGCAGTCTTAAGGGAAGCAAAGTAGAGCAGGCTTTACTCTGCCTGTTCCTATAAGACACTGGTTCAGAAGTCCTGCTTTATTTCTCAGGAGGGAATTCAGAAAAATTTAAATAAGTCAAACTACTCCGGGGAACAGAAACTGGTCAGATACACAAGTGAAGTGTGTTACCCTCACATTAGCTCCTGTAGCGAGCTAAGAAGGGAACAGTGGCCACACCCATCTGTAAGGGCCCAGCAGCAACAGAAGTGCCACACTCACATGGGGCTCTCCAGGTGCAGCTGAGCAGAACTGTAGCAAGTACCAAAGCTCCTTAAGGAAACGTTACATTTTATTATGAAAGTCTTGATGATGTTTTTCTCCAGAAGCATTTTCCAGTTCCCTTGTACCTGGTTTTGTTAATTATATAACCATCTCTGAACTGAAGGGGTTGAGGCTATCAGACTCCTGCTTAGTATCGTCAGATCTGCAGAATGATGAATTTAGAGCATAAAGAGCCAACAGAAGGGTTTTTATATTACACTAAGAAAAAGACCTTAGTCCTACTTTTAGCGTTGCCATGAGCAACTTCAAGGTTTTGAATTTTGCCTGTAATCGAGGTACAGATCTCTGATCTACTTACCTCCGCTGGTTGTTATAAAAACTAAATGAAATAGTGGCTGTGCAAAAGTGCTTTAAAAGAAGAACCACTGTGAAGTCCTCTAGAAATGTAAGGGAGTGTTAATGCGTTACCTGAAATTCTGCACATGGAGGTCCTTACTTTTCCAGCTGCATGTGCTGTATATGCCAAATTGCAGCTGGCTCGCATCTGAACTCTAAACTCTGAGCAAAGGGTGTGAACAAACATTACCAAATAGCTGGCTTTCAATCCTTGGTTGGAATATTAGTTGCTTTCCCCAGATAATATTATTATTTCTCAAATAATGACAACTAACATTTATTGAGCACTCACTATGTGGAAAGCATTCTTCTAACGGCTTTGTATGCAATAACTCGATTAACCCTCACAAAATCCTATCATCCCCAATTTGAAGACGAATAAACAGAGGCAAGAGGAATTGGGTAATTTGCTTGAGGATACACACCATGGAGGAACTGAGATCTGAGCCCAGTCCATCTGGTTCTGGAACCTGTGTTTACCTCCCCTACATCATTTGCCCCCTCCCATTTCAAGAAGTCCCGCTGTCAAAGGCCTATTTCATGAAGTCACACATTGCACATGAACAGCATCAGGCACAAAAACTGTTGTGGGGCAGATGCCAATGGGCTGGAGAAGGACCAATCCTAACAGAGGCAATATGAGCCCCAGCTGTCAGATCCTATGTTCACACCCAAACCAACCCCCAAGCAATTGTATGATTGAGGCTTTTTAGGGATGAGCTGCCCTCTCTTGGGCAATAACCCCACCTAGTTTATTTGGTTCTGTTGCTGCCCTGAGTGCCTTTGGCAGTACTTACCGTAGGAAGGTGTATAAAGTGTCAGGGTATACCCTTATGACTGCTCAGTTCAATTTTGTAATAACCTGAAACTGCTTAAGGTGTTGATACATTTTAGGGAAGTGGTCCTGTACTCCAGCTGTCTCTTCTGCAGAGACAGGGCCCTTTTCTGCTAGATACTTTAGGTAACTGATGATTTACAGATAAATGATCTCAGAGGGTGAGTTCCAGAAGAATGAGGAGGGAAGGGAGGATGTTCCACACAGATGCTATCCTGGAAGGGGCCCCTAAAATGAGGTGAATTTCTGGGAGAGATTTTCTATGGGTCTGCAAGGGCTGTACATATATCCACTGTCTTCCTAACAAAACGATGTATACTTACCTGCTGGCCGCTCCTCCCCCTGCAGAGGACCAACGCACTTTTTATACTTTACTTTCACCCATGGGGGATGGATGGGCTCCCCCAAATCCTGAGCCCCACAACATGCCCCAGCTGTCCTCTGTAGCTTCCCGATTGGGATGCAGCTGGGTACAGAAGTCATAGGAACAGCAGAGGAAGGCCAGGTCTGGGAATGGTGAGTGCGTGGGGCCTTGAGTGGCCTCCACACCTTGCAGACACAGCTTTGAAAGAGGCCTGGCATGGGCTGGGGAATGAGGGAAGGGCTTATGCTTACGGTTCCCCCGGAGGCCGCCTGGTGTGCCCGTCTTTGCTGCAGCAGCTCCTTCACTGTGATCTTCACTCGGACACCTTGATACACCTTCGGTTTTTCTGGAGAAAGGCAACTGAGTCAGTGGTCGAGTCCAAGGTCTGGGTGCCAGGGTGCAGAGTGGGGGCCCCTTTTATAGGCTATGGCACCCAAAGCCAAGTTTCTAAGTTCGGAGAACACACACAAAAAATGTCAAAGGATGGTAAAAACCCAAACATTTCAAACTTGAAAGAATGAAGAGTAGCTGAGCAGGTTTCAGAGCCCCAGTAGGAAAAGAATCCGTGGAAATTTGTGGGGCCATCCACCCCTGGCTGGGCCTCAGTCCTAGGCCAATAGCAAACGGGTTTTTCTGCTCTGGAATATGGAGACCAGTGCAGCGGAGCCCACCACTCTGATTAGGTCGGGGGAACCTTGGCTTTCAGACCCAGACAGCCGAGAGAGAGGGTATTATGGACCTGGGGAGGGGCCAGGCCTGGGGCAGGGGGCTTTCTCTGATTATGGCGGCTGACGTAGCCCACCCCACTGTGATGTTCCCACTAGCATGGAAGTCCCGAGTCCCTTCCTTCTCCGCCTGGCCAGGTGTGGCTTCTGGGCAGGCTCCGACCTCTGCGTGCCCTTGGTCTGGAAGCCAGCCCGGGAGCAAGCGGTGAGGTTTGGCCAGCCCCGTCCTGGGCCGGCGAGGTACCTGCCAGACTGACCTAGTAAAGGGGCCAGGCCCGAGGAACTCCCTCCCTCGCTCCCTTCTGTCTTTGCCTTCTGCCCGCTCTCCCTCGTCCCTTTTCTCCGCCTTTTCCGCGCTCCATCTTGCCCTCCTCCCTCCTTCGCCCCCGCTCCTACTCTCCCCTTCTTCCCCTCTCTCCCTACCCCCTCCCTTTCTGGGGCAGGCGTTTCTCCGAGGCGCACTGAGGCTCCGGGGCGAGTCCGCGCAGCGCGAGCTGGGGAAAGCCGTCCGGGGCTCCCGATGACCCTGCACTCCGCCGGGAGGCCGCCCTTCGGTAGGGGCCGCCCCGGGGCTGGCGGGGCCCGGTCGGACTGCCCCGGCTCGCGGGAGGTGGCGGGCGCGCTCAAGAGGGGTTCGCTGGGAGGGACCCCTGAGCGCTGGGAGCAGGGGCAGCCTCAGCCCCGGGCCCCGAAAAGCCGCAGTGAGTAGGTTGGGGACTGGCTGTTAGGCCAAGCCGAGCCGGGCGAGCTTTCAAGGTGGAGGTGGCCGCAGGAGTCCGGGGCGGCTCCGGCCCTGACCACTACCCTGCAGTGTGCGTCCAGGAATCGCGCCGGGAAGTGCGCTGGGTGCGGCGGCCGAGGGTGACCGCGCGTTCAGCCTGGACGCCTGGAGATAGTGCCAGGATGCCAGCGCCTCGCCTGGTCACTGCGGGGACCGCAGCTGGACAGCAGGGATCCCCCTCAAGCCGGGTTCCAGGAGTTAGGGTCTCCCCAGGAAAGGAGATTGCGCTCTTCCTAGCCCGGACCCAGGGAATCCCGTGCCCCGCCCGCAGGGCCCAGGCGCCGCGCCCTCTCCGCGCTCCAGCCTACCGCAGCCCCACCACCCCGTTCCCCGATCGGCTCCGGACTCCGCGGGCAGCGGGCGCCCCTCGGGGTCCGCGCAGGGACCGCCACAGCTCGGCTCAGTGCAGTCGGTGCGCTCTGCCCCCGTCCCAGGCTCACTGTGAGCCTCTAGCTCCCCCCGTAGCAGCTTCTGGGCGCGCAGGGTCCGCACCGCGTGTCTCAGGACACAACAGTGGATACGTGGGAGGGCGGGCGGGGGCCTGGGGTACGCGGACGTCCGGAGCGGCCAACTCGGCCTCTGGGCCTCTGCCCTCCGGGACAGGCGCTGAGTGGGAGCGGCCACAGCGTGGCTCGCGTCCTCTCCGGATCCCCGGCCCTTACTCGCATGCCTTGACTTTGTGCCTCTCTGTTCTATGCAGGAAAAGCCGTGGAAACACACCCGGATTGAAATGCCCCTGGCCCGCCTGACCCGACCCTAGGAGAAGCAGCCGAGTTACCCGACATCGTGGTCAGCAGGAGCTGGGTCGGTGGCTGGATGCTGCAGCAGCAGGGACTCAGCGCCTGGGAGGGCTCCTGGGGCAGGGAGAGAAGCAGAGATGCAACATTTTTAAAATTTCACAAAGCATCCGGCTGCACCCAGGTCCCTGGAACAGGAGACAAACAGAATTAATGTTTTATACCTTCGGGTATAGGTTTGAGTTTTTTCCCCCTCATGCCAAGTATTTAAAACCTCTAGAAACCCATGATTTGACAATCAATGATTGCGCGATACTTTCAATTTGAATATTCAAAGGCTTAACAAAATGGACTATCTTCTGCAGAAATCCTGCACACAGGCACCCCACAGAGAGTCCAGAGAAACAGGGAGTGAGACCCCTTTGGGTCCTGGCCCTTGCTTTTATTATAGTTTGAGCATTTTGTCCTCCTTCCCACAGATAGAGCAGATGTCCTCAAAGATGCTCTGTATTTCAGCCTTCAGGGCAGCTAAGAAGCCATGAGTGACTTAGGCTGCCCTGGCCATGAACACCGGAGCCAGACTGGCTGGCCAGACTGATTCCCGCATCCCCCATCTGTGTTTTGAGGGGAAATCTCAGGTTTTGAGGAATGAACATGGCAGCTAGTGGGTGTGGCACAGCAAGAAGTCGCTCTGGGCCCAGGTGGCAGGCCAGCGGCCTAGCAGAGGCCTTCGCTCTGCACCTCCTATTTTTCTGGCTCCGCCTGGCTACCAGCGGGCTTCCCTCCCCCTTTCATCCCGCTCTTCCTGGGCCCGACACTGGGGTTTCTGCTCAGAATGACTGCCCATTAAGACCCTTTCCTCCTCCCCACAGAGCTGGGGATGCCAGGAGCCTCATCCTCTGGAGACTTTCTGACTCTGGGTTTCACCACCGCACTGCGAAGTGCCCTCTTTGCTTTTTCGCCTTCTAGAGCCACCCCTGCCTTTTTGCTGTAGGAGCACATGTTAGGAAACAATGACAAGTTTGGCTCCTGCTCATTTTAACTGAAAGGATGTGGACTTAGGTTCAAGCCTTCTCCCATTGGGGTGAGAAGGGGGAGGGACTTGGGATCAGGCTTCCCCCTTGGTCCAGGCCCAAGCCCCTCACTAATGACTTGGGATTCTACTGGGTCATCTTCTGTGAGTACTTACTGTGCCTCTTCCATGTGATTTGGAAGGTGAGGAGACAGGAATGGTCCACAGAGGGAGAGAGTGCCAGGCCAAGTCCTCTCATAGCCACCCGCCCCCTCCACAGAAGGGGACAGCAAGAGAAGAGAGAGGCATGGTGAGGTTCCTTTTGCAAATAACCAAGATATTTCCAGGATTCAAGACCAGTCCATGGTTTTAGGCCTCTGCTGTTTATTCTCTGAGTTCTCAGAAATGCAAAAAGTGTAGTTTAGCCCCAGAGGCCTCAAGAAAAAGATTGGGGTGCCCCCAAATGTGTCAAATACAGAGGGAAACACACAGAGCTTAGGGAAAGGGCAACTGAGAATGACAAGACTGATAGGAATTGCTTGGCAGCTGAAGCCACATCTCTGGGGGAGAGGAGCAGGCCTGGGAACACCTGAGGTGGCACCTGGCAGTGGAGGGCAGGATGGATGTATTGAAATCTGACAGCTTCTGGAACTTCTTTCTACAAATGCCCCTGAGCCTGTGTCCTAGGTTTCCCTGATGGACCAGACCTGAGGAGGGGAAGGACAATGGGGGTGGAGATGGCACCTCCCCTCCCTGCATGCCTTCTTCCTCGCTGTGCCTAGGCCTTGCCCCCTCTGAAGGAACAGTGAACCAAGCAGCTTGGAATCTAGGGATGGTCTCTTGTCCTCATAGCGTCTTCCATTACTTCTTTTCTTCGCTGCTCTCCTCCTTTTTGTTATACTCTTATTTTTTGATTTGCTTTTAAAAACCTTCTTTGTTGCATTTTTGTTTATTTCTTTCTGTGTTTCTTTGTCTCTCTTCCTGTCATTGCTTTCTTCCATTTCTTATCTGTACTACTGGTTTTCTCCCTGGCTTCACGTGTCTCTGTGTTCCCCTATGCTGGGGTGTCCTCCCAGTGCTTTCAGGCTTCATCTCCTTCCTAACCTCTCCTTTCTATTTTTTTTTTTTTTTTTTTTGAGATGGAGTCTTGCTCAGTCGCCCAGGCTGGAGTGCTAACCTCTCCTTTCATGTGGAGATGGACAGGGATGGCAGGAGCACTGAGTGCTCTTGACAACACCATTGAAGATGATGCTGACGATCAGCTACCCTGTGGAGAAGGCAGGCCAGGCTGGGTGAGAGGGGAGCTCCTTGGAAGTCAGGGGGTCTGTAAGGACAGCAAGGATCTCTTTGTCCCAACCTCCAGCAGCCTTTATGGGTGCTTCTGTGTTGGCCTTGTTTCTGGGATGGCCATCTCAGTGCTGTTGCTGGCTAGCGATTTCAGAAAACTAGATTTTTCTAGGCCTGAGCCCTGTTTTGAGAAAGAAGCTTCCCTCTGGTTTGTAGCTCAACATTAATGAGTTTTGGTTCCTGTTGTTTCTATAATTACAAAACCCCAGCACAGGTATTTAAGAGCCAAAGGCCATGCTTGTGGAAGTAAGGGAGGATCTTTCTAAATGGATCCTGCAAATCCTCCTTACAGATCTGAGTGGATGATCAGGCCCAGAGCAACCCTGAGACCCCAGGTACCCACAGCATTGGCTGTTCTTCATAGGAGACTCAGAGAAGACTTCATAGGAGACTCATTATTGTTTACTGGACATCAGGTGCTATATTGTATAGCATTCACATTCCACAGGTGAGGAAACAGGCTCAGAGGAATAAGTGGCATGCCAAGATCACTGAGTATATCAGTAGCAGAATTAGGATTCAGACTTTGTTAGGCCTAACTCCAAAGCCCTGGCTTTTTTTTTTTTTGAGATGGAATCTTACTCTGTCACCGGGCTGGAGTGCAGTGGCATGATCTCAGCTCACTGCAATCTCTGCCTCCTGGGTTCAAGTGATTCCCCTGCCTTAGCCTCCTGAGTAGCTGGGACTACAGGCATGCACCACCACGCCCAGCTAATTTTTGTGTTTTTAGTAGAGAGGAGGTTTCACCGTGTTGGCCAGGATGGTCTCAATCTCTTGACCTTGTGATCTGCCTGCCTCGGCCTCCCAAAGTACTGGGATTATAGGCATGAGCCACCATGCCCGGCCTTTGCTCTTAACTACTGATGTTGTCTTCCTGATCTTTTCTACAAGAAGCTTTTAAACTTTTTGGACTTTAACCTACAATAAGAAATCCATTTTACATGTTCACATGTATCTATAACAACATTTATATTTCTAAAACAAACTTTTCATGAAACAAGATATACCTACATATGTCAGGCACTCTGATATTTTCTATTCTAGTCCACCTTTTCCATTTCATTCTATTTATGGGAAATATATGTTGGTTGGGAGTCACTGAGTTAATTTAATGACCCACTAATAGGCTGTGAGTGGCATTGGAAAAATACCTGCTTGTAAGATATGCGAACACACGTTTCAAGGTTGTTTGTGCATGTGGAAATATTTTGGGGTGCTATCTGTTTTACCATCAGTTTGTACAAGGACACTAAGACAGTGTAGCCTGCTGACTTGAGAATGTTCTGTAAGGACTGGAAACACTAGAATCTTGAAGAAACGCCTGGCTAGAGGTGAGGGTAAGCTGTTAATTACACTGATTACAGTTTGTGCCTCTCAGACTGAGAACTCTTTTCTTCTTGCTGGGGGCATTGCTATCTCTAGGATGTTTGCCCTGAAGTCCTGATAGTCTCTTTGGGGTTTTAATAAATGGCTGAAAAAATTGTTGTGGGGTTTCAACAGGCGTTCATAGGCACCCTTGCTTGGCAATATAACATGGCTTTTGATGTTTGGGTGTTGGAAGGGATCTTTGAAGTGCTGAGAGGGACTCAGTCTTTTTCCAAAATCTCTGCTTGTGTCTGTCCAGCCTCTGGCTCCACTGCTTGGCTGAGATCCTGGCCCATAGTAGAATCTGTGTAGAGGAAACGAGAGCTCACTATTTGTGAGGCAGCCTGTTCCACTATTGGACTGCTTTAAATGTAGTGATCAGTGATTATGCTATAATCCAATCATGTATTAATTGGGCACCAACTATGCA
Organism: Homo sapiens; assembly: GCF_000001405.40. NCBI lineage: Eukaryota > Metazoa > Chordata > Mammalia > Primates > Hominidae > Homo > Homo sapiens. The sequence continues at coordinate 111,294,475 of NC_000011.10, read as the reverse complement.
CTAGGCATGGTATCAAGTACCAGGAGTACAAAAATAAGTAAACCTTGATTTCTGCTATCAATTACTCTCTTCTCCTACTTCTGTACTACTGCTTTTCTATTGTGAGTTTGTTTAGTTCATTAATTGGTTTATTCATTCATTCAACAATCATATACTGATTAGCTACTCTGACCAGGTCCAGTACTAACTCTGAAGAAGTTATGCCCATCCCATCTTCACCCCAAGCCTTCTCCTTTTGAGACTCCTCATCCAGTTTCTTTAGTTCTTCATATATCACTGTTTTTCAGATCTCTGGCTATCCTTGCCATTGACCTCAGAAATCCTGTATTTGACCTTAACCTTCTTATACCCAGTCCATACCCAAAGTGATGGAAATGGAATAGATTTCTTTTTAAAGTTTTAAACGAATATTTTGACTGAAAAATTTTGGCAGTCTTGTATGCAAATGACACTGCAGAGCATTGTTTTCTCCCCCCCACGTAGGAGATTTTATTCAACTAAGGCACAGGCATATTAAAAGACTTTCAGTATAAGGAAAAGGGGTAGTTTATTCCCTCCAAATTTGACTACAGCTCGAAATTGTCTTTATTAATGCAAAGTTCTTTTGTCACCTTGACTTTGGGACACTGTTACCAAACCTCGTGGGAAATATCAAGTTCCAGAAGATTGAATACATGCAGGAAACAAATGTTTTTTGGGCCCTAGAGTGAACATTTGGTCCATATGAAAATGACCAGGAAGACAATTAGGTGAAGGTTTTTTAATGATTTGTGCTACGTCAGTCTCTTCCCATAAGACATATTCAAAGTTTTAACTTTTCCTTAAGAGGCTTCCATGGGGAGCAAGCATTTGATAATTCATCCTTTAAGAAAAACACCACCGTACACTGCTTGAAGAGTTCCTCTTCTATTACTTAAAACGTTTTTATTGTGCAACATTTAAGGCATACAAAAACATATAAAGAATACCATGATGAAAATCTATGACTGTATTACCAAGCTTAAGAAATAAAACAGTTGAGTGATCTCTCATTTATGACTAAATTAACTTATTAAAACCATTAAAACTTTTGGATTATTCCTGTTAAGATATTTTCTTTTTTTTATTATTATGCTTTAAGTTCTAGGGTACATGTGCACAATGTGCAGGTTTGTTACATATGTATACATGCACCATGTTGGTGTGCTGCACCCATTAACTCGTCATTTACATTAGGTATATATCCTAATGCTATCCCTCCCCCCTCCACCCACCCCATGACAGGTCCCGGTGTGTGATGTTCCCCACTCTGTGTCCAAGTGTTCTCATTGTTCAATTCCCACCTATGAGTGAGAACATGCGGTGTTTGGTTTTTTGTCCTTGCAATAGTTTGCTGAGAAAGATGGTGTCCAGCTTCATCCATGTCCCTGCAAAGGACATGAACTCATCCTTTTTTATGGCTGCATAGTATTCCATGGTGTATATGTGCCACATTTTCTTAATCCAGTCTATCATTATTGGACATTTGGGTTGGTTCCAAGTCTTTGCTATTGTGAATAGTGCCTCAATAAACATATATGTGCATGTGTCTTTATAGCAGCATGATTTATAATCCTTGGGTATATACCCAGTAATGGGATGGCTGGGTCAAATGGTGTTTCTAGTTCTAGATCCCTGAGGAATCGCCACACTGTCTTCCACAATGGTTGAACTAGTTTACAGTCCCACTAACAGTGTAAAAGTGTTCTTATTTCTCCACATCCTCTCCAGCACCTGTTGTTTCCTGACTTTTTAATGATTGCCATTCTAACTGGTGTGAGATGGTATCTTATTGTGGTTTTGATTTGCTTTTCTCTGATGGCCAGTGATGATGAGCATTTTTTCATGTGTCTGTTGGCTGCATAAATGTCTTCTTTCGAGAAGTGTCTGTTCATATCCTTTGCCCACTTGTTGATGGGGTTGTTTTGTTTTTTTTTCTTGTAAATTTGTTTGAGTTCTTTGTAGATTCTGGATATTATCCCTTTGTCAGATGAGTAGATTGCAAAAATGTTCTCCCATTCTGTAGGTTACCTGTTCACTCTGATGGTAGTTTCTTTTGCTGTGTAGAAGCTCTTTAGTTTAATTAGATCCCATTTGTCAATTTTGGCTTTTGTTGCCATTGCTTTTGGTGTTTTAGACATGAAGTCCTTGCCCATGCTTATTCCTGTTAAGATATTTTCTTAGGGGGAAGTTTAGCAGGTATATCTATCAATTTTCCTAATCCAAAAGAGCTAATTCCTAGATACTGTATGTTTGGTCCACATTTCATTCCTCTTGGAACTTCTAACATTTTTTACTGTTCTTTTTTTTAATTGTACTAACAATGACATTGCATATTACAAATGCACGTATGTTATTTATCAGAGATTATAATTAGAGGATACTTTTTTTTTCTTTTTTGAGACAGGGTCTCATTCTGTCTCCCAGGCTGGAGTGCAGTGGTGCAATGATGGTTCACTGCAGCCTTGACCTCCTGGGCTTGAGCAATCCTTCCGCTTCGGCCTCCCAAAGTGCTGGGATTACAGGCGGCGTGAACTGCCACACCTGGTCAGAGGATACTTCCATATCAAAAATCAAATATAATATAATGCCATCATTTGCAAATAACTATAGAATATTTTAATGTTTATTTAGCTTGACCTTTGGGGATTCTTGTTCCTGATTTATCATACTTGTTTTAGTCACACCAGAGATAATGATCAAACATTAAATAACTTTTATTTATAAGATTTCTTAGCAACAGATCATAGTACATGTACATACTAAATGAATATATCAACATTTTTCTGTGCTATTTCAAAGGTTCAGTAATTTTATTTCATAAAGGTATCTAAAAAGACTAAACCAGTCATCTTAAATATATTACCACTAAAGCCCAATATCCACCTACTGTCTGAATTTGGAGAGAGTATGGCTAATGTTAGATACTAAACATGGTGAGAATCCTCTCAGATACTGGTTTCAGAGAGCTGTCACCCATAGAACCAAGGGCTAAAAAGTTACTCATCTTTATGGTATAATTTTACTTCAATCTAACAAAAATTTACTGAGCATCTACAGTGTTCTGGGCCTCGAGCCAGGTGCTGGGACACAGAGGTGAGCCACTCATGAGTCCTCCCCATGAGTCTCTTTAGCTGGAGAACCACTTTGTCTAGAGTGTGTGATTTTGCACTTAACCTCTCTAGAGTCTATGGTGTGTGAGATGAACAGTGTAATATTGTTTTGCATAGAGAGGATACTGTAGACAGAACCCAGTGATGGAGCCTTAAGTAAAGAGTATAATTTTGGTGTGTGGTTGGTAGAATCACTATAATGTAATGTGACTTAAACCTTAGACATCAATCATTATTTTGGTACTTTAAATATAACTGATGTTTTATTCCTTGTGACTACACTATTTAGATATTTACATTAAATATCGAAAAACTGATCACAAAGATACTATAATACTTTTATACATGTGTGTACGTATGTATATATGTATGTATGTATGTCAATGTATGTTTTACTATTGGCATTAGTAATTATTTTCCCTTTATGCAATTTCTTTTAGAGTGCTTCTGTCTTCTCCTCCTACCCAATAGTACCATGAAATTGTATTATTAACTGAGCTATAGCAAGTCATAATGATCATTTGAAATCATTTATTAAATAAATGAGGTAAAGATGTAGTTTTCTTCTCTCCTTTTTTTGGGGTTTGTGTAATATTGTAAGAGGAATGCAAATGCCTTCAACTACATACTGCATGTGTTTCATGGCATGATTGTCTATATTGCAGCTTTTGCATGGGCAAATTGTGCTCAATTTCTTTTTGGCATTATCATCTAGTCAGCTTTCTTTAGTGGCTTGAACTTGACATACCATCTCTGATTACTTTAAGTCTTAAATATATCCTGTGTCCTTACAAGACCTGAAAGAGATGGAGTGTTGAAACAGAGCTCTTTAATTTTCTCTGACTTTCTCAGGAAAGTTGTAAGTCAGTGAATAGCAGGTTTAAGGAAGGTGAGGGAGAGAAGAATGCACCTATTTTTGTATGTTGGCGTGGTACATTGTTATGAAAAGGTGCGATTAGTCCCCACGTGTTGTAGAAAATTGGCTGGGCGCGGTGGCTCACGCCTGTAATCCCAGCACTTTGGGAGACCAACATAGGTGGGTCACTTGAGGCCAGGAGTTCCAGACCAGCCTGGCCAACATGGTGAAACCCCATCTCTACTAAAAATACAAAAATTAGCTGGGTGTGGTGGTGCATGCCTATAATCCCAGCTATTCAGGTGGCTGAAGAAGGAGAATTGCTCGGACCTGGGAGGCGGAGGTTGCAGTGAGCCGAGATTGTGTCACTGCCCTCCACCCTCCTCCAGCCTGGGTGACTGTCTCAAAAAAAAAAAAAAAGAAAGGAAAGAAAACAGAGAGGAATTGAAAGAAAAATGGGGTTGGATAAGGAAATAGAATTAATTTTCCTGTCATAATTTTGTAGTTTGATTTCACCTTTTAACAAAGTATTCCCTGAACAATAAAACAGAATCAAATTAAAATATATGTAAAACAGAGACACATTGTCAAACTAAACAGAATTCTTTTTGTTTTTTGAGACAGAGTTTCGCTCTGTCGCTAGGCTGGAGTGCAGTGGCGCGATCTCGGTCACTGCAACCTCCGCCTCCCAGGTTCAAGCAATTCTCCTGCCTCAGCCTCCCAAGTAGCTGGGACTACAGGCGCCTGCCACCATGCCCAGCTAATTTTTTGTATTTTTTAGTAGAGACGGGGTTTCACCATGTTAGCCAGGATGGTCTCGATCTCCTGACCTTGTGATCCACCCTCCTCGGCCTCCCAAAGTGCTGGGATTACAAGCGTGAGCCACTGCGCCCAGCCCAAACTAAACAGAATTCTTGAAGATCACTTATTATTTGGAATTATTAGCACCAGCCCTACTCCCCAAACCCCTTTTAGACTAGATAACTGAAGTGGACACTAGCAGGCATATGTGGGCCTGAGTGTGTCTCTTTTTTATAAGTTAATTTAGTCAAATGCTATGAAAGGGATAGGATGCTTTAAGAAGAATGTAAACATTGTCGTGCTCCCTGTATTTACCTCTGTTCCAAGGTCTGGTTGTTGAGCTCTCTTTGTCTGAGAGCCAGTGCATCTTCAAGTTGTTAGGAGATGAAGGAACACGTGAACATGCATAATATTCAGTGTCACCTCTCAAAAGAAGACATTTATGCAGCCAACAGACACATGAAAAAATGCTCATCATCACTGGCCATCAGAGAAATGCAAATCAAAACCACAATGGGATACCATCTCACACCAGTTAGAATGGCAATCATTAAAAAGTCAGGAAACAACAGGTGCTGGAGAGGATGTGGAGAAATGGGAACACTTTTACACTATTGGTGGAACTGTAAACTGGTTCAACCATTGTGGAAGACAGTGTGGCGATTCCTCAAGGATCTAGAACTAGAAATACCATTTGACCCAGCCATCCCATTACTGGGTATACACCCAAAGGATTATAAATCATGCTGCTATAAAGACACATGCACAAGTATGTTTATTGTGGCACTACTCACAATAGCAAAGACTTGGAACAAACCCAAATGTCCAACAATGATAGACTGGATTAAGAAAATGTGGCACATATACACCATGGAATACTATGCAGCCATACAAAAGGATGAGTTCATGTCCTTTGTAGGGACATGGATGAAGCTGGAAACCATCATTCTCAGCAAACTATTGCAAAGACAAAAAACCAAACACCGCATGTTCTCACTCATAGGTGGGAATTGAACAATGGGAACACTTGGACACAGGAAGGGGGACATAACACACCGGGGCCTGTCATGGGGTGGGGCGGGGAGGGATAGCATTAGGAGATATACCTAATGTAAATGATGAGTTAATGGGTACAGCACACCAACATGGCACATGTATACATATGTAACAAACCTGCACGTTGTGCACATGTACCCTAGAACTTAAAGTATAATAATAATTAAAAAAACAAAAAACAAACAAACAAAAATTCAGAGTCATAATCACATGAAAGTTAAAGTTATGTGGACACATATTCATGATTTACACAGCCACTACTGTGTTACTGATACCCAGTAAAATGGTAAGCAGTAGAGGACAAATCATTTTAAACTTTACAACACCAATCTAGGAAAATGACCCTGAGACCCTTGTGAAGACCTCTATATCTGCAGAGAGGGCCAGATCTCTTCTTTCTGATGCACAGGCCTGCTCTTCAGGTATGAGTAACTGCTGAATGACAGATGGTTCTACCAGCCATATTGGGAACCAAGACTGAGGTTGCAAGTCATGCTGGATTTAGGAAAGAACAGCTCCTTTCTTGCACTGTGAATGTTGCCACTTTTCACTGAAGAGCAAGCACTAAGCAAAGCAAAGTTCAGGCTGCCCAAAGGAGCTGGTGGAGGGGGAGGAAGTGGGGCAGGGGGCCTGGCAGTGCTGCCCAGGAGCAGAGAGCCCCACGCGTTCACTCTTGATCTACTCCCTGAAGAATGCTCTGCCTGGAGGGAGCCGAAAGGATGAGGTGAACGAAAGCTCACTACCCAAGCATTTCTGGTGGCACTCCATAAACTAGAAGTGAGTTTGCTTAACCAGAAAATACCTTGAAGGCCTGGAAAAAAAAGGAATATCAATTATTTGCTTGTAAGTGTGAATTAATCCCCTTGTTGGAATTTCTGGGCTTCTACCTTGCTGAGGTAGAGTATGGGACAGTCACAGAGGATGTGATGGAGATTGTGTTGAGGGTCTTTGGGCAACTAGAGGGAAAATGAAGGCCTTGGCCTCCAGAAGATGGAGAGAAATGGCATTGGATCAGGAGGGACCAGAGGGTGGAAAAGATGTGAGAATGAAGTGCAGAAAGACAGGTGGTAGGAAGCTAAGAAGAAGGGTGCAGGTACAACCCGGGGGCCTCCACTCATGCATCTGCAAAGTCTCAGTGTATACCAGGCATGTATGATGAGCTTGGCCGCAGATAGGCATGCTGGAATTATGCTGGGAACCCAATTAGCAAAGGAACCCACACCAATCCAATGTGGACAGATTCATGCTTCAGATGTCAATATCTTCATTGACACATAGTAAGAGCTGCACTTTTCCGACTAGTAAGCCACCAAATAGGAGGTGCTGTTTGTCAAGCCATCGGCTCACACATGGCAATATGTCCTTCTCCAAAGTCCTTTTGCTTCTTGGTGTTTTGTGGTCTGTTTCTTGCCAACAGCTTAGTCCTATTTTCTGTATTTTCTTTAAAGGGTATGAATTTGGTTGGGTGTGGTGGCTCACGCCTGTAATCCTAACACTTTGGAAGGCCATGGTGGATGGATAGATTGAGGTCAATAATTCAAGACCAGCCTGGGCAAATAGTAAGACATTGTCTCTACAAAAACTTTAAAAAAAAAGTAAAAAATAAAAACACTAGCTGGGCATGGTGGCATACACCTGGGTCCCAGCTACTTGGGAGGCAGAAGTAGGAGGATTCCTTGAGCCCAGGAGATTGAGGCTGCAGTGAGCCATGATTACACCACTATACTCCAGCCTGGGTGATAGAGTGAGACCCTGTCTCAAAAAAAAAAAAAATTTCCATTTGATTACAGAATGCCTATTTTACTCATTCATGCTGATAACTGTAGGTTTATTCCATCAGAGAGACAATGTCTGGTTTAATTAAGGCCATCACTGATCAAAGAAAATTTTTGGACTTTTTTGGATTGAACTAATTTGGGGACATTCTGGGCTTTAGGATAGAGTCAAAAAATAACTTTGTTATGTACAAAGCCATAGTTTCCTGATCTCATCCTATTTTATGGACAATAACATATTTATAGATTGTACCTTTTTTTTAACTGGGGTTTTACAAGTCACTATAATAAGCCATAAATATATGTATATGAAACACTTCACTCTTTCAAGTCACATGCTATAAAATGAGTTTTATGTGGTCATATCTATATTATATCCTATCCAGTGTCTTTTACTGCAGAATACACATAGTTTAAAACTAAGAAACATCTGACAGGAAAATCAGTATCTTTTATGATCTGCATAAACTTTTTAATGTAATTTAAGAAAAATCAGTGCCAAAAATGATACTTCAAAGATAACAGAAGATTCAGAACGTAATGGGTTACAACAGTTCCAAAAAGACCACATTGTAAGGTTATCTTACTAGAATACGGTCTCTGACACATTTAATTAACATTCTGTTTTATTTCAGTGGGGTTACAGTGGAGAGGATTACAAATAAATGCCCTCGTCCACTAACAAAGAGCAGCATTGAGGCTTATTCTGAAAATCCAGTCCTGAATGGGCTGACACACCTAAAACAATCTTTGGAATACACCTCAAGTTAAAGAAAAACCCAGAAGTCATTTGGCCCTCCCCTCAATAAGCTCTGCGGCATTCATATGACCCCCAGGCAATACTCCCATCTTCTTTCACCCAAGGGGAAGGGTCATGGAGGGAACCGGTGTCTGCTTCCTCATCTGGGGAGAGTGGCCCCACCTTGGGCGGTAGGTCATTTGACACCGTCATGAAAGGGGTGAAGGGGTAAGGAGGCGGGGTAGGGTACCCCGGAGTGTGGTGCAGATCTTCCAGAGCATGCAGCGAGTATGACTGAGCCCCAGCCAGGGATGACCCCCAGCTTGAGCCCCTGTGCTGGGCGATGCTCCCGGACTCAAGCTGGGAGAGGCAACTCGTGCTGGGTGGCAAGGTCAGCAGGGCATCGGCAGACACAGGGTCAGGCTGGCTGAGACCGTCAGGCAACGTCTGCTCCCATGAGTCCCTCTGAGGAGAATGGAAAGGCCACGGAGGTTATTCACTAGGTGACACTCTGATGATACATTGTGTGCTGCCAGACTGTGGCTTCAGGGCAGCCTTCGTCCCCTCTCTCTGCTGCCTGAAGCCTGGCTCTCAGGCTGCTCTTCTCTCCGGCTTTTGACACCAGCAGTGAAAGTTTTCCTCCCTTCCTACTCTAGAATTAGATTTGCTATAGATATTGAGATTCCTTTTCCCAGAAGACAACATTAAATGAGTGAAATGTGAGACTAATAAAATGCACATGTATGCAACATTTTACTGTGTGCAATGCACTCTGTCTTGGATTCTTTTTGAGTCTCCCATTAGTCTGGGTCCTAGAATGCCATTTACACAGTGGGGAAGGTCAGCGCTTGGCCCACTCCTCGGAGTAGGCCTTCAACTCCATGGTGAATTTTTGAGGGGACTGAGAAGCCCACTCTGTCCTCATTAAAGCAGGAGGAAAGAGGTAGGAATCCCGTAAGTTTGGAGCTAGAAAGATTTGGATTCATTCGTGGCTCCTCCTGACTCTGAGCCCGACATTGCTCATCTGTAAAATGGGACTTTCATAAATATATCCTGAGTTGTTGCAAGTATTGAATGAACACATCACATTTCCTGGCATAGAGTATACTTAATAATGTGAATTCTCATCCTCTCCCTTTTGTCTAAACTCCTGTCTTTAGAGCTTCATTACTTTGTGGTAGAAACCTTTACTATTCTCTATGAGCATTAGCAATCTTCAGATCTTTATGAACTCACCTGTTTGGAAGGATTGAGAGAGAACAAGGATTTTTAGGCTAAAAATGTGGGGAAGGGGAGGCAGGGGACTTGGAAAGAAAGAGGAGCCCTATGTACCCTCCTTGGGAGATTATGATCCATCTCATTACTGCCTAGCATGTCTGAGATGCAGCTTCAGTGTTCCTTCCTTAGGGGCTGCAGGAATGATGACGACTGGCACTAACAGGGTGGGGGAACATCAGGCAATATCAGTAGAGCATTAACAAAATGGATATAAATCCTGCTGCACATTCCTCCCGGTTCCAAGCCCTGCGTAGACGCTCCTGGCTGTCATGGCTAACAGGGATCCTTGAACAAGGCTCCCTCGGAGGGTGTCCTGGCATCTCTAGGCAGCTGCAAAGCAGCCTCTGGAGTCTACAGGGTGAGCCAGACCTGGCTTCAACCCGGATGCCAAGCACAGCGGCTGGCCAGAGGGCGAGCCTCGCCCCTCTTTTACTCCCTCACACGAGGTCTCTGCATACTCACAAATAGGAAGTGAGCTGGGTCTCCGGGGAAGGGCGGTGGCAGGAGCGGCGGTAGGGGCGAGGCGCTGAACAGAGAGCCCGCGTTGGGCGTCAGCGCCGGAGGCCGGTAGTCTCCGTAGGGCTCCTGGGGGAAGTAGGGCTCCAGGAGAGCCGCATGGCTCTGCCCTGCGGAGGACTCACAGGGAAACGGCTTCCCCACGCTGGAGGTGTAGACGTCATTTGAAAACTGTTTACTGTTGTGGAAGTCTGAGTCAGATAAGAAAGATCTTCTGACACCGTAGTAACCTGACGTGACCGGCGAACCTGTTGCCAAATGAAAAACACATGGGCAGAAAATTCCTCCCAGGGCGGTCAAGGCCTCGGTTGCAGCTGAGTCTCTGCCTGGGAAACGATGTTACTAACGCGTGCCTGACTCCAACGCTAACATGGAAATAGAGAAATGTCTTGAAAAGCGTGAAATATTCCTGCATTAGCCCAAATAACTAACGTTTGAAAACATTGTCGCCTTTAGGGGTGAGTTCATTTTAGACAGTACCGTGTCTGTTCATTCATTCACATTTACTGAGTACCTTCCCGGTGACCGGCGCTGTGCTAGGAAGACATAAATGAAATAATCTCTTGGCATTCATATTTTAACCAAGGAAGCATCTTTTTCACAACATCGGAGCTACCTCTCCATATACATAGAACTGTTAACAAGAGGTGCTCCTGGCCTGTTATCTGAGATCGCTATGTCTGGATAAGGTAACACATATAACCCCACCTCAAAGAGGCAGGCTGTACTCTGCCTTCTAATTCTTCACACATTGACCTTACACTGGGTCGCACGCCTGGCAGACATCAATAAATGACTTTCTTTAGGATTAGATGGCCACACAGAAGCCAATTTTAGAGGCCTGTAGTTTTAGGGTTTTGATGAGTTTTATGTTATTTGCTGCCCTCTTGTGGCCTCATGGACTCCTTCACTCAACTCACCAGGGCCCAGCACGTTTAGGAAGACAGTGCCGGCTACATAAAGTTTCCCTTGGTGGTGCAGGCTCGGTGGCTCACACCTGTAATCCCAGCACTTTGGGAGGCCCAGGCTGGCGGATCACGAGGTCAAGAGATTGAGACCATCCTGGCCAACATGGTGAAAACCCATCTCTACTAAAAACAATACAAAAATCAGCTGGGCCACCATGCCTGTAATCACAGCTGCTGTAGTCCCAGTTACTCAGGAGGCTGAGGCAGGAGAATTACTTGAACCCGGGAGGTGGAGGTTGCAGTGAGCTGAGATCTCGCCCAGAGCAAGAGTCCGTCTCAAAAAAAAAAAAAAAAAAAGTAAAAAGTTTTCCTTGGTGGAGAGAGGGAGGGACAGAAACTGATAAGAGCTTCATTTAAGGTAAGCCCAGCAGTGAAATGGTTTCCAAGGAAAAAGGTGTGTTTGCTCAACACTTTCTGACCCCGTAGCTCAGTTGTAGCAGAAAACACTGATCATTCAGAACATGTTTGAGGGCATAGACTTGAGGTCTATAAAACTGATGGTTTAATTGTTCCAGCTGGCCTTGGGTGTGATCTAATGCTAACACCAACACCCTTAGGTCATAGGTCACAAAAAGGCTGAACTGGGGAGAAGATATAAGTGCCTGTCTTCCTTACCTTACCCCAACCACAGCAGCAGACCACTTCTGAGCTTCTGATTCTATAGACACAGAATTCCAGCCCGTTCCACAGGATGTGGCACTTTATATTATGCTCATTCCTCTTTCACCTGAGTCACAATGATCTTTCCAGTCAACCTGCGAGCCCAAGGGGGCAGATCTCATGCCTTATACATTTTCTTTAAACCTAGTAGTATAACATTGTGTTCAAGAATGGCATGTGAATTTATTCATCCAGAAGAAGAAATCAAAATTCCCCATCAAAACCTGTGGCACGACTCCACTCACTTCACTTTCATCTTACATTCTATAACTTCTAACCTGCTCATGCATTTGAAAGCTGAAGTTAGGGTTTTCATTATAAGCATACTTCCTTGGGAAAAAATCTGTGCAGCTGAACCTTAATATAAATAAATAAGGTTCTGTTTCATACAATGAAATTATATTTATGAGAGCGGTTAAGGTTGAGAATATGAAAACAAGGTTTCCAGGCTCTCATCTATACTCCCAATTTCCAAATCAAAACAACCACGAAGAAAAAAGCCTCTGCTCTCTTAGCATGGATTTTCTCTGTACAAAGAGAAAGGATAATTTCTAGATAAAGAGAAGCTATGGAAATTTTTCTTTTTTTTTTCTGTAGAAGGCAGGAGATGCCACCAAATTTCAATGGCACTATATATGATTGGGAAACAACATACAGACATTTAAATATTCGGGATCCTCGATTGCTCTTATTCCTTTCCCTTATCCAGCTCTGAAGGTGATAAAACTATTAGGGAATGTGCCGCGTCTGAGTTGAACTAAATGAGATTGTCTTTGCCTGTGTGGTGTGTGTTTATACAAGAATGTCCAACAGTATTATTAGGAATTCCCCTTTTACATCCCCACAGGAGTATTTAATGAGACATAGGCATTGAAATGAATTCAAAATACTGAACCAAATGCCTGACTCCCTCTGCTCGCAGACGGCTTTCCCCTTTCTGTTTGAAAGCAGATGCCTCATCTATCAGATCATGGTGTCAGAACTTTAGACAATTTAAAACTGTATCAAGGGCATAATTTATATTGCCTTTGCCCCAAAAGCTTGGGATAAAAGGGCTGCTTTCAAGACAAAATGAATTTTAAATTCAGAAATTACTGCATGAGTTCTGTCCTTCGCTGATTTTGTATTTTAGACAAAACTATTTTAAAGGAGCAGAGTTTTGGAAGTGTTGTAAGGTCGTTATGAAAGAATGGAAGCCCAGATGCTTGATTTAAATTCAAAAGGGAATAATTGCTTATTGAATTAAAGTACTCACCTGGCATCTGCACAAATGGAGACTGAGAGGAACTGACGCTGCCCTGGAAGGTAAACAGAATTCAAGTGTTTTCTTTAGTTGTAAGTTTGAATTTAATAAAAATTAGGAATACACCTTATAAGCTTGGTTTTATGATATTCAGAAGTATTATCTGGGGAGTTGGGTTGACCCTCAGGTCAACTGAGAATAAGAATTCAAGTACCATAGAACAAAGTTTTACAAGGGACAAAGAGCAACCACACTTTTACATTTTGATAAACATGCCAGAAAGCACTGGCTGGATGAAATGTAGTAATTTATCCTTCATCTTCTACTGTTCCAGTTAACATTCCCTCATCCAATATATATTAAGTGACTATATATACGCATATCCAGTAGCCTCCCCTTACCCACGAGGGATATGTTCCAAGACTCCCCAGTGGGTTCCTAAAACTGAGGATAGCACCACACCTGATTGCCATCATGTCCTCCACCCACAAACTCAATGCCTTTTCCATCTTAGCTAAGAATTTATCATGCATTGTGGCCACAGTTTTGCAGTTCGAGGTGCAACAGCAAAACTCGCATGAATTTCTTTCGCCTTCTTCACAATTTCACAGACAAAAGATTTGTTCTTACCATACCAATGTCTGACCTCAGCATACATTTTTTTTCTTTCCTTATTAAGTTGAGAACGTTTACTTTTTCATTTAAAGGAAGCACATTCCGGCTTCTCTTTGGCATATCTAAATTGCCAGTGTCACTACTCTTGTGCTTTCGGGCCATTGTGAAATACAATAAGGGTGACTTGAACACAAGCACTGCCATACAGAGACAGGTGATCCAATCACTGAGTCGGCTACTGAGACACTAACGGGCAGGTGGTGTAGACAGTGTGGATTGGCTGGACAAAGGTAAGATTCAAGTCCTGGGCAGCACAGAGTGGGACTGAATGAAATTTCATCACACCACTGAGAAAGGCATGCCATTTAAGATCTAGAAATTGTTTATTTCTGGAATTTCGCATTTAGTATGTTCAGACTGCAGTTAACCATGAGTAGCTGAAACCTCAGAAAGGGAAACCATGGCTAAGGGGCGCCTACTGTATGTGTGTATGTGCATACATGCACTTAGTGTTTGGCTTCAGCACTGAAGGGCCACTTCAATGTTTACTGTCTGAATCCATGTGGAGGAAGAAGCTCCACCAACTGTAGGGACCTTGACTGTGATGTGCCCTCAGTGCCTAGAACAGGGTGTAGTTCATAATAGACGTAAGAAAAATATGTGGAATGAAGACACAATCTTCAAAGAACCCACAGGCTAGAGAGCAGGGAGAGGTTGGGGAATGTGGTGGGTTGCATTATGTGCCCCCTCCAAAAGATATATATATATATATATATATATTTTTTTTTTTTTTTTTTGAGATGGAGTCTCACTCTCTCACCCAGGCTATAGTGCAATGGCACGATCTCGGCTCACTGCAACTTCCACCTCCCGGATTCAAGTGATTCTCCTGCCTCAGTCTCCTGAGTAGCTGGGATTACAGGCACGCACCACCACACCTGGCTACTTTTTGCATTTTTAGTAGAGATGGGTTTCACTGTGTTGGCCAGGCTGGTCTCGAACTCCTGACCTCAGGTGATCTACCTGTTTCGGCCTCCCAAATTGCTGGAATTTCAGGCATAAGCCACCCAAAGTTATATTGATACCTTAATCCCTGATACCTGTGAATGTGACGGTATTTGCTAATAGGGCTGTTAAAGATGTAACTACTTAAATTAAGATGAGGTCATATTAAATTAGGGTGGGTCCTAAATCTCATGTGACTGATGTCCTAATAGGAAGAGGAGAGGGACGCACAAAGACACAGATGCAGATGGGACAAGGTCATGTGAAGACAAAGGCAGCAGTTTGAGTGATACAACCTCAAGCCAAGGAACATCGAGGATCACCAGTGACAACTGCCAGCTAGGAAGAGGCAAGGAAGGATTCTCCCCAGAGGCTCCAGAGGGAGCATGGCCCTGCTGACACCTTGATTTTGGACTTCTAGCCTCTAGAGCTATCTATGAGATGATACATTTCTGTTGCTGTAAGTCATCCCATTTGTGGTAACTTGTTACTGCAGCCCTAAGACACCAATACAGGGGTGATTGATGACAAAACAGAATATTCGGTGTAGTATGAGAAGTGGCAGGGTCAGGGAAAGATGGGGTGATGCGGGCACCTAAACTGGTGTCAAGAATGGGGTGGGAGACACATCTTGCAGGATGCAGTGCCTAAGCTGACCTCTGAAGGAAGAGTATCTAGGCGTGTAGAGTCTTAAAATACGCAAATCATGGCTCCGAGATGTCCTGGAGCAAAGTAAGTGGAGAGGGTGTAGCTTCTGTGGAAGTTAAGAATCCTCAACATCCAGTTCATTGAATCCGAGCTCTTTTGCAGTGACTTTAATGATTCTATAGACTCTCAAGAGTTGGAAGAAATTTTATAGAGTCTCATTCAATGATTACATTCTCTCCATATTACTAACACCAGGTGCATCTAATATCCAGGCACACAGAACTTAGCACCCTCTGAGGAAACCCATTTCTTCTTTAGGAACTTTTACCAATTACAAAGTTGGCTGGAAAGAATAACTTTCTAGTTCTAATCCCTTTGGTCTTTATAGAATAAGTTTAACACTTCTTGCATACACAGCCCTTCAAATATCTGAAGACAAGCCTATGAAAAATACCATAGACTGCATGGCTTAAATAACAAAAATTTATTTCTCACAGTTCAGGAGACTGGAAGTCTGAGATCTAGGTGTGGTTTTTAGTGCGGGCCCTCTTTCTGGTTTGCAGAAAGCTGGCTTCTCACTGTGTGTTCACATGGCTGAGAGAGAGAGAGAGAGAGAGAGAGAGAGAGACAGAGAGAGAGATCATCTCTCTGGTGTCTCTTCTTATAAGGACACTAATCCCATTAGAGGGATTCACCTGCAAGATCTAATTACCTCCCAAAGGCCCCTTCTCCAAATGCCATCACACAGGGGATTAGCACCTCAACATTTGAATTTTAGGGGAATGCAAACGTGCAATTGCAATCTGTAATATCAACCTCGAGTTCGAACTTCTCCAGGCAAAATATCTTCCAACAACTCAGAAGCAGCATGGTAATTAAGAGTAAAGCCTCTGGAACCAGAGTGACTACATTTGAATCCCAGCTCTACCTCTTATTAGCTGTGGGATCTTGGGCACATGAAGATTAAATGAGATTATTACATCGAGCACTTAGAATAGTGTCTGCCACATGGTAAACAGCATATGTGCCTTAGCTATTATTACTATTATGCATTTGTTGGTTCCTTCAAATCTGTGGTATATTTCTCCAAACCTTTTGATTTATGGGTTTTCCTGTTTAATATTTTAACACTTTTAAGTGGCAGAAGGGAACTCTCGGGCATGTAATGGTCAGAAGTAGGTCCCTTAATATTTCTATGAGAAGGAAAGGGGCAGTGATTAAATCACAGATGCACTTGTATTTGGGCACATATTCCCATGTAGCAGGCGCCCATGTTATCCAGTGTTACCCTCCCATTTTCAGCTCTGTGGTGTGGCTGGGTCTTTCCTTGAAGATCTGTGCCAACACATATGTCTTCTGGCTTCAGCCTCAGCCTCCTTCCAGGTTAAGTAGGATGTGCCAGGGGGTGGTAGCTGTCCTGGGTGCCGCCCAGGGAGATGTCCCATTGTTCTTCTCCCACCTTCTCTTCCTGCCTGCTTCCCTTAAACTGCTCTGGCCAAGGCTGGGGCCAGGATCAAGGCCCCTGTGAGACACAGCACACATGCCCAATCCGATGAGCATCAGCATCAGCACCCTATTTGCCCTCAGCATGTTAGCCATTTATTTATCAGCTGGAGTGGCTCTGCCTCCTGCCTCTGCCCCAGGCAGGGAGAGAGCCCAGTCTATGTCATTGTGGCTGACACAGCCCCTTCACCTTTTGACATATCTGCTCTAAAAGTTTTTCTGTCTTTCTCCTCTACTGCCAGCAATCTCCAGCATCTTCTACGATGCCTCCTCCATCTTCTGCCCAGGCCTAATTATTACTGTGGAACTGACAGTACCGACTCCTCCCCAGCCCAATTTTTATACCAGAAGACTCTACAAAGATTTCACAATTAAAGGTCTAGTGGATTTTATTTATTACTTGATGAAGCTTTTTGTACTCTTGTCTCCTATGTGATTTTGTTCTCTACCTGCTGTGGAAATTGTACTCTCTGTTTTCATTCTTTATGATTACCCTTACAATTTTACCATGTATATTTAACAAAACCTACAAACAATATCTTAAACCTGCAATTGACAGATAAGAACTGTCCCTCTTCTAATTTATGGGTGTGCTATTCTCTTTTCTTTTAGCTTGTTTTTTGTTATTAAGCTGTCACAAATTAGACATCAATATCATCATTTAATTCAGTAATTCTGTATTAGATTTACTAATTTGAATTAAGGTTCAAATGTCTACCATTTGCTTTGCTTATTCCTTTCCCAGACTTTCTTTCTAGGTTCATTTCCTTCTTCTGAAGTAATTTTTTGGAAAATTCCTTAAGTGTCAGTGGTGTTGACAGTAAACTCTTTCAATTTCTATTTATCTGAAAATATTATTTGTTTTGACTTTGTATTTGAAAGATAATACCGCTGGATTCACCATTTTAACTTTGTAGTTTTTTTTTTTTTTCTTAGCACTTTGAAGATGTCATTCCACTGTCTTTTAGCTTCCACAATTGCTGTTGAGGCGTCTGCTATTGGTCTTTTATACCATTATCTTTTTTTTTCTTTTTTTTTTTGTGATGGAATCTCACACTGTCACCCAGGCTGGAGTGCATTGGCACAATCTCAGCTCACGGCAACCTCCGCCTCCTGGGTTCAAGCGATTCTCCTCTCTCAGCCTCCCAAGTAGTTGGGACTACAGGCATGTGCCACCATGTCCAGCTAATTTTTGTACATATATATATATATATATATATATATATATTTTTTTTTTTTTTTCTTTTTAGTAGAGATGGGGTTTCACCATGTTGGCCAGGATGGTCTCAATCTCTTGACCTTGTGATCCACCTGCCTTGGCCTCCCAAAGTGCTGGGATTACAGGTAGGAGCCACCGCGCCCGGCCAGTATCTGCTATTGGTCTTTCAGTTATTCTTTGTGACAATCTTTTCCTTATTTCTGACTGTTTCCAATATACTCCCTTGGTCTTTGAGGTTCTTCAAGTTCACCTCATTTTATCTAGAGGCAGATTTCTTTTTATTTATCTTGCTTGATAGAATGGGCTTCATGAATCTAGGGATTCATGTCGTTCATAAATTCTGAAAAAATGTCAGCCATCATCTCTTCAAATATTGTCTTGTCTTTATTATGACTGTTCTCTCCTCCTGGGACTCTGTTTAGATACATGTTAGAACTTTTACTATTATCCTCAAAATCCCTTAACCTCTCTATTTTCTCTGTGTCTGTGATTCTTTCTTCTATATTTTGGTAGAGATTGGCATAGATTTCTTCAGATGTGTTTTCAGTTCACTAATTCTTTATTCAACTGTAGTTAATTTGTTATTTAACTCACACATTGAATTTTTATATTCATGATTTTATATTTTTTTATTTCTATAAATTCCATTTGATTTTTAGAATCTATTTGGTAAATTTTGACAGCCTCTTGTTGAGTGCTCATTATGTATTAAGTGTTATGTATTTTGTGTTCAGTAATTCTAATATATGAAAGTTCTGGGAATTTAAATTTATTGTCTATTGTTCATGTGGACTCACTCATAGTGGTTTGTTTTCTTACGCATGGGTGATCTTTGATTGAAACTCACATCTTGTTGGCCTAATCTGTGAAGATCTGGGGTCCTGAATTGAGGCTGCTTTCCTCTAGAAGATTTATGTTTCTATCTATGGGGAGCCAGATGCCTTCCAGGTTCCCCACATTAATCCTGGAGTCCAAGGTTCAGCCTCCCAACCCTGGCAACAGGTCAAGAACCAGTCTTCACATGTAAAGCCAATTGGACACCTGTCCTCAGGAAACCTGTCTTTTTGGAATGATCACCTTCTCATCATTTGGTGCTTTGCTTTCTGCTCAAACCCTTTTTCAATCTCCCATGCCAACTTCTGCCCCTACCCCCAGCTTTGGAGATTTCCCTTACTTTCTGCTAGCTCAACAACTCACTAAAATTTGTATTATGTAAGATCCAGTTTTGTTGTGGGAGAGTTCTTCTCAATCCCCTAATACCAGAGTTGAATCTGTAAATATTGAGCCTAGACGTAGATACCTTCCTGGTTTTAACACAGCACAAAGCTTTTATTTTTCCATGACTCCCAACATTTTCCAGCAGACATTTAAATTATAACAGAAGTAATTCATAAGCACTTACTTATAGTAATTTCATAAACACACTGTTGGCCATTGCTATGGTCAACTGTGTTATATGTATCATCTCATTTAATTCTCACGACCATCCCAGAAGATAAGTAATATTATTCTCATTTTGCCAGTGAGGGAACCTAAGCATAGAGAGAATAACCTGATTTCCCTTCTAGGAGAGGATTGGTTGTGGCGATGGTGGTAGTCGGTGGAATTAGACAAGGGCCTTTCTGATATCAGAGCCTGTTTCTTAACCACCGCACCAGTCTGCTTTGGAAGCATTTTAATAACTCAACAATTAAAAATAGAAAAGCATCCTAGTTTGAAAAAATTTAGTATAATGGAGACTTAGGGACATCCAGAGAGATCATTTATTATATAAATTATATAAATTTATATATTATATAAATTATATAAAAGCTCACAAAGAGGATCGGGTGGGGTGCTTTCCTGTCTGTCTGTCTGTCTATCTGTCTCTGTCTCTTTCTCTCTCTTTCTTTCTTACACACACACATGCACACACACACACATCCTTAATCCTTTGAGTGACATTCTACTTTTGAAGGGGTCAGCTTTATTGAGATGTAATTTACATATAATAAAATTCACAAAATTTAAGGGTACAATTTGATGAATTTTGGCAAAATTTGATGAACACTTGTGACCTATCACCACAATCATGATGTAAAACATTTTCATCAGACTAGTCAGTTTATATATATAATTAATGCTGCCCCCTCTGTGGTGACCTGGGAAATATTTTGATGGATAAACACAAAAGTCAGTGATAATGGACCTCTTCAGTTGGTATCACAGACCCTAGAAGACTCCTAAAGGGCCTGCATGGGGCTGGGAAGGGTGCCACTGGTAAGATTTCAGAGCTACCACTTGCTTCTCCATCCCATTTCCAGATTTCACGGGTCAGGAGAGAAAAGCCTAAGCCAGGGTCCTTCAGCATGTGCACTCAATTGTCATTTCCTACGTGAAGGGAAATCTTACATTTCTTTCTTGGTTCAATATATTGTATTCACACAGTTGCCTCTTATCCTGCAAATCCTCCAAAAAATAACATTGAAATTAACATTGAAGAGCCCATAACTTTTGACCAAGCGAGATGGTATATAATTTTTATTTTGCATACTGCAAACAACAGGATCCTGCAATGCCAGCTAGCCAAATTTAGAGGTTTATATTTGAATGAAATTTGCCAGCCTGCAACTTCCTGCAGCTAACACGGCAGGCTCACAGCTGCCCCCAAAGCCCCTCCATGAAAATGAGTTAATTTGAACTAATAGGTCACCAAGGTAGTAAAGTGATAAGATTAGGAGTTTCCCTTGAGTACATTTATAGTCATTTTATTATCCTATAATAATATTTTTAGGTGCCAACCTAGTTGAAGGACATATTGAAATGTACTAAGGAAGTGATGTCTGACTAGCATGACATGTTTCATACTGCTGTATAATTTTATTTCTTAATTCAAATTGAGATAAAATTTAGTTTAGAAAATAAGTCTTCAAACTTAAAGATATTGCTACTAATGCTTAAGTAATAATAATCATAGCCACTTGTGAACAGGTGATATCCCTCTTTGAGATATTCATAGTATTTTATACATTTAATTTTTCATTGTCATCATTTCTATGGTTGTGAGGCAGGTGGAGCTGATGATACCATATTGAACATCTGACACCACATTTTAATGTCTACATTTAGATCCACCATAGGTCATGTGGTTTTCCTCCAACTTTGGAATTAAAGGAAGGTTAATGCTGGATGTTAACACAGTTAGTCTTTAAATGGGCACTGATGTTAGGTTGTAACATCTCCCCAGAAAAAAAAAATGGATATAGAGATTTACATGCCTTAGTTAACAGGAGAAGTATATAGTAGAACCAAGGGCATTTCGGTTGGTGTGAAATCTGGTGTGTTGGCTAAACTATCTCAAACATATCTTATAAATCTTATTACTTTTGAAAAGTTTGAAACAGGTTTTGATTTATAGGCCACTTATCTGAGTTATATATTTGATTGTAAATAAGAAAAATACTCTATAATGAATATAAACTACAGTTATAAGCATCTACTATGCATCAGAAAAGGGGCAAATCAATGTGTGGAGGATTTGAATTGGGTGCTGAAGGCTGAGAGGATGCAGACAGGAGAAAGGAAGCTCCCAGGAAGGAGGAATTTTGTGAACCAAACACAAGGTGGGAAAGCACAGCTCTTCTTCAGGGAATAATAAGCAAGTTGGCTTGTCTAGAGCAGAAGTTTCATTTCATTCATTTTATTAAAATGTATTCTGTGCCTACTCTGCACCAGGATTGTGGTAGTTTCCAGAAATACAAAGAGGAGTAAGACATAGATTCTATTCTCGACAGCACACAGTTTCATCGCAAAAACAGGTGCATAAATATATATGTAATTGGTGCAATAATAGAAATAAGGGTTGTGGTTGAGAAGACTAGCATTTCCTGGTGCCACTTCCCGCCAGACTCTGTGTCTGGCACTTTACATATGTTAGTGTGTCTGTGTGATCATTTTTAGTGACAACTAATGTCTGGGTTCTTTATGTACTCTGTAGAGTGTGAGATGATTTACATGCATTATTTCATTAGATCATCACCATTAACCAATGAGATAGATTGTTATAATCCCTAGCTTATTGATGGGAAAACTAATAGATACTTCTGAAGGACTTGTCCAAGGTCACAAAGCTGCTAAGTGACATAGCCTGAATTCTAAATGTGATTTAGTGCAGGTATGGGGGTGGGGGCAGGGATGAAGTTTGGGGTGGTGATGAGGTGATTTACTGTCCTGGGGGAATGTGATTTAGCACATCAAAACATAGATGATATCTGAGTCTGGTTCTGAAGGCTAGATAAAAGGAAATCAGTTTAAGGGCTATTGTTGCTGGAGGGAGAAGCAAAGGCTCAAAATGTGAGGAACTGCATGTCACATACCTGGAAATGTGGGCAGGAAGTGTGAAGACAAGAAAGCTGAAGAGAAGCTGGAGGAAGATGCAGGAACCAGGTTATAAAGTTCTTTTTTTTGAGATGGAGTTTCACTCTTGTTGCCCAGGCTGGAGTGCAATGACACAATCTTGGCTCACTGCAACCTCCACCTCCTGGGTTCAAGTGATTCTCCTGCCTCAGCCTCCCAAGTAGCTGGGATTACAGGCACCCTTCACCATGCCCGGCTAATTTTTTTTTTTGTATTTAGTAGAGACGGGGTTTCACCATGTTGGGCAGGCTGGTCTCGAACTCCTGACCCCAGGTGATCCACCCACGTTGGCCTCCCAAAGTGCTGGAATTACAGGCGTGAGCCACCATGCCTAGCCTTTTTTGTGCCAGGTACAGTGGTTCATGCCTGTAATCCCAGCATTTTGGGAAGCAGAGGCAGGGGGATCCCTTGAGCTCAACAGTTTGAGACTAGCCTGGGCAAGACAGTGAGACCCCCATCTCCACAAAAAATAAAATAAATTAACTGAGCATGGTGGCACATGCCTGAAGTCCCAGCTACTTGGGAGGCTGAGGCAGGAAGATCTCCCGAGCCCAGAAGGTCAAGGCTGCAGTGAGCCAAATTCATGCCACTGCACTCCAGCCTGGGTAACAGAGTGAGAGCTTGTCTCAGAAAAAAAAGAAAAGAAAAAAAAGAAATAAAAAAGAGTTTTTTTGAGCCACGCTAAGGAACTTAGACTTTGGTAGCAGGCAGTGATCCTTCAGAACTCTCTTTCTTTTTTTTTTTGAGATGGAGTTTTGCTCTTGTCACCCAGGCTGCAGTGCAGCGGCATGATCCCGGCTCACTGCAACCTCTGGCTCCTGGGTTCAAGCGATTCTCCTGCCTTAGCCTCCCGAGTGGCTGGAATTACAGGCATCTGCCACCACATCCAGCTAATTTTCATATTTTTAGTAGAGACGGGGTTTCACCATGTTGGCCAGGCTGGTCTCAAACTCCTGACTTCAGGTGATCCACCCACCTCGGTCTCCCAAAGTGCTGAGATTACAGGCATGAGCCACTGCACCCCGCCCAGAACTTTCTTAGCAGTGTAGACATGGTGAAAATATTGCTCGAGGAAATTTAATCTGGTGCTAAAATGACAGGTTGGAAATGACTGGTGGGGTGAGTGTATGGGTTGTTATAGGTGAATAGAGCCCAGTGATGAGGGTCTGATGGCCCTCAGTAGGGCTGGGATTTCAGAAGGCCAGCAGGTGCCATTTCTACTCACTTCTATTTGGCCTCCTTTTAGAGGATTATCAACAAGGGCTGATACTCTCCCATAGGTGCTGAGGACTGCTGGCCACCTGTCCTGGATGCTGTACAATTTCCAGGGCTCTCTTCCTCTTTTCTTTGTTATCACCAACCTTACTGCTGATACCTGTATGAGAGGCGGCTGGCAGGTCTTCCTCATACTGACATATTTACAAATAAAAAAACCCTACTTTTTATATGACTTAATTTAATGGGGCATGGTATAGGCCCAATTCTAAGGCCAAGAAGAATTTTTGACTGAGGAGGGAATATTGAAACATATATCCTCAAAAGCATTTACCTGTTTCTACAAAGCCTAGGTTATAGGGGATTTATCTTACAAAGAAAGAGTTCATCTGGTTTTGTGCACCCTGTCTCATTATCACCAGCCTTAGGTGACAGTAAGGGCTATGTTATTGACATAAAAAGATTAAGTGATTTGCTCAAGGCTTTCAAATGTGTAGGGGTAAAATGAAAACTAAAAGCCATGTTTAAATTCTCTCTCAGGAAGGGATTTTGCCACAAAAACATTAATTTATGCATTTTTTGTAATAGTGCATGTAATTATCTAACAAATTTTGGTATTCATTAACTTGTTGGTGCAACAACTTAATTTCTCTTTAATAAAATGCCATAGCAAATTTTCTGGGAGAATTTACATGAAACTCACTGGGGTGGCCTTTGGGATGTAGGACAAGAGAACTGGGGACAGGGAAGACTTCAGTGAGCTTCTGCTTTTCACTTTAACTCTTATTCTGTCTGAAATTTTACACTGAATTTCTTTTGTAATTAAAGCAACTATTTAACAAAAATTAATAAATAGACTTTAGGTCATATATTTATTGCAAATCTCAAATCTTTTGAAAACTGTGATGTCAACTGTCTTCAATTGCTGGGATATAAACTATTTTATGTCATTTGGAAAGCTCAGATGGTTGCAGAATTCCCATTTTCAGATAATTTCTTAAAATTTTACTGTTAAAACTCTCCTGCTTGGCACAAAATAATGTTCAGGCTGTCTCTGTGAGAAAGTGATTTCTGTTGCCTAAGTTACAAAATGAAACACATTTTTTACCCCTGGATCTTGGCATGCCTTTGGAATGCTATTTGTATTTATGTAGCTAAGTTAGAACAACAGGAGTCACTGAGATGCACTTTGGTCAGAACAGAATCTGCAGAACTACATCCCTGCCAGATGGACTTGCCACGGCTGTTCCGCTGCAAAAACTGATTATTTTTGCAAGCTGCATGAAAGAATTCACCACCAGGAATTATTTTAAATTTTATGACATTAAAAAAACCCTGCAGAACCAATAGAGCAGCTGAAAAAATAAGTTGCTTGCAAAAGGTTTGCCTTTATTATTATTTTAAAAATTTCTGTGATTGTGAGGGAGCAGGTGGTTGGGTGGGGAACACAGAAAGCACTGGGAATGTGGTTCAGATCTCTAAACAGGGCAGGACAGTGGGCTAATTAAAGTCAGACAATAGGCCATTTAGAAAGGCTTAGTAAAGCATTCATTCAAATGAATGCCAAGAATATAGTGTGTACCTCTGTATTCAAACATTGGTGTTTTGAGTTTACTAGACACTGCCTCCTCGGAAGATTTTTTTTTTCTTTTTAAATTCTTTGTAGGCTCGTGGAGGGGGTTAGCTGGCCGTGTTAACAAGCAATATGCAAAGCACTGTGCTATGAGATGGAGCAAAAGGTATAGGGAGATGTTCCCAGGGTGAATACTGATTCCCTTTATCAATAACCTTGCAAAATTTCAAATGAGAAATAGATTCTTCTGCTGGCATTCATGAAAAAGTAGCAAGGATAAATAAGATATATTTATTAAAGGAAAATTGCAGGTTTCTTAAGAGCCTTAGCAGTCAAACACAAAGAGAACAACAGGGATTTCTAAAAATTTAAGAAAAATAAAGATAATATGGAAAGAAATAAAAAGCTAAGAGAAGAAAAGAAAAGTAAAGAGGCTGGGTGCGGTGGCTCATGTCTGTAATCCCGGCACTTTGGGAACCTGAGGCGGGTGGATCACCTGAGGTCAGGAGTTCAAGACCGGCCTGACCAATACCGTGAAACCCCGTCTCTACTAAAAATACAACAAACAAACAAACAAACATAGCCAGGCATGGTGGCGTGTGCCTGTAGTCCCAGCTACTTGGGATCCTGAGACAGGAGAATTACTTGAACCCAGGAGGTGGAGGTTGCAGTGGGCCGAGATCATGCCATTGCACTTCAGCCTGGGCAACAGAGCGAGACTCCATCTCAAAATAAAATAAAATAAAATAAAATAAAATAAAATAAAATAAAATAAAATAAAATAAAATAAAATAAAATAAAAAAAGAAAAATGTAGCAATAACCAATAAAACACACATTGGGCCACCTGATGCCCATTTGCTGTGCCCAGGGAGACACAACAATCTTACTAAAATCAAAACATGTTGTAGGGTCGGTTCAGGTTATGAGTTGAAGAGGTGAAAAATAATTTTTATGGTAAATTTTAAGAAATCAGAGAAGACCGTATTTCCTGTAATTGCAGTGGTGCCAACTGTTTGGCACTCATACCTGCAGAGCTCGGGATGCCTCGGTCCAAAGCTTACCCTTTTTCCCATCACAGATTCAATATACTATCCACATGTTATGTTCTCAGGTGTGACAATATGCTGATGGTTGTGGAGGCTGTGATTTCTTCCTTGGATTTATGTATGACCAACTCCTTAATTTTAAGGCCTGTGTACCAGTTTTTGCTCTTACCTGTATTCGACTTCTTCTTCTTTTGGCATTTTCATTGTTGTTTAGCACCACCATTAGAATGCCAAAGAGCAGTAGTATGGTATTAGATTTCTACATTAGTAAAGGGTTCTATCTGTTTCTAGCATGGAATACTAATAATTGGCTTAGTATCTAGGAAATGAGGGCATTGGTAGTCTTCCTCTCCCCATGTTTTCTCATATTTCATAAGAAGGTAAAGCCTTAAGGAAAGTATTCTCCCCTTTCCTTATCAGCTGTTATATTTATTGAGAATATATGTAAGGCTCCACAGTGTGTACAACTATGAGAGAATTCCAGACACCACGGGGGCTGGGAGAGCATTGAAGGGGTGGGTCACCAGAGACAGCAGGTCAATTGATCTGGTAAACTCTATGTTTCACTGGGCTCAGGAATCTCTTCCAGCCCTCGAAAGGGGGCTGATATTGTCTCTGCCTTCTAAAGTGGAAGAAGTGGCATTCTGCATCCAGTCCCATGAGTGAGCCATGGATGCCAGCCTCTCAAATAACTTGCCGATATTCAGAAAAGAAATCCAAAGACATGCCAGGGGAGTAAGCTTCAGGTAAGAAGAAAAGCTCAGAGAGAAATGGGTCATGTGAGTAGGCCCCAGAGGTCTCTAGAGAACAGAAAAGAGGCTTCTGCAAGGTCAGGACGGCACACTCTGACTCCGGTTCAGGAAGCGATTTCCTCTCAGACAGAGAGGGCCAGGTGCCACATAGAGCCCTACGAGGCCAGGGGGTCCAGGAGTGGTGGAGAATGACCAAGAGGGACTCTATTCAGTGTTCTCCATATATTCCCCCCACTGGATGCAGCTGTTTCTGGGACAGAAAGCAGGTTCTGGGATAGAACTGGAGATAAATTCTATAAGGAAATTGAAAACTTCTTGGGTCCAGTGTCTTCTAAGATGTCTGAGTATCGTAGGAAAGGAAGGTCCTGGTACTGGTTTGGGCTGGGTGTGGCATCATCTCTTGAACAGTCTACAGGCACACTGTGGGGCTGATTGGGGAGACAAATGTGTTCCCGAGAGGGAGCAAAAGTCATAATTGGGGCCACCCATCACACAGGAAATCTGGAGGGTGACATGAGAGCTGAGCAGGAGGGCCTGAAGCAGAGTGACCACTCCAAAGCTCACCCATCCTTGGGCTGGAATCATAATGTAAGAGGGCAATAGGGTGGGTGAAGTGAAGACCTGGAGTCCCACAAACCTAGTTCCAAATCTAAGCCTCACTACTTTCAACCTGATTCTTATTTTTCTGATCTCAAAAACAGATATGGGTACCACCCTCTGAAAGCTGCCATGCTTGTGTTGATACATGAAATATATTTTAAAATAGATAAATGAAATTATTTGTAAATTTCCTATTTCAGAGCCCAGTGGTAAGTGATAATTATTGTTATTATTCATTACTATTTATCCCAGAGAGAACTGAACAGGTGGGAAGGGGACTCAGGTCTGAACGTCAACTCAATTGTACCCCCATGCTCATCTTTGACCCAATATTAACGTTAGCATCAGAACTTTTGGAGGCTACATAATCATTCTTCTGCTTTATGTGTCTTTTCTATTCCCTATATTCCTGGCTAACTCAGATTGCAAAACTCTAGTTGAATCAGAGAAAAGGGAATTTATCTTTTTCAGATTACAGAGGGGGTTCAGCTTGGCCTTGGATGTTGGGGGTAGGGGTGCCAGTGGGTGGGACACGTTCTGAGGTCTGGGAAAATCTACTGAGTCAGGAGGAGAAACAGCTGCACCCAGCGGGGGAAACACACGGAGAACACTGAATGCTGACCCTCTCCCATCTGCACCCCTCAGAAGATTTTTTAAATTCAGGAAATGCAGGCTTCAGAAAGTCACATCACTTGTTAGGTCAGCAAATTGGTGGCAAATCCTGATCAAAATATTCAGACTTTCATTTCTTTCTTCTTGTCATTTGAAGCTGTTTTTTTTTTAAATTGGCAGTTCGTGATGGATAAGTATAATTATAGGTTTGTTATCCTAAACTGATTGAGTTTTTGGATATTTAGTACTACAGAATGGGAGCAGTTGAAATTATCTTAATGAAATGCACCAGGTTGGAGTTTCAACTCTAGCCATCTCGACTGGAAGAATGGAGGACAGTGGTATAGCTCAATCAGCATGTGGGTAACTACAGCTTCCACTTTTTTTTTTTTAATTTATTCCTAGGAATAAAGTTTTCAAACCTACAAAAGTTACCCAGTAGCCTTTCTAATGGTTTCACTTATGTATATTATATTAAAATTAATAGTAGTGATGACAGGAGGATCTAACTTTCAAGGCTGCTATCCAGAGCTCCCTATAATCCAGTGCCTATCTACCTTAGTGTGGCACACCTTTGCTGAGACATTTATCAAGTACCGCTATGTACCAGATATTGTAAAAACCATAAAAGCTGCCATATGCTGAGCATTTACAGCATGCCATATGCTATACCAGGTGCTTTGTAGACATTATCAAATTTCACTTTCACAACACCTTCCATGGTAGCTATCACCGTTCCCATTTACATAGGAGGAAACTGAGGCCCAGAGAAGTGAGATCAATTTCACACACAAGAGTCAGAACCTTGGTCTGTCTGACTCTGATATTCAGGCACTTAATCACTTTACCACACTATTATTCTTCCTGGGCTGGAGGCTCCGAAAGGAACAAACAGAAATGGCAAGATGTTAGCCAGTTGAGGGACAGATTTAAGAAAACAAGAAGTGACAGTGCAATGTAAGAATATTTTAGCAGAAAAATATTCCGGAGGCTTTGGGAGCAGAGGGGAGTGTCTGGGAGACCTTAACAGGCAAGATGAGAACTGAATTTTGAAGGATTGTGCAGGCCTCCCAACCTTCTCTTTCACTTCTCTATGCTGCAGACAAAATTGGTTCATCCGCTGCACGTCACAGGGAATTGCTTCCTTTCCCCTGTGCCTTTGCCCCTTTCGTGTGTTCTGCTTGGATTCTACTCCTGCTCACTGCTCACCTGGGTCATCTTCTTCCTTCAAAGCTTAGCTCGTGGCATGCTTTCCTCCAAGAAGTCTTTTTCTCTTTCCTTCCCTCCCTTCCTTTCTTCCTTCCTTCCTTCCTCTCCCTCCCTCCCTCCCTCTTTCTTTCTTCTTTCTTTCTCTTTCTTTTCCTTCCTTCCTTCTCTTTTCTTTTCCTTCCTTCCTTCCTTCTGTCTCTTTTCTTTTCCTTCCTTCCTTCCTCTCTTTCTTTCTTTCCCTTTCTTTGTCTCTTTCCCTTCCCTCCCTTCCTTCCTTCATCTCCTTCCTTCCTTCCTGTCTCTTCCCTCCCTCCTTCCTTTCTTTCTCTTTCTTTCTTTCTCTTCTTCTTCTTTCTTTCTTTCTCTGTCTTTCTCTCTCCTTCCTTCCTCCCTCCCTCTTTCTTTTTCTTTCTCTCTTTCTTTCTCTTTCTTTCTTCTCTTTCTTTCTTTCGTCTCTTTCTTCTTTCTGTCTTTCTCTCTCCCTTTCTTTCTTTCTTTCTTTCTTTCTTTCTTTCTTTCTTTCTTTCTTTCTTTCTTTCTTTCTTTCTTTCTTTCTTTCTTTCTTTCGTGAGTCTTGCTCTGTCACCCAGTCTGCAGTGCAGTGGTGCAATCTCGCCTCACTGCAACCTCCGCCTCCCGGGTTCAAGCGATTCTTGTGCCTCAGCCTCCTGAGTAGCTGGGATTACAGGTGCACACCACCATGCCAGGCTAATTTTTGTATTTTTAGTAGAGATGGGGTTTCACCACGTTGGCCAGGCTGGTGTCAAACTCCTGACCTCAAGAGATCTGCCCACCTCGGCCTCCCAAAGTGCTGGGATTACAGACGTGAGCCACTGTACCCCACCCAAGAAGTCTTTTTCTACCTACCTGCTTCATGCTTTGCTTTCCCTCCTCTGAACCTCCCTCATGTTTACTGATGGTCACACTCAACTCTTTTGGCACTTGGAGCAAAGCCATCTTTTTATTTTTAATCACTTATAATTTCTTACCCCACAACTGAGCAGTACATTTCTTAAGGGCAATGAATTTCTTATATTGTTTTGAATTCTAACAAACATCACTCCTCACATGCAGTTGAGTGTTTAATAGCAATGGCATTGATTGAGCACCTACCATGTGCCAAGCCCTTGGCAAATATTAAATGTAATCCTTATGATAACCTTGCAAGGTAGATGTTATTATCTTCCTTTAGCAGCAAGGTTAAGTAACTTTACTGTTACCACACAGTTGGCAAATGGCAGAGCTGGGATTTGAATTCAGGTCATCTGGATCTAGAGCCCAAACTCTTCGCTATGCTGTGTTTTCTATGTCTTAGAATATGAACTTCAGGCTGGGCACAGTGGCTCACGCCTGTAATCCCAGCACTTTGGGAGGCCGAGGTGGGCAGATCACGAGGTCAGGAGTCCGAGACCAGCCTGGCCAATATGGTGAAACCCTGTCTCTACTAAAAATACAAAAATTAGCTGGGCATGGTGGCACTCGCCTGTATTCCCAGCTACTCAGGAGGCTGAGGCAGAAGAATCACTTGAACCCAGGAGGTGGAGGTTGCAGTGAGCAAAGGTCATGCCACTGCACTCCAGCCTGGATGACAGAGTAAGACTCCGTCTCAAAAAAAAAAAAAAAAAAAAAAAGAACTTCAGTAAACCTGAGTGTTGTAGGTTCCCAGACAACAGAGTAATCTGAAACATCAGCTCAATGGTGCTTCAAATTGGGTAAGAGCTAGTTGTCTGAGACTCAGGTCTATTTTAAATCCTAAACAATGAGATTAGGATTTAAATATTTAAAGAAATGGAAATATTTGAAGTATAAATAATGAAAATAACAAAGATAAATAAATGGAATAAACTTTAAAAAATTTAAGTCTTAAAAGTGAATACTGGGATGTAGCTCAGAATCTACAAAGTAGCTGATATGTAGGATGAACAAGTCTAGACATCCAACATACAACATGAGGGCTATAGTTAATAAAGTTGAATTGTGTTAGGGATTTTTGTTAAATAAGTAGATTTTAGCAGCTTTTGCCACAAAAAGTAACTAAGTATCAGTAAGTAATAATGATTTGAAAAGCAAACACTTGAGGTTGGAATGAAAAAAACAGACCACTTGGAATAGTTAAATTTTGGTCTGTACTTGTACAGTATATATAAATCAAGGCTGATGAGATAGGAGATGTATTAATTTGCTTCACTATAGTGGAAATTTTACTATATATATGTATCCCATAAGGTCATGTTGCAAACATCAGTTATACACAGTAAAATTTATCTGAAAAAAATAAGCACAGAAACTAGAGAAATCTTAGACGCATGGCCCAACTCTCTGCTTTTATGGACAGGGACACTGAGGCTCAGAGAAGAGAAGGGAATTACCCAAGACCATTTGTAGCCAGAAGGAGGGGTTCAAACAGACGAAAGAAGGAGCAGCTTCTCTTTTGGTGGAGGAGAGATGTGTTACCCAAAGTTTCATGGAAATCAAAGAAACTTTGAGATGATAGAATATGCAGCTTCCAATTGCATGTATTTTTTCCTCTTAATACTTCACAAGAAATCCAAATGCAAATCACAGATCTAGATGTCATGATGTTTACACTTGTGGTAACTGAATTGTGCACAATTGGTATAGCAAAGCAGCAGCTGAATGTGTAACTAAACAAACGTCCAACTAGCAGTCTTGCTGGAAGGACAGGCGGTTTTAGGGACTAAGATAGACAATGCACATCTGTTCTACAGTTAAAGTCTGCCCAACTTTATGGCAATTGCTCTATGTCATAAACACACCGAATGGTGCCTATTCACCTTCTGTTCCCCCAAAATTTCCCATCAAATACGTACTATTGTCATACTTCTATCCGTTGCTTGTAATATTAACCCTCCAAAATAATTAGGAAAGATTATTAACCAAGAAACCCAGCTGACAATATTGCCTTATCCTGTATGCCCTTGATGTAGAGATTTTAGCAGTGAAATAATTTAAATGTAAGAATTTAGGATAATGTACAGAAAGAAAATAACTGTAAGTAATACTGATTTGAAAAGCAAACACTTGAGATTGGCATGCAAGAATCACGCTGTGTGGAAATAGTTCACTTTTGGTCTCTATATGTAGAGCATGTAAAAATCAAGGCTGTTATTATCTAAATACATTTCTCACTTGGGATATTTCTCTTTAACATTTTACTCAATTCAGACCTTCTAAAAACAGAGCCAGAAATCTTCATTTATTTTTCCTTAGGTTTATGTAGGATATTAACTTGAAGGAATTTTCATGTCTATTTTCTTACTGTTCCTGGCTATAGCATTTTGATGAATGAGCCGAGCAAAAGAGCTGTTACTTTGTTCATAAATCAACAAATAAATTGAACATCAAATCCTGATTCCTAGGCTCAATCTTAGCTTCCCCTACACTACACGACACTTCCCCATCTCCCCAACAGTTTCAATTCCAAGCTGATTTCCTTTTCCTACACAGCAAGTTTTACATTTTTCCCCCCTCATGTCAGCTGATGTATATTCAACAATTTTAAATAAATCCATAAGATAGCTTAAGAAAAACTTGATTAAAAGGAACAATGGTCTGAAAATCACTCACCAACTTTCAAAACAAAACTGAAAAATTGTGACTATTAGGTTTATTGCCTTTTTTCTACATATAATAAAGAGGTTATTGAATTTTATGATGTTATTTGAAAATAATTCGATGTTTAGCTTTTATAGAACTCAATTGAAATAGTGTAGTTCAAAAAAAGCAGCAATCAGAACTTAATTATGTGTGTGTGTGTGTGTGTGTGTGTGTGTGTGTATTTGGTACTAGATGGTGGTGAACGGCTCACATTTATATATCTTGGTAGAAGATCTAGTAGTGTGGTAAAGAATAACAGAAAAATTCAAGAAAGAAAAAAGAAAAACCATTATTTAAAAATAGACATACATAGCAATAGTTGTGAAACCACAGAATTGTAGCTAAAATGTATAGAAGTGGTTTTAATTTCTAGTCTTTGGTAAAAGTCTCTTTTGATGCAAGGGATATTTTTTCTTGTTCCTACTGCAAAGATGTGAAAAACATTTCATGGTATCAAAAACAGATGTTCATGAGGGAAGCTGCGGTAAAGATGGATCAACAGAGTCTTGTGTAAATTTATCAGTGTCGTCACAAATAAAAGAGCAGCAATTTGGGCATCCAATAGATACTTCCTGAAGTATGCCTATCCGGCGGGGGACATAGTTTTCAGAATATGCAGAATATGTGAGTATTAGTTTTCTAGGATGGCTGTAACAAATTATCACAAACAGGGTGGGTTAAAACTAGCAACATTGATTCTCTCATAATTCTGGAGGCCAGAAGTCCAAAATCAAGGTGTTGGCAGGGCTGTGTGCCCTCCAGACTCTAGGGGTGAATTTGCCTTTGCTTTTTCAAGCTTCTGGTGGCTACTGGTAGATATTCCTTGACTGTGGCCTCATCACTCCAATCTCTGCTTAAGTGGTCACATTGCCTCCTCATCTTTTGTGTATCTTCTCCCCGGTGTGTGTGTTTCTCTCTCAAAACTCCCCCTTGTGAGGGAGGATACTTGTGGATACATGTGATTATACTGAGAACTCACCTAAATAATGCCAGGTAAGGGCCTCTTCTAAAGATACTTCACTTAACCACAAATTCTGCCGTATAAAGCAGAACTCACCGGTCCCAGGGATTTGGCATGGGATCTTTGGGGCTCCCATTTTTTTTTAACCTATTACAATGCATTTATGGTAAACCACATGGTAGGGCCTCTGACTGGTCATTACTCATGCTGTCAGCTGCAAATTTTGAGCATGTCTAATGAATGACTTCTCTAACTTAACTTACTCGATATATGAGAATCATTGTGTCCTAGTGCATTGGTATGAAAAAGGGGAGGTGGTCTCAGTATGAGCCATCAAATCAGAGCCCCACAGTGTCTCCCGTAACATGATGGTCCATGATTCTTTCTTATTGGATTGCGTTTGCAACAGGGACAGAAATAGGTCCTCAAGAGTCAATGACTAATGCATATGATATCCTTGAGATTTACAGATATTCTAGAGTAGTGGTTAAGAGGATGAAACATCAGTAGGTGGACAGTAAGGGCAATTCATGCAAATGTCTAAAGTCCAAATAACCGCATTTTGGGACTTTATGCATTTAATTATCTGAATTCAAAAAGTCAGTGAAGTGAGGATGAGCGTAAGATACTAGTGTTGAGATGCTGGGTAATATGATGGGGACAGGAAGTTAAAGATGAGTTCATATCATCTATGCACTTGATGCCTGAGAATAGCTACCATGGTTAGAACCGGTGCGTACTTTTTTTGTTCTAGAAGTTATCTCTACGTGGTATATTTCTTTTTAAAAAACCCGTTTGTTTGCTTGTATCAGCGATTATTCTATTCTAGTCCCCTTTGGCCATTCCCTTTAAATATGGAATGTGGGCTGGGCACGGTGGCTCACGCCTGTAATCCCAGCACTTTGGGGGGCCGAGGTGGGTGGATTACCTGAGGTCAGGAGTTCAAGACCAGTCTGGCCAACATGGTGAAACCCCGTCTCTACTAAAAATACAAAAATTAGCCAGGCATGGTGGCACACACCTGTAATCCCAGCTAATCGGGAGGCCGAGGCAGGAGAATTGCTTGAGCCCGGGAGGCAGAGGTTGCAGTGAGCCGAGATTGTGCCACTGCACTCCAGCCTGGCCGACAGAACCAGATTCTGTCTCAGACAAAAAAAAAAAAAAAAAAAAGGAATGTGGAATTAGGAGTCATCTGCTACTTGTAAACTGTGCAGCTTTGAAATAATTACTTCGCTTCTCTTGTTCTCAATGCACTCATCTGTAAACTGGGAAACTGTAAATATCAATCTCGGGGTTAGTGTGTCTATCAAATGAAACAACACATGAGAAAGTGCCCTTTAAACTGTCCTTACATACATGTTATTATAGTCTTCATATTACATGTCTATGCTGCCTGGTCTTTTGTCTTCAGTTTCAGTCTAGGGCTTGGTTGCTAAGTTCTTGTATTTTTCAAATGTGTAAGTATTTTTTCTTTTCACCAGGTTATTTGGTGTCCAATGGCACAAACTATATATTACATGTGTTTCTTGTATCCACTTTCTCCATAAAAGACCCACTGTCACTGGGTCAATAGCAAGACCTCAGCAAGTTCTTATCTGAAGAGAGATAAAAACCTTGGCTGTGACATGTGAGGCTTAGACACTTGCTCTTTATTCTATGGCAAAGTTCTCAAACAATGAAGTGCAAAGGCACCATCCAAGGAGCTTGTAAAAAAAATGACACAATGACCATGCCTTGGCTCCAACCCAATAATAGTAGACATGGGACAGGTCCAGGGATCTGTATTTTAAAATGAAATAAAATAATATGGCTTATAATTAATTATGTCTACATTGTCTCATTTTATAAAAAGTAAAAACTCACCAAAAAATAAAGAAAAGAAACAAAATCCGTGACTTGATAGTCACAGATCTTGAGCAAGAAGTCATATTAGGTAAATTTTAAAGAAAAAAGTATGTCCGCCATTTGGATATATGCCTTCATGCCCTTTAATGTAACTTTTCTTTTTCTATAACTCTGGTATAGTGCCTTATCATTTGTATACAGGCATTGATAATGATACAAGGTGTGAGTTACACACTCATTCACCCTGGGCAGACACCATGTTTATTCCCTGACAATGGATATTACCCATATGTGCAACTCTTGCCTTTCCAATTGATAGTTTGCCTGAAACTTTCATCAACATTCATAATTTAGTTGCTGTCTCATGTTAGTTGCAGTTACTGTGGTCAAGCAACCCGCGTGACTTCCACTTGAAGCTGTGGTTCATTTTAAGTAGATTCTGAATTCCTTCTCTCTCTCTCTCTCAAGAGACTAGATTTGGATTGATATTTTATTTTTATTATTATTACTATTTTTTGAGACAGAGTCTCACTGTGTTGCCCAGGCTGGAGCGCAGTGTCACGAACTCAGATCACTGCAACCTCTGCCTCCCAGGTTCAAATGATCCTCCCACTTCAGCCTCCTGAGTAGCTGACATTACAGGCATGAGCCACTACACCGGGCTAATTTCTGTATTTTTAGTAGAGATGTGGTTTCACCATGTTGGCCAGGCTGGTCTGGAACTCCTGGCCTCAAGTGATCTGCCTGCCTCAATCTCCCAAAGTGCTGGGATTACAGTCATGAGATACTGTGCCCTGCTGTATTGATATTTTTATCACACACCCCAGGTGATTCTGAGCAGGCACTGTGAGAAGCACTGAACTAGGAGCAGACAAGGAGCCAATTATTCAGACTTCTCTGTAGCAGATAAGCTCCATTTATTTAACTAGAAGAGAGGTGGTGGTTTAAAAGAAAGGATAACGGCTGGGCGCGGTGGGTCACGCCTGTAATCCCAGCACTCTGAGAGGCCGAGGCAGGTGGATCATGAGGTCAGGAGTTTGATACCAGCCTGGCCAACATAGTGGAACCCCTTCTCTACTAAAAATACAAAAAAACACAATTAGTGGGGCGTGGTGGCAGGCGCCTGTAATCCCAGCTACTTGGGAGGCTGAGACAGGAGAATCGCTTGAATCGCTTGAACCTGGGAGGCAGCAGTTGCAGTGAGCCGAGATTGCGCCACTGCACACCAGCCTGGGCAACAGTGCGAGACTCCATCTCAAAAAAAAAAAAAAAAGATAACATAAAATATGCAATTAAAGGTGTTCTTGGGTGGGAGGAAATTGAACGTTCATTTGAAATATGTCTCAGGAGTTTGATTTTGGAGCAGAGTTGAACATGGTGCCAACATTCTCAGCATACATGCTGGAAGAACCAGTACCTGCTGCGTATCAGCCCCTGCACTAGGTACTGGACATGGTTGTCTCATTTATTTCTGTTCATCTGCTCTCATGCTCTGCACCCAGCAGGTGCCAACAGATGCCTGACATTCATGTGATTATATTTTACTTGATAGAATAGGTGTTTATATGCTGATCTTGGTAACCAAATGATATTGCCATTTTAGAATCATTTCTGGAGATCTGGTGCAACTACTTAAACATTTGGGGTATACAGTAGAACTATTTATAAAGACATGGATGGCAGATAAAGATTTTAGACTCAGAACATCTCCTACTAGGATTTTAAAATCTGATTTTGCATGTTACACAGAAGATTTTTTTTAAGTTATCTCTGTTGGGTTTAGAGTAACAATTACGTGGATGAAGGTGAGTATTATTCCCACCAACCAAGCCCTTGGTAATCCATGGCTTGGGGAAATGAAAAAGTCAGGACACACCATCTTTTAATTGCCATGAACTACAGTAGCCAGCCAGTAAGATCACAGAGCTCCTGGCGCGCCTGCTGGCTGCTAACAGACGTGCCATGATTAGAGATATTTACAGCTGGAAGGGACCCCAGAGGTCATTTTGCCTAACTCATTTCATATTGGGTCCAGAAGAGTAAAATGACTTTCCCAGGGCCACATGACTGGTTCCCGGCAAGGGCCAGGGCCCCTCTCTACTGGTGTTCCTCCACTCCATCAGGCTCCTCAGTCAGGAGGAGCACCAGCATTTATTGACTGTGATTTATGTGATTTACATGACATCCAGTTATGAGGGAATAGGAATTCTGTTTCCAAGGGCATATAGTCAATAGCAGATGAACAAAGCATGAAAACTCTTTCAAAAAGGGCATGAAAACTCTTTCAAAAAGGGCAGGAAAACCAGCATTAAATAGACTAGGATGAGATTGAAGTAGAGGGAGTGTAAGTTAAGGTGTAAATGCTGGCACCACTAAGTGAGAGAAAGATTGTCTGTCACAGAATAATTCTATACTGCGTGCCAGTTAAAGGAAGGCTTTGTTTTGAGAATACCAGACCCAGGAAGTAGGTGATTGGTGTGTGGATAAAGGGAGAGGAGAGAGAACCTGCAAGCACCTCAGAATATATTAAATTGGGACTTACATTAAGTCTTGAGTTACTTGTCTGCCCGGATCGTTTTTCTGCCAGGAGATCTTTGACTGTATGCTTCACTCTCACTCCTTGATACACTCGTTTGCTGTAGTCTCCTGGGACTTAAGCAAATGGAATAGTCACAACGAATGTGGATGGAATCATTAGGTTAAGCTCCCAAAGGACATGTTTAGGGGGCTGATCATTGTGATGTCATTTTCTTGATAGAATGATAGAATTCCTGGATTTGAAGTGGCTTTGATAGAGTAGCTTCAATAGAGCCGTGTCTCCTGATCTTTGATAGAGACTCATCTAAGCTCTACTAAGTGACAGAAACACTGTTCCATCATCTACACAACAGCTCTTCAAAGTCCCTTCCTTGTACTCTGACTTGTCAAGATTTACTCTGGCAAGGTTTACAAATTATGCTTTAATCACAAGTCCAAGGATTGGATGCAACTTGAAATGATGCTTCTAAATACATGAGGTAGAAGTTAGATTTGTATGATTCAGGTTACAGCATAACAGTATTCCTGCCCTATTATACCTGATGGGAGTGAGCAGGTCAGCAGGAGTTTTAAGAAGATTACGTTCCTAAGAAGAAAGTTGTTTGTTATTGGTTTACTGCACTAAATAAATGTTTTGTTTTTGAAAATCGGTGATTCAACATGAGGAGTTACTGCTTCAAAATAAGGCCGAGGATAAATAAGGAATCATTCATTCATTTAACAAATATTTATTGAGCACTTACTATATTCACTTCCTGAAGATGTTGTAGTGCTTGGCAATTTACATGTATTGCTTCATTTGATCTGTTTTACAGATGGGGAAACTGAGGTCTGCGACTAAATTATTTGCAAGGTCTCACAGCTACTTATAAGCAATAGAGCTGGAATCCAGACTTAGGTCGGTTTGTAGTATCAACAACCAGAAAAATATGCTGTTTTCACCATGAGGGAATTACAGAGAGATAACAG
This sequence comes from Homo sapiens, assembly GCF_000001405.40. Lineage (NCBI taxonomy): Eukaryota > Metazoa > Chordata > Mammalia > Primates > Hominidae > Homo > Homo sapiens. The sequence continues at coordinate 111,255,127 of NC_000011.10, read as the reverse complement.
ACTATAGAGTAAAACGTTTCCCCAAGGTTCTAAAATTGACAGCATTGCTTCTAGGGATAGTGAGAACCTTATTACTGAGGATGGTGAAGAAATAATAAGAGAACCTTTTGTTTGGCCTATTCTAGAAAGCATTTATACACTGTATTAGTGGTTCCACTAGAGGAATTCTAAGATGTTTTCTAACTATAATTATTATAATTGTTGTTCTGTAGTAGGTTAGACAACTTCCATTTAATTAAAATTAAATACATGATAGTTGAGGTGTTGCTGGCTTACCAGCAAATTCAGCTGGTACAGAATTCAGCATCAGTGTGTATGGCAGAATATAAAAACAAATGTACGTATGAGGCACATAACCAAAATTATTCTCTAATCTGGTTGAATTTGTAGATAGTCCAGAATATATTTGATTTGTGAGTCAAATTGGATTGTAAAAAGAATGAAAGGAAGGAAGAAAGGAAGAAATTAAAGCTACAACCAGAGGTAGTATGGTGCATTGGAGAAAAGAGGTTGCTGGTAATCACAGTTACACATTAGTCACTGGCTTGGAACAATAATAATCTCTCAGTTCCATTTTCCTCATGTGTAAAATGGGTATAATCACCTCTTCTTAGCTGTCTTCAGAGGATTAGAAGGCAAAAATAGGATATACATGTGAAAATTCCTTGAAAGCTAACAAGCTTCATACAAAACACCGATACAAAATGAAGAAGAAAAACAAATCCAGGTTCCAAGACAATGTATTATTTAATTCAAGTAAAGCCACATGCAGCCTTATTTCAGCAAAACAAAGTTATTTGAATCATCATTTGTGTCTAATTTTGACAGGATTTGGTCCATATATGCTATAATTAAAGAAGCTTGAAATACTTCTTTGAAATCAGCCTCAAATTTAAAGCTTACTGATCTTATGATTGTTCCAAAGGAATCTAAATGTTGCTTCTAGAATTGTGTGTGATGCTCTACTTTTGGAAAAGCCTAAGGTCACATTGATTTATTGATTATTGATTGAGTGTTTTCTGTGTGTCAGAACTGGGGATACAAAAGAACATGGCTATCTAGTGGGGAGAGAAATACTTTAAAATAAAATAATTGTGATGCAAACGTGCTAAGTGCAAGAACAGAAATACACCTAGGATAGTCAGAGAAACCCAGAACGCATCACTTCCTTGTAGCGGGGAGAGAGACTCAGGGAAGGCAGGGTGATACCTGAGTTGGGGCTTAAAGCAAGGTAGGGTGTGTGTGGTGATGGCAAAATAGGTAGGAAGACAGCACGGGCAAAGTCCTGGAGGCAAGGACAGAAAGAGGAAGTGGCAGGAAGTGAGGCTGGGGAAATGAGTAGGGGTCAATCATGATGTTTCTGGTATAGGGAAGAGTTTGGAATGCATCCTCTAGGCCATACGCCATTGGGGGCTTTTAAGAAAGACAGTGATGTTGGTTTGATTTGCATTTTATATAGACTTTTCTGGCAGCTGAGAGGAAGGTGGTTTTGAGAATCACAAAGCTGCGGGAAGATCAGTCAGGAGGGTTCTAGAATAATCCAGGCAAGAGCTGATGGGGACTGAGTAGTGGTGGATGGGAGGGCAAGGATCAGACAGGTTTGAACATTATTTAAACATGAGAGAGAAGAAGATTCAAGGGTGAATCTCAAGTTTCCACCATGGAATTGCTCTCAGTACATAAGTTTCAGAACCATCGTGATGTGGATGGTAATGAAACCAAGAAAGAGGATGAAATCCCTTGGGGGAGTGATTGAAAGATAAAGTCACATGGTGGCACACATAGAAAAGAATAATGAGCACCTGGCATACTGGGGTAAACAGGTCAGGCTACTTCCAAGAGCTAAGAGGATCAGTATCTTTGGAATGCCTATAACACTGATTTCTGACACACAGGTTTGGAAGCTGTGGACTAAATGATTAAAGATGGAAGCCTGGGGAACAGTGACATTTGAATGGTTGTCAGAGGAGGAGAGGAGAACCCTATGAAGAAGATAAGGGAAGACTAATTGGAGAAGAAACAGGAAAAACCAGGGGAATAAAGCATCCTAGAATTCTGGGGAAGAGATTTCAAGAAAGAAATTAAAAAAAATCAGAGGCAACAGAGTAGTTCAGGAAGATAAAGACAGAAAAACATCTCTTACTTTCAATTCAGTGGTTGGCATTGAGCTTACCAAGAATAACTCAGAAGTGCGGGGTGGCTGGAAGCCAGACAATAATGTCAATGGAGGAGGTAGACACAGGAAGGGGAGACTATTTCTTCTTGAAGTTTGAATGAGAAAGGGAAACAAGAGATTGAGTGATAATTAGAGAGAATTATGGTGTCAAGGAGAGGTTTGCTTATGTTCTTATATCTATTTATGCATTTATGAGTGGGAGAGAGTTGAAAATATTTGAAGAGGACAGAGGGAAGACTAATGGCTTAGAAGAGAGGGACAGAATGATGGAAAGAGGTCTTGAAAAGGCAGAAAGAAATTAAGGTCAAGGGCACAAATTGACCCTCAACTTCTGAGACTGAAATACAGAAAGTCAGGGTGTGGGCGGGGTGGTGGTATGGCCAGTTACTACGACCGCTCTAGTGCACATCAAGCAGGCTGGCATAGGAGAGCAATTCAAAACTGGGCAGAACCAGGCAGGGGTCAAAGCCAGACAGACAAGTCAAAGAATATACGTCGGTGATTCTCAAATGTGATCCCTGGACCAGCAGCATCAGCATTGTCTAGGAACTTGCTAGAAATGCAAATTCGCCGACCCTACTCCAAATGTACCGAATCAGAAACCCTAGGGTGGGGCCTAGCCTTCCAGGTGATTCTGATGCTCTCTGACGTTGGAGAACCACAGATATACATATGAGTAAGGCCTTTAGAAGGTTCCTGTGGAGGTGGGGTGGTCAACTCTAATCTACGCAGTCCTGGCTGAGCAAGAGGGGGAGTATCTGACTGACTGAGGTCGATGTGGACTTAGACAACTCTGGGAAGGAGGAGGGCCTGGGAATTGAGGAGGTCCAGGCTGGATCCTTTGTATATTTGCAGACTGTCTCTACTTTGCTTTTTAAAGTGCTTTTTAATTGATGATTTTTATCTGAATTAGCAATCTATACTTTATGTGTATGCCAAAAAGCCTAGGGGAAATACACCTATTCTAAATAAGTTTAACAAATAACCACATGGTGATTAATAGAGGAATAAAGTTCATGAGATGGCAAATATCCAGATCAAAACTTCTGAAGTTTTGTCATAAAACAATCAGTCTTATGTACCAGTTGGCACTGACTTAGTGCAAAGCACGGGGCTATATGCCACAGGGGATGCAAAATAACTTTAGAACATATAGCAGATGTCCTCAAAGAGATCTTATTTTAGTGAGAGAAATCAGACATTCACATGTGAAAGAGCAGGGGAGGGGGAAGAGTACACTTTGGATTGTTGATGAAAGTTTTGTGGGAAGGGATGGGACTTAAGCTGGAATGAGAAGCATGTGGACAGGTTAGGAGGAAGGAGAATGACCTTGTAGACAGCAGGCATCTGTGAGCAAGAACAAAGAGACAGGAAGCAGAAAAGATGTGTGCAGTGGTAAGGAATGAGTACAATTGGAGATACTAGATTTAAATGCCATATAGATGTAATCGAGTTTCAAATGGGTATCTCCAGCCCAGACGTGGACTTCAGTCTTGGATATCCATTTATGATTGGATGTCTAGTAGACATCTCAAACTCCACACATCCAAATATGAACTCCATTCTTCCTTTCCACATTTGTTTTATCTGAAACTTTTCCTATCTCAGTTGATGGCAGCCTGTCTTTGTGGTGACTGAGTCCTGAAGCTGTAGAGTCATTCTAGGCTCCTCTGTCTCATCTTTCACAGCCTATTCTTTAGCAATTCCTGATGGTGCTACCTACAAAATACATCCAGAGTCTGCTGACTTTTCTTTACTCTTCTGATAATATCCAGGCTCCATCCAGGGCAATTTCTACAGTAATGTAGATTACTGTGGCAGCCTTCCAACTGTTTTTCCTGCTTCCACATCCACCCTGCCCTAGTCTAGTTTCAACACAGTAGACAGGATGATCCTTTGAAAACGCAAGTTCAATTGTGTCCCTGATCTGCTCTAAACCCTACAATGGTCCACCATGACGCTCACAGGAAGAACCAAAGTCCTCATAATGGCTTTACATGACCCTGTTCCCTGAAACAGGGTTTCATCTCCTAAGACTCATCTCCTTGCTTACTGTACCCCAGCGTTTCTGAAGTGCCCCAAGAATACTTCTGCCTTAAGACTTTTGCGCTGGCTGTCTCTGCTGTCTGGAGTACTCTTTTCCCCATTATCCACATGGCTAAATGATTTTGTCTACTTCAAGTCTTGGCTCAAATGTCATCTTCTCAAGGAGAACATATTTCAAGTTGCATCCTCCCCAGAAAATACTCCTGATCCCCTTACTCTATTCTAGTTTTTCTGTCTGTGTAGCACTTGCCATTCTATTATGTCCTATATCATTTCCTTATGGAGTACATCTATTGTTTATTGTCTGTCTGCTTCTTGCTAGAATGTAAGCTCCACGAAGTGGGGGCTTTGCTTGTTTTTACTCATGCATGCATCCCAAGTGCTAGTGCCTGGAACACAGGAAGCTTTCAGTAAATATTTGTTGAAAACAATTTGTTTTTGGTTGAAAATAATGGACATGTTAAAGGTCTTAAAAACTTGGCTGCAAAAATTTACAGTTTATGTTGTAACGTATGGAAACCACTAAATTTTTTGGACAGAAGAGTACTATGACTCTTATATTTTTTGGAAGTTCAGTCTGAGGATAGATTCTAGAATGGGCTGGGGATGAGGAAACTGAGAGGATGGGAAATGGTAAAACAGAGGCTAGCCAGAAATACTGGAAATGACAAGGAAAGGACATATTTAAGAGACCTTTCAAGGGAAAAGACACACACACCCCCCAACCCCCCCAAAACAGCACTATGATTAATAAGAGAAGTCAAGAAGGTCGGGGAAAGAGTCGGTTTTGATGGGGAAGAAGAATGCAGTTTTTAATATGTTGGCTTTGAGGTTGTGGTGACATGATAAAATAAAAAATAAAAATATTCTGGAGATATGAGAACCTGGACCTGGTAAAAACTGTACATCTAAGAAGCATCTTTAGAATTATGGTAATTGAAGCTAAGAAAGTAAAGTTCTCCAAGGAAGACTTTGTAGCAAGAGAAGAGTAGAAATTCAAGCCTGAAGTCTTGGGAAATGCTACCATTCTGATGCGCAGGGGAAGAGAGGGGCTGGAGAAGGACTTCAAGCGGTAGGGGTGCACGGAGGAGAGGCCAGAAATGTAGGAATATACCAGAGTAGTAGCATCAGGAAAATGAAAGAAAGAGGGTTAGAGAGAAAAAGGAACAATCAGTGTTGTCAAGTATCTGGTATTTAGTAGTTGCTCAATAAATGCTTATGAAATAAATGAAACGCCTTAGAGAAGTTGAGGAAAACGAAGGTAAGAAAGACAGTCGAGTTTGGGAAGGTGGAGGTCTTTAGAAAATGGGAAAGAGCAGTTTCCTAAGATGTGAGGGTGAAATCTTTCTCTGGGGTTTCATGGGAGTTTGGGTGGTGACAAACCAGGACTAATGGGATAACCAAGCTCTGAAGCAGGGGTACAGGTAAGTGAATGCTTACATTTTGCAACAGCACAAAAGGTGAATTAAAGTAAATTTGAACAAAGCAATGGAAACTGGTACAAATTCTTTAAAATATGCTGAGTATTCCTCATGTTTTTGAGAATTCTGAAAGTTTCATAACTTATCCTACCTCCCACCTTCTTTTTTTTGGAGAGGAATGATATTTAGAGTTTAAAAATTTTACCAGGATTCCTACTCCAAAACATTTTTTTCCCCTGTGCATTGTGTCTATTTAAAGAATCCACACCTGCATACACCAGGAGAGCTTAAGAGTTTTTATTCAAATACTCTAGATACAAACTTGCATTCAGATCAGTTGTTGAGAAAACAAAGACGTGTGCTTCCGGAAAGAAAGCACAAGCAAATTTAATAGGAATCGACTCATCCTGTAGAATTTGGAAAAAGATGTTTTTTTGCACTGTAGGACTGTGTTTGTGTCCATGCAACAAATTGTCTCAGTCATGTCATCTCCTTCTCATTTACTTTAATGACGAAGAATTTAGTCTATAGTAGACTTAATGGTGATGTTACCTTAAGATTGTTTTTCAAAATTAAACGTTTTCTCTATCAAATCAAACACGTATTCTGAAATCAATTTGTCATTTAAAATACAGGTGATTTTTAAACTGTTTTAGTTATTAAATATCAAATACACTTATGGCACTTAAAGCACCTTCTTATTTTTACTATTTTTGATGACATTCTCTGAGGTACCTGTTACTGCTTTTAAATTATTTAATGTTTTTAAGCAGGTTTTTGTGACTTTACGTAAGGGAATAAAGAGATAGTTCAAACAAAGAAAAAGAAAGAAAAAGCAAAATCATCCCATAACTTTAGAAATAAAGAATTTATATTCTGAGTTATGTGATAGACAATGACACAATTAAGATGGTAGAGAATGTCTCTCCGAATTACACTCCCTCTTGACACTAGAATGTAGCCACACTGTCACTCAAGACAGAGTAGAATTAAAATCCAGAACGGGTCATTGGTGGATGGATCTATATTTGGTCCATTCTCTGCCTGTCAGGGAGATGCCAAGAATCAGGTCCTGGACAGTGCAATGGCAATATAGTGTGTTGGGTCAGCGTCTGGCTCAGGTACCAGCTCTGGTGCTGTGGGCATCCCTCCCCTCACCCCACTATCCCAGCTCAGTCCACATTACTGAGAATCAGACTCCTGTCACAGAAGGGAAGGCAGATACCCATTAGGAATGAATAGTAAGCCTTACGCCCACTAGGAACTCAGGGTTAGTGGTTTCACTTCTAATCTGGGGAGATGATATGTTAGTTATATTGTGGAAAACCTCCAGGAGAATACAAGAAAAGGCCACACGGATCACAAGGTCAGGAGATCGAGACCATCCTGGCTAACACGGTGAAACCCTGTCTCCACTAAAAAAATACAAAAAAATCAGTTGGGCGTGGTGGCGGGCGCCTGTAGACCCAACTACTCGGGAGGCTGAGGCAGGAGAATGGCGTGAATTCGGGAGGCGGAGCTTGCAGTGAGCGGAGATCGCGCCACACCACTGCACTCCAGCCTGAGCGACAAAGCGAGACTCCGTCTAAAAAAAAAAAAAAAAAAAGGCCACTTATAGTCTCCAAGCTCATAAACTAATCTTGAAATATTCAAAATATTATTAAGCAGAAAATACTACACACGATGAAATCTTTTTTTTAAGATGGAGTCTTGCTCTGTCACCAGGCTGGAGTGCAGTGGCACGATCTCAGCTCACTGCAACCTCCACCTCCTGGGTTCAAGTGATTCTCCTGCCTCAGCCTCCCGAGTAGCTGGTACTATAGGCGCCCGCCACCACGCCAAGCTAATTTTTGTATTTTTAGTAGAGATGGGGGTTTCACCATGTTGGCCAGGATGGTTTCGATCTCTTGACCTCATGATCCACCCACCTCAGCCTCCGAAAGTGCTGGGATTACAGGCATGAACCACCACGCTCGGCCTATTTATGAAATCTTAAACTTGAAATAAAGACTAACTTTTAAAGATGCTAGGTCAAATCAGTTAACATATTAGGATTTTGTTGAAGTTTGATTTGCCCACACTGTAGGTATCCACAAACTCCTCCCAATGTACCTTCATAGCTGAATCCAATACCCAAAGAAGCTGTAATTAACACCTTGTAAAAATAGCTGCACTCCCATGTTCATTGCAGCATTGTTCACAATAGCCAAGATACAGAGACAACCTAAACAGCCATCTGTTGATGGATGAATAAAGAAATACGGTCTCTCTCTCTCTCTCTCTCTCTCTCTCTGTGTGTGTGTATGTGTATGAATATATAAAATTCAGACTTAAAAAGAAGGAGATCCTGCCATGTGCCACAACTTGGCTGGAAGTGGAGGACATTATGCTAAGTGAAACAAGCCAGACAGGGAAGAAAAATATTGCATGATCTCACTTGAATGTGGAATCTAGGGAAAAAAAAGGTCAAGTATATAAAGAATAAAACTGGTCACCATAGGTAGGATTGAGGTGGGGGAGGAAATGAGATGTAGATCAGAAAATACAAAGTAGCCAGTGTGTAGGATGAAACTCTAGAGATATAATGTACAACATAAGGACTACAGTTAATAACATTGCAGTGCTTTAGGGATTTTTGTTAAATAAGTAGATTTTAGCTGCTCTTGTCACAAAAAAGTAACTAAGTGACATGATAGATATATTAATCTGTTTCACTATAGTAACCATCTTTACTATCTGTATCTATATAATAACATGCTGTGAATCTCAAGTATACACAATACAATTTATTATTTTTTAAAAATTGTCACAGCTAATAACCAATTTTATGCTGCAGAAGATAGATGCTCTTAGAGCTCTTTCTATCTTCTTACCTTTTGAGATCAGACTTTGAAGAATTGCAGCATTTAAAAAATATTAATTTTTCTTTTAAGGTACTTTACAAGGCATTTTTGAAATGCTCCCTCTGTCATCATTTGTTAACATTTAAAGTGCTGACTTTTTCAATCTTAAATTTGTTCGCGAACAGGTGGGCTTTGCTCTCTGTTGACTATTCACATTTGTATCTCAGGATGAACATCCGGGGAAAGATCTATATTTAGTTAGATTCATGAAATAACAGCCCAGACTCTTCCTTATCATATGTAAATAGAATGACCTTACTTCTTAGCCTTAAAAGCCTAAAACAAGATGCATGAATAAAAGATGTTTCAGGTTCTATATGAATGTGAATTCTTCTTCTGCACTTTCTCTATAGTTGAGAGCTTACTGAAATTTGCTAAAATAAAATTTCACTATATATTGGAAAAGAAGGCTTTGATATTCAAGTACTTATTTTATGAAAATAATGTTCAACTGAGTTGATCTTTCAGAATATCTCTGTAAACTCTATAAAGCAAAACAAAATCAAACAATTAGTAATTAAATGTAACTAGAATTAGGAAAATGTTACCAAGAGTTCTAAATAGGTAGTCCTTGATCTGTGTTTTATATTTTTATATGTTCTATGCCAGAGTTAGGAGATTTCTCCTTAACCTTTGTTTTATGTTATGACTTTGTGTTATCAAAAATAAAAATTAGGATTAAAGTTTTTTTAAATTATAATAATTGATGTTGACTTACCACTTTCCATTCTGGATGTTTCTGGTGGATTTCCTTCTTAACAGCAGTGCAGAATTTCTTGTGAATGGTGTTCACTCCTTGGTAAGGGGTCCTGGTCTGCTAGAAAGCTCAGCCTGACCCTGGTGGGAAAGCCTTCTGCACACGGTAGTGATGCTTCTGAAATGACTTGCTCTAGATTTGATTAAATGCAAATCCTTTGGTGTGTGTTTCTCTACAATTTGCATCCTCAATGTAGATGATATATGAAGGTACTTTTTCCCTCCCCATGAAGATTTTTATTCCCCATGAATGAATTTCCATTAGGAACAAACTCTCTTAAAAGTTTATTATGAAAAAAAGGAATCTCTTATTTCTTTTATGAATAACAGTGGAATTTTCCACCCTCTTTAATTTAGAGTTATATTTAAAAAAAATGTATGTATATATGTATGCATGCAAAAGCCCATATTTGCCAGTAGGTACTATGCCTATAGTACTTAGGTTATGGGTACATGATTTTTAAGAGATGGGCATCTTGCAGGTGGAGATGAAAATTCTAAGAAAATGTTTTCAATTAGGAATAGGAATCACAATTAATGTCACTTTAATACAATTGGTTTGCCATTTTATTATGTCTAAAACATAAATATATGATGTATAGCTGAGGTCCCTAATCCTATTAGTACATCAGAATCAATTGTGAAGCTGGTTAAAAATATCTTTGTCCAGCTCCCACTGCTGTGGAATTCAGAATCTTTTGAAGTAGGGCCTGAATAGTTATGTTTTAAAACAAGCTTTCTCATTTTTTTAAAAAAGAGTCTTTTTGATACATAGTGTTGTCAACTCTTCTAGAGCAAAAAATTTTTAAAAACCAATTTTTAGGTACTTTCTGACATTCCTCTCATTCATCTTCAACTACTCACGATTGCTGCTTAACCTAATTTTGGTTCTACCTCCCAGTTCTAAACAGAGTTAGAGTTCATGGACATCTTCCTAGGCATTCTAGATTTGTACAACACGTGGCATTTCAGGACTTCCAGTGGGTATCATCTAGTGGTTCTCAAGCTTAGCTGTGCCTCTGGTACTCTTGCCCGATGTCAGACCAATGGAATCTAGAATCAAAATATGTTCTAGAGACTCTGGAGTCCTGGAGACTGGTTGAGGGGTTTTGCAAAAGTCCAAACTATTTTCACAATAAAACTAGTCAGTCATTTGCCTTCTACTCTCCCATTCTCTCATGAAGGTACAGGAGAGTTTTCTAGAGAAAACAGCGATATCACAACAGATTGTGATATCTGATATTGGAGAAACAGATATGAAAATCCAGCTGTTTTCTACGTAGTTAGTCATTAAGAAAGTTTACAAAAATGCAAAGCTGTTCCACTCTTCTCATTCAATTTTTGTTTTGGTTTGGGAAATATATTTTTTAAATAAAAGTTTATTAATGTTAACATAATGATTTATTATTGTTTTTAAATGAATCGTTTTAAAATTCTTAGTTTTGATTTTTAACATAATATGGCTATAACTCATATTAAGTAAAAAAGCTCTTGGGGGTCCTCAATAAGTTATAGGAGAATAAAGGAGTCCTGAAACAGGAATGTTTGGGAACTGCTTCTCAAGAGGGACATCCGTAGTTTAAATGAGGTTCTAGGGCATTCTAATGCACAAATCTGAAGGTGTCTGCACTTGTGCTTTCCACATTTATACAAGAATACCAAAATACATTTGACTCAATTTCCCAGCTTCCTGTACCATTTCCTTCACTCCTTTTAGGCAAATGAGAAGACAAGGAAAGCGTAGTCACGCTGACCCGGCAGCCACCAAGACTTGTATTTTTTTTTCCAAGCAGGGGAGCCCTAGGAGTCATCCCAATCTGTTCTTGCTAACTCTTCATACCAAAAGCTCTATATTCAAATGAAACATAACATTATTAAGTGAACTAGTCACAATTTCTTTGTAGATACCTGAGAAGCATGTGGATTCTTCTAAATACTGTGCTTTTAAAAGAGGCTAGAACTTTTTAAACCTTTCAAGCAGAAAAGGGAACCATTTAAAAACAGACGTGACTCCCCATTGCTGATAGAATAAAGACGAACCCTCACAGCATGGCACCTAAGGCTCCCCGTGACCTGGTCCCATCCTACCTTTCTACCTCATCTGTGCTTGCTTCCTTCCAGGCAGCCTGTGCCCTGGTGTAGGTTTTTCATAGTGTGGTCTTGGGCCACCTGCCTCAGAATCACCTGCAATGCTTATAAAATTCAGTCTACCCCAGACTGACTGAATCAGAATATCTGGTTATCATGCCAGATAACCTGTGTTTGAAGCAAGCCAGATTAGTGGCAAGAGTAAAGTACTACAAATCTTTCAAGATTCAGCACAAATGCTACCTTCTTCACGTAGATTGTAATTTGCTTGTATATTCACCAAGATTGAGTTAATAGCCCATTTCGTGGTGCTCCTTGCATGAATCTGTAATAGAACTGATTTCATGCTGCTTTCCATTCTTGTCAGTGGTTTGCATATCCATCCCCCAGCTCCAACTGTATTGTCTCTTTCTCTCTTTTCTTCTCTATAGTCCCACAGCACTGCACTGTGTTTATGGTGCTGTGCACACAGTAGGGCCCCAGTGAGGGCCAGCCATGCTGAACCCTCCGCAGAATGCATCAGAGATGATGGCTTCTGGGTAAGTAGCAATATATAAATGATAAGGTATATCAAGGAGGAGTCCATTATTTTTCATGGTAAAGAAACATGACCGTGAGTACTGTAGTCCCAGCTTATCCACAGGGGATATGTTCCAAGACCCCCAGTGGATTCCTGAAACCATAGATGGTACCAAACCCCATATACACTATGCTTTTTCTTATACATATATGCCTATAGTGAAGTTGAATTGACAAATTAGGCACAGTAAGAGATTAACAATAATAACTCATTATAGCAATGTACTGTAATAAAAGTTATGTGAATGTGGTCTCCATCTCTCTTTCAAAATATAACATTTTTGGATCGAAGTTGACTATGGGTAACTGAAATCTTGGAAAGCCAAACTGTGGATAAGGGGGAATTACTGCATAATATTTGTCTTTCCACAAACCAAACAGAGCACCGAAGAGTTTCTACCCATCTCCCTGTGGGCTGGACTATGTCTGAAATTCAAAGATGTAATGAAGTTTGATGTAGAAATATTTAGTGCCCTGTAGAAGCATTTGAGATATGAGACGTCATTGGAAGAGCTGAAGTGCTTTGAAACTGAGAAACTGATTTGCAATAAACACTTGCCTGTTCTTCAAAATACCCTCTAGTACACGTGCTGCATTTGCTCAGATGCAATTACTCACTCCAAATTGATTACACATGATTAAATATATTTCTTAAAATCTCAGAAAAGATTGTTTTCTTATACCAAGGACGCAAGTCTTCCATAGAACTGGGGGGATGGTTTCTGCTGGATGCATGTGGCTTTGGCTGTTTGCTTCAGTTGCTGAGGGATTCAAAAACCTGGTACCTGTGTTATCAGGCAGGTTGCTGGGTCATAGCAAGGTCTGATGATGGTCTGGGGCACCCTGTTAACAAGGAGGGAAAACAAGGGTAAGTTTGGGTAGAATAAACACACATCTATAGAGCAGAGAAATGATTGGTAGTTTTTCCTTTATCTGGTATTGGGAACACCCCTCAGATACTCCAAACCACAACGTTTTTATATCAGCCTCCTTATTCATTCCAGGACTGGGCACCTGCTCTTCGGGTTGTGTAGCTCCTGATGACTTGGCAGGGGTTTTGCCGACAAGTTTGCTAAAAGGTAGATACAATGAAGGTAAAGGTGTGGAGGGCAGGTGTGAGGGACCCTGAAGCAGGCACACTAGGGTGGGAACTAAGGCACCTTCTGTTTCCCTTATCCTGCCTTTGTTCTAAGGCTTCGCTATTTCCCAGGCCTGTCTATATGGGCAGTGGAAGGAGCAGGTAGGGCTGCTCAGTGGTGTGGGCTGACGCTATGCTCCATTGGCACAGTACATGGGGGGCCTAGGAGCAGGTGAGACAGGATCCATGAGGAGGCAGAGGAGAAATGTGCTGGTGACACAAGAGATGCCCTCAAATGGAGAACAGAATGGGCATGAACAAGCAGCAATATACAAATGATAAAGTATATCAAGGGGGAGTCCATTATTTTTCATGGTAAAGAAACATGACCATGAGTACAGTAGTCCCACTTTATCCACAGGGGATATGTTCCAAGACCCCCAGTGGATTCCTGAAACCATAGATGGTACCAAACCCCATATGCACCATGTTTTTTCTTATACATATATGCCTATGGTATATCCTCACATGCAGATGCAAGTTTCTCTCCTCCCTACACCGGAGAGATGTGAAGAGCTGTTTGATTCAGGAACCCCCAAAAAGGTTGCTGTGTCTGCTCCAGTGACACAAACTCAAGTTTCTGGGTCTGCTCCGTTGACCGCATGCTTCTTTGAGGGGTGCACAGTGACCTCTGGTGAAGGATGAGCAGAAGGAAGAGGCTTGTCCACCACAGTTTGCATGCAGAAGTGAAGATGGCTTGAGGACAGAGCCAGTGGCTGACCCGGGGTACAGCAAAGGGCAGGAAAGGTACCAGAGAGGCTACTCCAGGCCAACTAAACTGTTACTTAAAGAGACCTGCCCTGGGATTTGGAATGGGATGAGCTGGGCACTTACTGTCTGGATCTTTCTACGTGTGGTCAGTTTTGTGGCCACCAGCTTTCCCTTGAATCTGAAAACAGCTGTCTTGCCAATACCATGGCATCTGGGCATATGGAAGTTCAGTTGGAGAATAAAATGTGGATGAGAGACTGTTTCCACCGGGAGGGGCACTTGAGATCTGACAGCTTACATTCCCTGGTTTACATGGGAGAAAACCCAGTCCTAGGTCTGCTGGATCAGAGTAAATCACCAGCACTGGGGAAATGGTTAAATTGACCCTGGCATTTTGTTTGGTTACATTGGAGCTACAGACATTTGGGGGTCTAGAGTCCCCACCTGAGGGGTATGGCTTTGGTGGTAAGACATGCTCCAGGGAGTGGCTGGCCCGTAACCACGGGAGAGGATGGATGAAATGGGCTGGGGAAGCCTTTGGGATGCAGTTATTTTACTTCTTAGGGTACACCATTTTGTGACACCCAATGTGCCCTCCAGAAAGCAATGAGAGTGCTGAAAGTATTTCTTTGGGGCAGGGAAGATGGCTGGATTTATTTCTAAGCAGTGTGTAGGGCCTTGGTCCATCAGCCTCACACTTAGAGAAATCAGTCAGTTTCCCAAGCCCATTCCCAGAATTCAGGAGAGAAGGAGTTTTAGAGATTGGTAAAAAAGCTGAGTGAGCTGGGCTGGTGGTCTTGAAGGTGAATGCCTGCCTGCTCATTTCTATCTCGACTCTAATACTTCTTCCTTTGGTAAAGAGTCTGCCTCTGGACCCTTTAACTATGGTGTCATGAGGGAAAGAAGCAGAGATGCTAGGGACATAAAGAAACCCTCTTCCCCACTATGAGTTAGTCCTGGATTATCAAAAATGCCAGGATTTTAGAATAATAAGTTTCCTATATATATATTCAGGAATGTGTATATACATATGTGTATGGGTATATATGTATGTATAACATGTGTATATATGTATAACATATGTATATATGTGTATATAACATGTGTATATATGTGTATGTGTATATATGTATAACTATGTATAATATGTATATTATACATACATACACATACATATATGTGTATATGTATGTATATGTGTATGTATAATACATACATACACATATGTATATGTATGTATATGTGTATGTGTGTATAACTTAATATGACAGTTGAAGATTTTGACTATGTAAGTCAAGAAACAGATTTAAGTAATTTTATTGAAATAGAGATTTTGGGCTGGGCATGGTAGTTCATGCCTGTAATCCCAGCACTTTGAGAGGCCGAGACGGGTGGATCACTTGAGCCAGGAGTTGAGACCAGCCTGACCAACATGGTGAAACCCTGTCTCTACTAAAAATACAAAAACTAGCTGGGCGTGGTGGCGCACACCTGTAGTCCCAGCTGCTTGGGAGGCTGCGGCAGGAGAATAGCTTGAACCCAGGGGGTGGAGGTTGCAGTGAGCCAAGATCACACCACTGCACTCCAGCCTGGGTGACAGAGCAAGAGTGTGTCGCAAAAACAACAACAACAACAAAACAATAACAACGACAACAACAAAACAAAGTAGGGATTTTCTTTCACATTTATGAGGGGCAAGGCAGCCAGCTGGCCAAAGGGTAGGAGGCCCTGGCTAGATGTGTTGTGCTCACCCACTCTGCAACATTGTGACATTGTAAATAGCTGACCCCTTGTGTCCACAGACTTCTCATAACTCCATAATTGCAGAGTGGCTGTGTTTGTTGGTGTCATTATTATGTAACCTATGGGCAATGGTACTGGTGGTGTAACATGAAATAGTACCCAGGTCCAGATGTTAGATTCAGATGTTATGACTTGCTAAAGACAGCTTTTACAATCTTTTAATTCTGCTAGAGTTTTAGCAAACATATCTGGGTAAAAGAGCTAGCCAAGTCCATTCAGGGATTCTTGCTTTCTGGCTGGAGGCTTGGCTTGAAGCCTGGCTTGAGCACATCTCCAGGAAGAACCGAGGGGATGTGATAAAACCACCTTCAGAAATAGTCTTTATCCAGATACAGCCGGGTATGCATTGATGAGAAGGGTTCTTTCTCATTGATCTAGACAAAATATGGTATCTCATTGAAGGTAAGGTGCCACTGATTGTTAGACACACCGTGACTTTATGTATCACTGAGAATGAAGGAAAAAGCTGCTTTAGACTATACCATAATGCCTAGCAATACCCCTGAAACATAGATTAGTCACAGCGCCTCTCCTTACTTTGGAGTTTTTTTTTTTTTTTTTTTGTAAATCAATTTTGAGGGACTTGGCAATTTCTCCTGCTTTCAGTTGCCTTGTCTGGCATTTAAAAGGCAACCCTTTTGCATATTTCCTATCAAAATGATGTAAAACACCTTTGTATACCTGTAAGTATTTACTTAAGGTTCCATGAATACTAGGTGTTTGCTTTGTAAGGAAACACAGAATTGTGACCATTCCTCCAAAAATGAATATTTGTTTTACCATTCCCAAATTTATGTTCACAGCTGTTTCTGTGCTTTTTGTGGATGTGGTCATTTCTCATTTAAATGCTTATCATAGTGCACTCTTTTTGAAGACATTTGGAATGACATTTAAATCCATCGTAGGCAGTACTAACAAGGCACCTCATCTGTCCACATTTGCCTGCGACAGTCTAGGTTTGCTCTTGTCATGGCGTCCCATCTGGTTAGTGTCCCTTTTCATTCTCAAAAGAGTGTGGCTTTGGAGGATAAAATTATGTGGTCGTCTTGCACATACCTCAATGGAGGTGACAGCATAAACAGCTATGTCTAAGTTGTCATGATGTGGGCGGTCACAACTACACCACAACCATTGCTTGAACAACAGCGACTATGGGTACAACTCCATTTCAGAGACACTGAATGTAGTAAAAGATACCTATGTAAAAACATAGGTATATTCCTGTCCATAGGATAAGGAAGAACTTTTCCAAAATTGATGTGCCTGAGTGTTCATTTTTCTCAAGCTGCCATCCCTTTCCTCTAGTAAGGAATAGAAGTTAATTCTCATTCAGTCTTTCAAATGGATCACCTACAGTGTGTGAGGAAATTGCAAAATCCATTCTCTTAAGGGGCGGATGATTTAGTGGGGAAGACAGGCATAAATGAATGATTAGAATGCAGTGTGAGAAGTGCCATTTGGAGACTGTTATCCCAGCCCCCTAAGTGTTTATATCAGTGTAGTATTTCTCAATCATTTAAAAATTCATGTTTCTTTTTGATAAACATTAAAATCTCCTCCTCCTAAAGATTCAGAAAGTGGCTTCTTGCTCTTCATGTTTTCTTGTCCTCCTTCTATTTGTCCTTCTTCAAATCACTGTTCTAGTTCTGCACAAATTAAGGCAATACAAAGAGTGCAGGAGCCCTAATATGGCACAAATGTCCAGGGAGTTATAAATGGCCTAGAAAAGGGGTTCAGAAAGGAGGAAGGTCTTTTAGAGGAGTTGGCATTTCAGCTGAGTCTTGCAAGATGCGTGTATATGTGTGCATACATGTGTGCACCCGTGTTTTGAGATATAATTAAAAGTCTACGTACTCATTCTTTCTGCCATAGATGGTCATTATTATTAGTTTCTTGTGTATTTTTTCAAGGGTTTCTTTACGTACTTACTAGTAAATACAAATATAAATTCTTATCTGGTTCCCAGCTTCTACAAACAAGTTAGCACACTATACACTATTCTATTCCCCCTTCCTTTATTCTTCCTAACTTAATTACCTTGGAGAATATTCTTCTAAATTTCTGCATAGCATTCTTTTGTATGGATGCACGATCATTAATCTTATTGGTTTCCTATTTATAAACATTTGAGTTGTTTATTGCAACTCAAATTGCTATTACAAACATTACTACACTATTCTGCTATTGCAAACATTGCTATAGTAAATAATCTTGGACATTCATCATTTCATCTAGTGCAAGTAAGTGTATCTGTAGACTAGATTCTCAGGATGGAATGTTGAATCAAAGGTTATGTGGATTTTAAATCTTGATAGATATTGCCAAATTACCCTACATAGTCCTTGTAGGAGTTTTTCCCTCCCGCTAGGAATGATGAGAGTGTCTGTTTCCCACAGCCTCACTGACAGTATGCATGATAGGGAGAAAAGTGGCCCCCAAAGATGTCCAAATCCTAACACCTGGAACCTGTAAATATGTTAGGTAACACAGCAAAGAGGAATTAAGTTTGATCATCAGCTGACTTTAAGATAGGACTTTTTTCTGCGTTATCCAGATGGGCCCAGTGTAATCACAAGCGTCCTTCAATGTGGAAGAGGGAGGCAGCAGAGGAGTCAATCACAGGAAGATGTGATAATAGAAGAAAGACAGAGAGAGGAGAAATGCTGCTGCCTTTGAAGATTGAAGAAGGGGCCATGAGCAAAGGAACACGGGCTGCTCGTAGAGGCTGGAAAGAGCAAGGACACAGTCTCTCCTGGAGCCTCCAGAGGGAACACAGCCCAGCTGACACCTTGATTTTAGCCCAGTGAGACCCAAGCTGGGCTCTAACCTACAAAACTGTAAGATACACATTTGTGTTGTAAATGTGAAAGCCTTTAAGTCTGTGGTAATTCTTTGCGGCAGCAATTGAAAACTCTACATCATGTTATCAAATTTAAGGACCTTTGCCAATCTAAAAGTAATAAACGCTCTCAGTGTAGTTTCACTTTGCATTTCTCCTATTAGGAGTGAGTTCAAACATCTTTTCATACATTTATATCCTCTCCTGTGATCTGTTTACTTTTATATTGGGTTGACTGGTTTTTGTCTTATCAAATTCTAGGAGGATGTTATAAATTAAGGCTCTGTAATAGGAGTTGCAAATAACTCCCCCTAGTTTGCCATTTATCTTTTGATGTTGCTTATGTCTAATATTCATAGTTTTTTATTTTGTACAGAAGTTTTTATTTTTACTTAGCTGAATATATCAGTCTTTTCTCCAGGGCTTCTATTTATGGGGTCGAAATAAGTAAAGTCTTTTTCATGCCAGGTTTATAAAGGAATTCTCCTTTGTTTTCCTTTAGTATTTTTATTATTATTCTAAAAAATATTTAACTCTTACATCCCACTGGAACCCAGACAACAAAACTATTTTTTGAATACTTTATGTTTCTCACCCTGATTGAGATGTCGCTTATATCATAATCCCAATTCACACATATATTTCCGTGTATATCTTGACTTTGTCTTCTGTTCCCTTAGTCTATTTATGGACCCAAATGACATCACTGAACCCCTGAGATTTAATATTTTAATATTTGGTAGGGCTAGTCACTCCTCTTCATTATTCTTTCCCCGAGTTTTCCTAGCTATTCCCATAATTTATTTAATTATTCATATGAACTTTAGAATTAAACTGTTTAGTCCAAAAAAAAAAAGGAAAAAGAAGGATAGAGAAGAGAAATAAGGAGAAAACAACTCTTCTGGTATATTTATTAATTGGGTACATGTTATATTTGCAAATTAGTGATTTTTAATATGTTCCAATAATATTATTTTGTATCTTTTCATAGTTCTTAAATTTTATTTGTATGTTTTACACATCTTATCAATTATAGTGATTTTGTCTATTTGTTTATATTAAAAATTGAGTCTTTTCTTCTATTATACTCTCGCTCATTGTTTATGTATATGAAAGTGGTTGATTTCTGTATATTAGTTTGTCATTCCTTTATGGTATGGAATATCTTATTGTTTCTAGTAGTTTTACAGTAATTTATATTGTGTTTTCAAAATATACATTATACCATCTGAGGATATTATTGGTGATTATATAGCCATAGAAAATTATGCTTTTAATCTGGATTTTCAGATTCATTTGTGTAGAGTTGAACAAAGTAGCCTATTATGATTCCTTTAGTTTCTTATTTATGTGTTGGGGTGTCTCACTTATTTCTCCTTCCTTCCTTCCTTTTTTTTTTTGGATGGAGTCTCACTCTGTCTCTCTCAGGCTGGAGTGCAGTGGTGTGATCTCTGCTCACTGCACCCTCTGCCTCCTGGGTTCAAGCAATTCTCCTATCTCAGCCTCCTGAGTAGCTGGGATTACAGGTGTACGCCACCACACCTGGCTAATTTTGTATTTTTAGTAGAGATGGGGTTTCACCAAGTTGGCCAGGCTGGTCTCAAACTCCTGACCTCAGGTGATCCACTTGCCTTGGCCTCCCAAAGTGCTGGGATTATAGGCATGAGCCACTGTGCCTGGCCACTTATTTCTTCTTATGTATGTTGTGCTTTCTTTTTAAAACTAGGTTAGCTAATAGTTCATTTTTTTAAATACAGCTTTTGTATTTATTAGTGTTATTTTCTAATTCATTAATCTGTGCTTTATTAATCCTTCACTTCTACTTCCTTTTGTTTTATTTTGTTGCTCCTTTCCTAAATTTCCATATTTGTTTCCTAACTTCCCTAAACCACTGTTTAATTTGTTCGTTTTTATCCCTCTCAGCGTACCAAACTACCATCCTAAAAGTTGTAACTTACAAACTACTTATCAAATTCAATATTTTTTCCTCCATCTGCCTCATCAGTTCTCTTTGTTTCTGATATAGTTGGACCTTGTTGAGAATTCTTTTTATCTCCCAGGACACTGCACACTCCTGGTTTTTTAGCTTTTCAGATATGTCTTCTTCCTTCTTCTTTCCCTGAAGCTTCTTCCCCTACAATTAAGGCGTGTGAGTTTTCTAATGTTCCGCCAGCCCCTTGCTCTATGTTCTCTTTCTTGGCGACCTCTTTCCTCTTCATGTCTCTTTCCCTACAGACTACTTTTAAATCCATATCTTATACAAGAAACAACTTTACCTTCTCAGCTTCAGATATACATTTTGAGCTGCTTCTAGAAAGCTGTGTCTGAGTCTGCTAGGAATTTAAACTTAATGTTTGGAACTGAACTCTTCACCCTCCTACCCTCACCCAACCTCAGATCATGCTCTGACTTCCATATCTCAGTTAGTAGCATCACCATTTTTTGAGTGTATAAACCTTGAAAACTCTGAGTTATGCTTTATTTCCCCCTTTCATTTCCAGCATTCCACAGCTGTCGGTCTTGCCTTCATCGTGGGTTTCTCTTCAGGCCCCTTCTCTGAACCTACGACCTGAATCCAGTCTGTGCTGTGTCCTCCTTGACTTACGGTAGTTTTCTGTTAGTTTTCCCGTGCTCAGCATCTCCATTTTAGTCCATCTCAATTAATGTTAGAGCTCTGATCATTTCCTCCCCAACTACAAATCTCAGATGACTGCCCCTGGCCCACCAGTGAAGAACTGGTTCCTCACCTGTCATCCAAGTCCTCCACAATGAGGCTCTAACTTCTCTCAAAACTGTATTCTCCTTATGCCTTATTCTGTTATCCTCATTTCTTCCTAAATTTTTTTGGTAAAATTATTATTTATTTATTAGATTTCCAACTTTTATTTTAAATTCAGGGGTACACATGCAGGGTGTGCAGGTTTGTTAGACAGGTAAACGTGTGCCATGGTGGTTTGCTGCACAGCTCATCCCATCACCTAGGTATCAAGCCCAGCATCCATTAGCTATTATTTATGATGCTCTCCCTCCTCCCACTCCCTCCGACAGGCCCCAGTGTGTGTTGTTCCCACCATGTGTCCATGCGTTCTCATCATTCTGCTCCCACTTATAAGTGAGAACATGTGGTGTTTGGTTTTCTGTTCCTGCTTTAGTTTGTTGAAGATAATGGCTTCCAGCTCCATCCATGTTCCTGCAAAGGACATGATCTTGTTCCTTTTTATGGCTGCATAGTATTCCATGGTGTATATGTACCACACTTTCTTTTTTTGTGTGTGCAGTTTTTTGAATACCTTCATTGAGGTATAGTTGACATACAATTAATTGCACACTTAAAGTGTACAATTTGCTAAGTTTTGACATATACCCATGAAAGCATCAGTATAATAAAGATAACAACCATATCTGTGTGCAGTGGCTCACGCCTGTAATCCAAGAAACTCAAGAGGCAGAGGCAGGAGCATTGTTTAAGGCCATGAGTTTGAGATCAGCCTAGGCAACATAGTGAGACCCCATTTCTACAAAAAATAAAAACCAATTAGCCAGATATGGTGGCATGTGCCTGTAGTCCCAGCTACTTGGGAGGCTGAGGCAGGAGGATTCCCTGAGCCTAGGAGTTTGCTGCAGTGAACCATGATTGCACCACTGCACACCAGACTAGGTGATAGAGTGAGATCCTGACTCAAAGAAAAAATGAAGGCCAGGCACAGTGGCTCATGCCTGCAATCCCAGCACCTTGGAAGGCCAAGGTGGGCGGACCGTGAGGCCAAGAGATCGAGACCATCCTGGCCAACACGGTGAAACCAATGTACCACATTTTCTTTATCCAATTTATCATTGATGGACATTTAGGAGCATTTCTATATATATTTTAATCCTCAAACTTTGGTTCATACTGTTTTCTCCACTGGTAACATTTTCTTCTGTTGTTTACTAAAATTTTATTTATCCTTCAAATCTTATCTTATACACATGTCCTCTGTGAAGACTTTCCTGTTGTCCCTGAACTGAAGGTGATTCCTTCCTCATTTGATCCCTGCAGATCTCTCTATTGTATTTGTTTTTCTTCTCTCAACTGTACTTATTCCTTTACTTGCTTTGTGTTCCCATTAGATCTTGAGTTCTGAGAAGGCTGAACTACCTATCTCCTGTAAAATGTGACCCAGAACCTTTTAAATAGTAAGTGCTCAAATATTTACTGAACATAGGGAAATTCTCTGAAAGGTGGTGAGGAAATAAAATGGAAGAGTCACTGAATGACTGAGTCCAGAAAAATAGCTTGATATTTTTCTGAACTGTAACATGAGAGATAAATAAACTTTATTTTGAAGACACTGTAACTCAGGGCCTGTTACAGCAGTTTAGCCTTTCAGGCATATACAATTGGAAACACGACTATGTTAAGTATGTTATGACATAAATACATCACTAATATAGACATAGGAAGGCTCATTCATTCATTGATCCCTGGGGATGATCAGTTCTGTATGATAAATAAATAAAGACCCAAGGGAGATCCCTTTAGCCTACATAAGTTTAGGGAGCTCTTCAATGGCCTGAGCTTTTGCAATAAGGAGAAACAGCAGTCTGGCAGCTGTGGCAGGAATCTGAGATCAAGTGGAGAGGCTCCTGACACGACTCTGACCAGCAAAACCATCTGACCGCTAGTGAGACTGAGCCCTGAGCTCAGCTTAGAACAAAAGGTGAAGTCACACTTCACTCAAGGATAGAGTCAACATTAAAAAGTGAAAATAAAGGTGAGTCAAAATAGAAAAGAGAGAACGGGGCAGGGGAGCCTGAAACTTTAGGGAGCTGAGTTACAGAGGCTAAAGGAAAGGTGAAGGAGTGAGTTGCAGTGTCAGTCCTGATATGCCCGAAGGGCAAGTCCTTGATGGTCAAATAGAAGAAATGCCATCCTCTGCCTTGGTCTGAATACTGAGGGGTTGCTGGGGCTGGGGTGCCTGGAGAGCAGATGTAACAAAGCCCAGGGGCAGAGAGAAACATCTAGAGTATCATTCTTAGAAAACATAACAGAATATCAATGCCTGCAGGGTCAAGGGTTCCATCACACCTTGCACGCTGCTAACCTGAACAGACTTGGGACCAAATCTGTACAGACTGACCATCATTCAACCTGGCATAAATTGACACTAAACTTGGCCACTTCCTGAATCTGATTTTGTCTGTTTTCCACCTCTCCTGTCTGATCCTTTGAATGCTTGAAATTTCCCCATCTCCCCAGGTTTCTAGAGGTGGAGTGAGGGAGCCCAATCAGCTGCCTAGTTTCCTGAGGTTGGACCCTGGCACAAACCCTTCTTATCAACCATCCTGAATTGACTTCACCAGTTGACAGCCTCATCTGCACCTGACACCAATGTATGAACATTGCTCAGAGTTCTAGAAGCTGTATTTAAACCTCTCCCCTCAGACTGAATCTCCTATCTGCCCTCCTTTCCCTAACTCTCCTTATTCACATGCCTAATCTAGACTACAGTTCTTTTGGGGGTGTTGAAATCCATTGACCTGACCTACTAACCTCCCTCACATAAAAGTTCTTGACCCTGGCCGGGCGCGGTGGCTGACGCCTGTAATCTCAGCACTTTGAAAGGCTGAGGTGGGCGGATCACCTGAGGTCGGGAGTTCGAGACCCCTGGCCAACATGGCGAAACCCCGTCTCTACTAAAAATACAAACATTGGTCAGATGTGGTGGCACGAGCCTATAGTCCCAGCTACTCGGGAAGCTGAGGCAGGAGAATCGCTTGAACCCGGGAGGCGGAGGTTGCAGTGAGCCCAGATCGGGCCATTGCACTCCAGCCTTGGCAACAAGAGCGAAACTCCGTCTCAAAACAAAACAAACAAACAAAAACAAAAAAACCCGAACAACAACATAATAGTTCTTGACCAGGCTGGCATAAAAAGGACATCTTTTAATGATGCGTAGCTGTAGGCTAGAGGGGAATGCAGAAAGGAGGCTTTGAGCATGAGTAGTTTTTGCTTTCGATTCCCTTTTCCTGCCTTGGGCGATCACGATTTCCCCTCTTGCCTCCTTTCACCAGGGACATTCATTTGGGAGTATTTTCAGTTTAAGCCACTAGGTGGTGCCTCAACCCTATCCGCAGCTCGCCAAAAGGGCTTGCCCCGGCAGCTGGGCAAGAGCGAGGATTTTTTTGGGAACTGCAGTGACCTGGAAGGAAGGTACTCTTTTCTTCCTGAAAATCGCGGACATCAACCTGAAATGCTCCTTCCATGACTGGTTGCAGAGAAGGAATCCATTTCCCGACCTTCCCTGCCTATCCCTCCAATTCTTTCCCCTACGCTTTGCTGTGGATCACTACATAGCATGGCACATAGAGGAGGTGCCTCTTTCTCTGAGTGGTCTGGGCATGCAGAACTCTCTAGTTTACCACAGGTGGGAAAGCCATGTGGTTAAGGGCACAGGCTCTGAATCTATAGGGCCAGGTTTGAATCCCGGCTCCACTTACAAATGATGTAAACATGGGCGAGTCACATAGCTTCTCTGTGCCTCAGTTTCCTCATCTGAGAAATGGGGAGAAAGACATTGGCCTGTCTCAGGATTGTTCCATTGTAATGATGTAGCTGTTATTTATTAGCACTAGATTTATTTGATCCAGTTAGACACTAGATGAAACCAAGCAAACTTTGGTCCTTGGTAGGCTCCATTTGCCATCTTCCTGGCCCTCACGATAAAATACGAGCCCACATCTTTTCTAGTCTTCTAAGAAGGATTCTTGGTATGCCTCCTCCTTCCAGGACTGAGAGAACGCTACTTCTCCTTCTGACCACAAAGCTGACACAAGATTGGTAATCTGCTCCCCTGGCCTTGAATTTTTTTCTGTGGGAGGCAGAACCCCTACACTGTAACTCCAGCGTTCCAACTCAAAGTTGGCTGCCCCGCCCCCCACATCCTGCCCACAATCAGCTTGCTCTCGGCACTCCCTTCCCTTGTAACCATTGTGCATCTAACTTGGCACTTTTGTTCTGGTTTACATTTCTGGGTACTCTGATATAAAACCTTTGAAATCAGTTTGGTATAAAATCATTTATTCAGTGATTCTTATAGCCAGGTACTGTGCCAATATGCTTTGTATCTGCTGGGCATTGTTACTGGAGTGCGTGTCTTCCCTCCCAGCAGTCTAGGGGTGGGAACCGGCTCTCCTGTCTGTCTCCACATTGCAAACAGTAGGGACTGCAAAGTCATTGGTTCACTGGCCAACTATTGGATGCACGGAGCTGTGAAGGGAGAGAACACAGTCAGCCCCCTGGATACAGTAGTCCTCTATTCTTTATTAAGTTTAAAATGAAATTCCCATCTTCTTAGGGGCTTACTCTGAAAATCACTAAGAGAATAACCTCTACTCTATTGATAACAACTCTTGGCCTCTCCGACTTCTCTGAACTGTTTGTGCTTTATGTCCTTCCAATTTGTCCTCCAGTTAGTGGCTTCTTGACTGACTGTTGGGGGTAAGTGAGGACTGGATAATGGGGAAAATAAAATCTTCCACGAGCTGAGGATTTTTGAGATGATCCCCCTCAGGTGTCAGGGTCTTGAAGCCTTGGGAGCCGTTCCCTGCCGCTAAACAGCTGTTTGATTTCCTCAGCTGGAGAACTAGCCCTTTCTTCCTGACCGGCTCACGCAGGAGCTGAACCTTTTGGTCAGGAGAGGATTTCTGTGTCTACACACAAAAGATATACATAGTCTCACTCATCCCTGACAAACAGATTTGTGCCTTGGATTCTGTGGTGAAAATATTTTGTTTTTTTTTTTCTTTTATTAAAGCTTGCCCATTTTTTGTTGAAGGCTGCTGAAGGATGTTGAGTGGTCCTTCTCCTGATATCCCTAAATGGGCACTAGGGCCATAGCTGGAAACAAGAGGTGTGAACTATCTTCCATTGTAAGGAGACCCACCAAGCCCTGGAGGTCCCTGGAAGCCACCCCCACCCAGACTGGTTAGGAGGTAACGAGTAGCTCCTTCTACCATTAGCCACTTGTATCCCTCTCGCAAGTCTACATAAGAAAACTAGGAAGGGGGTGCTATGGTTTGAATCTGTGTGTTCCCCCAAAATTCATTATGATGGAACCTAAGACCCAATGTGATAGTATCAAGAGGTGGGGCCTCTCAGAGGTGATTAGGCCACGAGGGCTCCACTCTCGGAAATGAGATTAGGGCCCTCGTGAAAGGGTTCAAGGGAACTAACTCAGCTCTTTTTGCCCTTCTGCCTTATGCCATATGAGGACACACTGCCCCTTCTGCCATGTGAAGATGGAGTAAGAAGTCCCTCACCAGACACCAAATGCTGGTGCCTTGATTTTGGACTTCCCAGCCTCCAGAACTGTAAGAAATAAATTTCTTTGTAAATTACCTAGTCTAAGTCTAAGATAGTTTGTTACAGCAGCAGGAATCAACTAGGATGGGATTGTGTGAAGAAGGAGGAATGGGGAAGAAAGCCATGAGTGTGAGGCATTTGTGTTGAGAAATTATTTCTTCTCTTCCCCCTGAGGTGAAATTTATATCCCCACCCTCTCACCCCCAGCCAGCCCAGTGAGGCGAGGCTCCAAGAAAATTACTTGTAGAAATTAGAGGTGCCTTGGAAAGGGAGGCTGACATCTTGGCCCCCAGTTGGATGACTTGCTGATCTGCTCTGGGCCCCACTAAGCAGGAGAAAGAGAACTGAGAGATGGCAGGGCAGGGTGGGGGTGTGACCAAGGCAAGTATGAACATGTCACCCATGGGCCTAGAGGTCACAGGGGAAGGTAGCTTGAGCCACTTCAGATAGCTTCTGGCTGGGTGCGGTGGCTCACACCTGTAATCCTAGCACTTTGGGAGGCCAAGGTGGGCGGATCACGAAGTCAGGAGTTCGAGACTAGCCTGACCAGCATGGTGAAACCCCGTCTCTACTAAAAACACAAAAGATTAGCCAGGTATGGTGGCGTGCGCCTGTAGTCCCAGCTATTCAGGAGGATGAGGCAGGATAATTGCTTGAGCCCAGCAGGTGGAGGCTGCAGTGAGCCGAGGTCATGCCACTGCACCCAGCCTGGGCAACAGAGTGAGACTCCATCTCAAAAAAAAAAAAAAAAAAAAAGCTTCCAGATGAGAAGGGGACTCTGGCAATGAGTTGTCATGGTGCTGTCACAAGTACCCCTAGAGGTGGAAGCTATGGGGAGCTGAGAGGTAGGACCAGAGACAAGTCTCCTGGGTCAGGGAAGTGTACTATGCTGGGGCCTGGGAGCCCTGAGGAGAACTCTCACATGGGCTCCTTGAAAGAGCAGGGATTTGAACACCAACCACATTGAAGGTGTTTAGAGCTTGTCCATGCTTCCCTGAGAAGCAGAGTAACCTATGGGGAGAGGAACCATAGCAGTCAGTTGTAAGAGACACCTCCTTCCAGCCCTCTGCCTCCTTCCTGCTGACCAACTGAAGAAAGCAGGCCTTGAAGAGTGGGTGGAGGAAGCACCTCCGAGCCTTTACGCCCAAGTCTTAGCTTAAACAAACCGTACTCACAGGAGGAGAGGACATGACGTGTTAATCAAGTTTGAGATTAAAGTTTTAATTGGAGTAGTTTTTTTCCCCCAAGTGACCAAAACAAAAATGACTTTATAATCACATATAATAAAAGGTCAGTAGGCAGAGCAGTTCTTGGACTGGTCAATTAATTTATTCAATAATGTCACTGGGGAATAAGGTCCTTTCCAATTCCGTTGGCTGATTCTTACTCTCGCTACCTCAAGGTCCCCAGGTGGCAACCACAGTTCCAGCTGTCATACACAAACAACAACCTCCAAGTCATAACAAACCACTCCAAACTTAGTAGAGTAAAACAAACACCATCTTACTTTGCTCACAGATTCTCTGGTTCACAAATTTGGACAAGGCCCAGTGTGGATGTGGGTAGCCTACCTCTGCTTCACAATATCTGAGGCCTTGATTTCTCTTCCACACTGCTTTTTAAAAATGTAATTACATATTTTTAATCAACTAATAATAATTCTACATATTCATGAAGTACATATTGATGTTTCAATATACATAATGTGATCAGATCAAGGTAATCAGCATGTTCATCTTAAACATTTACTATTTGTTTGTGTTGGGAATATTCAATTTCCTCCTTCTAGCTCTTTGAAACTCTACTTTATTAACTACAGTTATCCTACAGTGGTGTAGAAAGCTAGAACTGATTCCTCCTATCTAGCTGTAATTTTGTATCCTTTAAAAAAATCTCTCCTATCTCTTCCTTCCTCCTACCCTTCCCAGCCTCTAGTATCCTCTGTTCTACTTTTTACTTCTAGGAGATAAGCTTTTTTCTGCTTTCACATGAGTGAGAACATGAGGTATTTAACTTTCTGTTTCTGGCTTACTTCACTTAACATAATGTCCTCTAATTCCATCCATGTTGCCCCAAATGACAGGATTTCATTGTCTTCTAATGCCGAATAATATTCTATGGTGTACATATATCACATTTTCTTTGTCCACACATCTGTTGTTGGACACCAAGCTTGGTTCCATATCTCGACTACTGTGAATAGGGCTGCAATAAGCATGGGGGTGCAGATGTCTCTCCAATATAATGATTTCTTTTCCTTTGGATAAATTCCCAGCAGTGTGATTGTGAGACCATATGGTAGTTCTATTTGTAGTTAGGAACCTCCATCCTGTTCTGCATAGTGGCTGTACTAGTTGGCATTCCCACCAACAGTATATAAAAATTCCCCTTTCTCTGCATCCTCATCAGCATTTGTTACTTTTCATCTTTTTGATAATAGCGATAACTGTGGTTTTGCTCTGAATTTCCCTGATGATTAGTAATGCTGAACATTTTTTTCATATATTTTTCAGCTATTTGTATATCTTCTTTTGAGAAATGTCTCTTCAGATCCATTGGATTTTTTTTTGCTAAGAAGATATTTCAGTTCTTCATAGATTCTGGAGATTAATCCCCTTTTGGATAAGGAATTTGCAAATATTTTCTCCCATTCTGTAGGTTGTCTTTTAACTGTATTGATTATTTCCTTTGCTGTGCAGAGCTTTTTAGTTTGCTATAATCCCATTTGTTTATTTTTGCTTTTGTTATCTTTGCTTTTGAGGTCTTATTCATAAAATCTTTTCTCAGATGAAAGTCTTGAAGCATTTGTGCTATGTTTTCTTCTAGTAATTTTATTGTTTCAGGTCTTACATTTAGGTCTTTGATCCATTTGGAGTTGATTTTTGTAAAGGGTGACATGTGGGGAGTCTAGTTTCATTCTTTTGGATATGGATATCCAGTTTTCCCAGCACCATTTATTGAAAAGACTATCTTCTCCCCAATGAGTGTTCTTGGCACCTTTGTCAAAAATCATTTGGCTTCAGATATGTGGATTACTTTCTGGGTTCTCTGTTCTGTTCCATCAGTCTATGTGCCTGTTTTTATGTCAGCACCATGCTGTTTTGGTTACTACAGCTTTGTAGTATATTTTGATGTCTGGAACTGTGATAACTCTGGCTTCGTTCTTTTTGCTCAGGGTTGCTTTGGCTATTTGGGGTTTTTGTGATTCCATATAAGTGTTAGGATTTTATTTCTATTTCTGTGAAAAACGTCATTGGTATTTTTATAGGGATTGCATTGAGTTTCTAGATTGCTTAGGGTAGTATTGTTATTTTAACAATATTAATTCTTCTGTCCTATGGGCATGGGATGTCTTTTTATTTGTTTGTACCCTCTTCAATTTCTTTCAGTAGTGTTTTGTAGTTTTCCTTGTAAAGGTCTTTTACCTCCTTGGTTAAATTTATTCCTAGGTATTATTTTTGTAGCTATTATAAATGGGATTGCCTTCTTGATTTCTTTTTCACCTAGTTAATTTGTTCATGTACAGAAGTGCTACTAATTTTTGTGTATCAATTTTGTATTCAGCAACTTTACTGAATTCGTTTAGCAGTTCTAAGAGTTCTTTGGTCAAATATTTAGGTTTTTCTGTCTATAAAATTATGTCACCTGCAAACAATGGCAATTTGACTTTCTCCTGTCTAATTTGGATGCTCTTTATTTGTTTCTCTTGCCTAATTGTTCTGACTAGAACTTCCAGTCCTACGTTGAATGAGTGGTGAGAGTGGTCATCCTTGTTCTAGTTTTTAGAGAAAAGGCTTTCAGCTTTTCCCCTTTCAGTAAGATGTTAGCTGTGGTGGACTGACTTTTAATAATAGAAAATAAAGGACAAAGTTTTGAAATCTTCCTAGGATGCAATTAAGGATGCAAAGGGCAGATTTGATTGAGCTTCAGTGAAGGAGTAATTAAATTAGAGAAAAATGAAACTGCTTTGTGTTCATACACCATTGAGTTGAGACAGAGCAATATACTGGTTACAAGCCTCTGGAACATGATTTGTTCCAAAAGGGACACTTACGTCCTTAAAAGAAAAGTTTATCGTATAAAAGTAATTATAACTGATAATTACTTTTACTTGATAAACTTTTCTTTTAAGGACGTAAGTGTCCCTTTGAACATGTTCAAATTGTGCCATTTTCTGTTTTCAAACCATTTTGCCTTCAAAGAACACAACGTGGGAGGTGAACAAGGAGAGTAAAGGCAAAAGTAATTATCAGTTATAATTATAATTATATTTTATGTTTTATATTTATATTTATAATTATAATTATAACTGATAATTACTTTTATCAGTAAGAAGTTGTAGAAGTTTCTGGATGAAAACATAGATTTTTCCTAATACCTTAATCAGGTGCTATCTTAATCAGAAACAAATAATAAAAATCACTTGGTGTTGGGTCTTTATAGATTTTTATGTACTTTGAAATGAGAGTTAGAGATGAAGATGTAGGATTATTGATTGCCTTCTTAGAGTAAACTCAAAGTCCACGAAGAATCCAAAAAATCATGTCTATTGAAACCTTCTCAGACCAGACATAGGTATTGGAACATCTATGGAGCTATTCTAGAATTTATTTCCATCTTGACTGATTTGGTTCACATATTCAACCTAGAGGAGCTCCAATTCATTCTTTTGGATCTGATGAATTCCTATAGAGCTTTAGTACCTTTTCCTCTCCCAATCAGGAAAAATGTAGCTAGCTGTTGTAGATTACCACCTTGTGGATGGCACCAGGCATGGTTTCCCTTGGCTGACGATTACTTTCCTTGCCTGGTCACTGGCCACCAACTGTGGTCTTAACTCTAAGATTCCCTTTTCTACTGTCCCTGACCATGGTCTCAACATAGCCTCACATGAAATTCTCTTGTTTGGCCATGATCCTGCCTCTGTTTATTAATCTCTTGTCTAGCTTCGTTAAACATGTTCAAATTGTGTCACTTTTTGTTTTCAAACCATTTTGCCTTTAAAGAACACAACATGGGAGGTGAACAAGGAGAGCAGTTTTTGCGAAGAGGAGAAGACACAGATTGGAAAGCATTTATGGTGCAGCTATAGGTCAAAGTGTATCCTGAATTGGTGGGTTCTTGGTCTCACTGACTTCAAGAATGAAGCCGCGGACCCTCGCGGTGAGTGTTACAGCTCTTAAGGTGGCGCGTCTGAAGTTTGTTCCTTCTGATGTTCGGATGTGTTCAGAGTTTCTTCCTTCCGGTGGGTTCGTGGTCTGGCTGGCTCCAGGAGTGAAGCTGCAGACCTTGGCGGTGAGTGTTACAGCTCTTAAGGCAGCTCGTCTGGAGTTGTTCCTTCCTCCCGGTGGGCTCGTGGTCTCGCTGGCTTCAGGAGTGAAGCTGCAGACCTTCGCGGTGAGTGTTACAGCTCACAAAAGCAGCGTGGACCCAAAGAGTGAGCAGTAGCAAGATTTATTGCAAAGAGCGAAAGAACAAAGCTTCCACAGTGTGGAAGGGGACTCGAGCGGGTTGCCACTGCTGGCTCCAGCAGCCTGCTTTTATTCTTTTATCTGGCCCCACCCACATCCTGCTGATTAGTAGAGCCCAGTGGTCTGTTTTGACAGGGCGCTGACTGGTGCATTTACAATCCCTGAGCTAGACACAAAGGTTCTCCACGTCCCCACCAGATTAGCTAGATAGAGAGTGTCCACACAAAGGTTCTCCAAGGCCCCACCAGAGTAGCTAGATACAGAGTGTGGATTGGTGCATTCACAAACCCTGAGCTAGACACAGGGTGCTGATTGGTGTGTTTACAAACCTTGAGCTAGATACAGAGTGCCGATTGGTGTATTTACAATCCCTGAGCTAGACATAAAGGTTCTCCAAGGCCCCACCAGACTCAGGAGCCCAGCTGGCTTTACCTAGTGGATCCCGCACCAGGGCTGCAGGTGGAGCTGCCTGCCAGTCCCGTGACATGCGCTCGCACTCCTCAGCCCTTGGGTGATCGATGGGACTGGGCGCCGTGGAGCAGGGGGCGGCGCTGGTCGGGGAGGCTCCGGCTGCACAGGAGCCCACGGAGCGGGGGGAGGCTCAGGCATGGCGGGCTGCAGTCCCGAGGCCTGCCCCGCGGGAAGGCAGCTAAGGTCCGGCGAGAAATCGAGCGCAGCGCCGGTGGGCTGGCACTGCTGAGGGACCCAGTACACCCTCCGCAGCCGCTGGCCCGGGTGCTAAGTCCCTCATTGCCCGGGGCCGGCAGGGCCTGCCGGCTGCTCCGAGTGCGGGGCCCGCCAAGCCCACGCCCACCCGGAACTCCAGATGGCCCGCAAGCGCCACGCGCAGCCCCGGTTGCCGCTCGCGCCTCTCCCTCCACACCTCCCTGCAAGCTGAGAGAGCCGGCTCCGGCCTTGGCCAGCCCAGAAAGGGGCGCCCACAGTGCAGCAGTGGGCTGAAGGGCTCCTCAAGTGCCGCCAAAGTGGGAGCCCAGGCAGAGGAGGCGCCGAGAGCGAGCGAGGGCTGTGAGGACTGCCAGCACGCTGTCACCTCTCGAGAGTATTCATCTGTGAGTTTTCCAAGTTTAGCATATCTTTCTCTCTCTGCTTTCATGGGTGCCCTGGGGGCTGTCTTCCCCTCCACAAACTGTACGGAAGCAGAAACATACTTAAGAGCCCCTGGCCTAACAGGAGAAAAGAAAACTGATGCATGCCTATATTTAGCTAGAGTTTTCCATCCCCAAAGGCAGGTAAGCCTGGAGCTAGTGAATAGGGAAGAAAAAGAGGAGGTAGAGAAACAATGCAGATGGGAGTGTTCGCAATGAGGAGGGAAAAAATCTAGGCTTGGTGAGGACTGGGGATGGAGCAAGTGGTTGGTCCTTAGTACCCACCAATCCATCCATTGTCCATGCACAGCCTGTTGTACTACAGTGCTGGATCCCTGTAAGGCCCTACATAGAAGATGAGAAACTTGACACACTTGTGTAAAGGAGGAGCTATGAAAGCAAAACTGCATCGCTGGCCAAGGAAGAACGATTCAGAAGCGTTCAGAAACAAAAGATTTTTCTTTAAACCAGGGAAGCCATGGGTATACTCCCATTGTTACATATTTAGTGAACACAGCTGATTTTCTAGCTTGTGAGTGAAAATGATGCATTTCACCTGAATTTTAAGCTCTGTCGCTGCCAATTTTAGAGGAGCTAATCTTCCAGTTGATAATATTATTTTTACAGATTCAGTTAAATTATAAGGTAAAAAACAATATTTGACCTGGATGATGTATTATGATGTATATTTGGGTGTTCAGTTTGCTCTGGATGCAAGATTTGGCATTCCATTGATTTAATATTCAGGGTTGGCTAGTCTGAATCTGTGGCTGATGATAAACCAAGCCAGCTTTGCAGGTGGTTACTAGTGACTTAGCTGGAAACCCAGCAGTCCAAGTTCTGGCTCCAAAGTATGTGTTTCTAACCTCAGATTCATGCTTGATTGCTTTTGTAGAATTAAGTATACAGAGATACATCATCAAATCAACTACCAGGATTTCTTGAGTAAATTTTAGGATAGAATTATGTTTCTATACCTGTGTGTTTGTGTGTGTATGTGTGTATGCACTGCAAAAATGTAGAAGATGTGACTATAACACTAGAGGAGGTTATAATCTAGTTAGGGAGGTAACATAAAAAGTTATAGGTTTATCTTTAGCATTGTCTAATGACTAAGCTATCTCACAAGTATTTCTTGGTCCCTGAATATGTGCTTATATACATACATAACAGGACATTAACTCAGGAAAGAACGAGATCATGTCTTTTGTGGGAAAATGATTGGAGCTGGAGGCCATCATCCTTAGCAAACTAATGCAGGAAGAGAAAACCAAATGCTGCATGCTCTCACTTATAAGTGGGAGCTAAATGAGAACTTATGAATACAAAGAAGGGAACAACTTGAGGGGTCTACTTGAGAGTGGAGGGTGGAAGGAGGGAGAGGAGAAGAAAAGATAACTATTGGGTACTGGGTTTAATACTCGGGTGATGAAATAATGTGTACAACAAACCTCATGACATGAGTTTACCTATGTAACAAACCTTCACCTGTACTCCTGAGCCTAAAGTAACAGTTAAAAAGCAATAACAATAAAAAAAGCCCAGGGCATTAAAGTTCAAGTTTCAACTAAGGTAATAGATATGGTTTGCCAAAATGAGATGTGGGAAAAATAATACATGATTTTCTAAAGCAATGGTTATGAAGAGTTCCATGGCTGGGTGTGGCAGCTCATGCCTGTAATCCCAGCACTTTGGGAGACAAAGGTGAGAACCTGGGAGTTCAAGACCAGCCTGGGCAACATGGCAAAACCCAGCCTCTAGAAAAAATACAAAAATTTGCCGAGTGTTGTGGCATGCATCTGTAGTCCCAACTACTTGAGAGGCTGAGGTGGGAAGTTTGCTTGAACCTGGGAGGCAGAGGTTGCAGTGAGCCAAAATAGCGCCACTGCACTCCAGCCCGGATGACAGAACATGACCCTGTCTCAAAAAAAAAAAAAAAAAAAGAATGGTTCCACGATTCTTGGATCACCTAAATCAGATCAAGTGCAAAGTATGAGGATTAGATTTTGTGCACAGGATTTCACTAGAGAAAGCTGAGCTTTGACCCTAGAGTAAGAGAGAGAAAAAGAGAGAGAGAGAGTGTGTGTGTGTTAATGCACCTGCTTCCTCCCTGCCAGCCTAATTGGAGGGGAGGGGAGGGGGAGGAGAGGGGCTTCAGGTGATTAAAAGTGCACACTGTGTGTTCCTTGCAGGTAGAGAACACCTCAGATATCTAAGGCTGCTATGGCAGCAAAGAGAGAGTAGAGAGTCTAGTATTGTGTGTTTCTCTGGACTTTCAGCTGTTGGTGCTGATGGGGTAGAGTTGTTTATGTCCTGCCTTAGAGAACAGCCTGGCAGGACATAAACTGCCAAGAGCCAGAGCTGAGGGGATATGGAGAAAAATACCTACTTTTTGGGACCTTGGTTGGAGCCCCACAAGCAGCCTCCAAAGAGCCCATGGAAACACCTTCAGCTTTAAGCATGTTGGACCCAGAGAGCCTGATGCCAACTTACAGTCGTTTCCAGTTACCAGCCAAGCAGGAACTTCCAGTACTTTCGGCTCCCTTTCTACTTCGGCCTTCCTGGCCCAAAGCTGGTAGTGGGTGGGGAGGATACCAGCAGAGAAAGAGAGAAAGCGCTCACTAGATCCCTTTCCCTGATGTCATTACAGCCTTTAGTAAACATGGGGAAAGAAGCAAGTTCCGGCTGGGCGTGGTGGCTCACGCCTGTAATCCCAGCACTTTGGGAGGCCGAGGCGGGTGGATCACGCGGTCAGCAGATCGAGACCATCCTGGCTAACACGGTGAAACCCTGTCTCTACTAAAAATACAAAAAAATTAGCCAGGCGTGGTGGCGAGCGCCTGTAGTCCCAGCTACTCGGGAGGCTGAGGCAGGAGAATGGTGTGAACCCGGGAGGCGGAGCTTGCAGTGAGCCGAGATGGCGCCACTGCACTCCAGCTGGGCGACAGAGCCAGACTCGTCTCAAAAAAAAAAAAAAAAAAAAAAAAAGAAGCAAGTTCCTTTTTGAGGCAGTGGAGTATAGTGGGTGGGAACACAGATTCAGCAATCAGACTGGTTCATATCCCAGCTCTGGCAGCTGTGAGGAGGTAATTATTTTCTCCATGATTTGGTTTCCTCCCCTATAAAGTGGGAGTAGTAATAGTATGCACATCATTAGGTTTGTAGTTTTCTAGGTAAAATTTATTTTTTATAAGTTTTAGATTTACAGAAAAATTATGAAGATGGTACAGAGAATTCCCACATATCCCACACCAGTTTCCTTAACACTTGACTATACTTTGGTACATTTGCTACAGTTAATGAGCCCATAATGATAGATTATTATTAACTAAAATTTACACTTAATTCAGATTTCATTTGTATATACCAAAGGTTCATTTCTGGTTCTAGGATCTTACACAAGATACCATATTACCTTTAGCTGCCATGCCCCCTTAGGCTCTTCTTAGCTGTGATAGTTTTTTAGACTTTCCTTGTTTTTGATGACCTTAACGGTCTTGAGAAATACTGGTTGGGTATCTTGTAGAATGTCTGTCGATGGGGACTTTTCTGATGTTTTTCTCAGGATGAGACTGGGGTCATAGTTTTTTTGGGAGAAAGACCACAGAGGTAAAGTACCATTATCGTCACATCATATCAAGGGTATTTAAAATCAAGGGCGATTTATCTTTGTTAATATTAATCTTGATCACTTAGCTAAGGTATTATTCAGATTTCTCCACTGTGAAGCTAGTGTATCCTCCCTTTCCATACTGTACTCTTTGGAAGGAAGTCACTATGTCCACCCTTGAGGGTGGAGTATCTACATAAATTATTTGGAGTCCTACCTAGAGATTTGCCTCTTCTCTGCCATTTACTTATTTATTCAATCATTTATATCAGTATGAATTAATGGATATTTATTTAATACTTTGGATTATAATCCAATACTACTTTATTTTCTTACTCAGATTGTTCCAGCTTTGACCACTGGCAGTTCTTTCAGTGACTCCCACTTACTTGTTTGTTCTTGGTACCTCTGTTGAAAATGAGTTCACTGTAGGTGTGTGGATTTTTTTCTGGGTTCTCTATTCTGTTCCATTGGTCTACGTGTCTGTTTTATGGCAGTACTGTGCTGTTTTGTTTACTATAGCTCTGTAGTGTAATTTGAATTCAGGTAATGTGATTCTTCCAGTTTGATTCTTTTTGCTTAGGATAGCTTTGGCCAATCTGGGCCTTTTGTGGTTCCACATAAATTTTAGGATTTTTTTTTCTATTTCTGTGAAGAATGTCATTGGTATTTTGATAGGGATTGCATTGAATCTGTAGATTGTTTTGCTAGGAGACTTTTTATTATGACTTTTATCTCATTACTTGTTATTAGTCTGTTCAGGTTTTGGATTTTCTCTGGGTTTAATCTTGATAGCATGTATGTATCTACAAATTTGTCTATTTCTTCTAGCCTTTCCACTTTATTGGCATATAGTTGGTCATAGTAGCCACTAATAATCCTTTGAATGTCTGTGGTATATCTTGTAATGTCTCCTTTTTCATTTCTGATTTTATTTATTTGGATCTTCTCTCTCTTTTACTTAGTTTAGCCTGGTGAAAGATTTGTCAATTTTGTTTAACTTTTCAAAAAAGCAATTTTTTTTTGTTTCATTGATATTTTGTATTTTTTTTTCTTTCATTTCAATTTCATTTATTTCTGCTCTGATCATTATTTTTTTTTTCTTTTACTAATTGGGGTTGGGTTGGCTCTGGCTTTTCTAGTTCTTCAAGATGCATTGTTAAATTGTTTATTTGAAGCTTTTCCTCTTTTTTGATGTAGGCACTTATAGCTATCAACTTCCCTCTCAGTCCTTTGCTATGCCTCATAGATTTAGCTATGTTGTGTTTCTGTTATTATTTGTCTCAAGAAATTTTTAATTTTCTTATTAATTTATTCATTAACCTACCAGTCATTCAGGAGCATACTGTAATATCCAGGTATTTATATAAGAAGAGACAAAGACGGTCACTATATAATAATGAAGGGGTCAATTCAGCAAGAGGATCTAACAATTTTAACTGTGCAACATGTGCACCCAGCACTGGGCCATCCAGATAGGTAAAGGAAATATTATTAGAGCTAGAGAGAGATAGGTCCCCCTCTCTCTTTGTATAGTTTCCAAAATTCTTCTTGTTTTTAAATTCTAGTTTTATTCCATTGTGGTCAGAGAAGATGCTTGATATTATTTCAGTTTTTTTTTGCATACTTTAATACTTGTTTTGTGACCTAATATGTGGTCTATCCTTGAGAATGATCCATATGCTGAGGAAAAGACTAGGTATTCTGCAGTTCTTGGATGAAATATTCTGTAAATATCTATCAGATTCATTAGGTCTATAGTGCAGATTAAGTCTGGTGTTTCTTTGTTGATTTTCTGTCTTGAAGATCTGTCCAATGGTGAAGGTGGGGTGTTGAACTCTCTAGCTATTATTGTATTGGGGCCTATCTCTCTCTAGCTCTAATAATAATTCCTTTATCTATCTGGATGGCCCAGTGCTGGGTGCACATGTTGCACAATTAAAATTGTTAGATCCTCTTGCTGAATTGACCCTTTTATTATTATATAGTGACCTTCTTTGTCTCTTCTTAGAGTTTTTGTCTTGATATCTATTTTGTCTGATATGACTCTTGCTCTTTTTTGGTTTCCATTGGTGTGGGATATCTTTTCTTATCCCTTTATTTTCAGTCTGAGTGTCTTTATAGATGAAGTGTGTTTCTTGTAGGCAATAGGTCAGTGGGTCTTGTTTTTTCATTCATTCAGCCAGTCTATCTCTTTTGATTGGAGAGTTTAGTCCATTTACATTCCATGTTATTATTGATAAGTAAGAACTTGCTCCTGCCATCTTCTGGTTGTTTTGTGGTCTTCTCTTCCTTCTTTCTTTTATTCTTGTCTTTCTCTAGTAAAGATTATTTTCTCTTTTGTAATGATTTAGTTTCTTTTTGCTTTTTGTGTATCCATTTTATGTTTTTTGGTTTAAGGTTACCATGAGGCTTGCAAATACTATCTTATAACCCATTGTTTTAACCCGATAACAAATTAACACTATTTGCATAAACAAACAAGCAAAAAGAAAAGTAATAAAAAACTCAACTTAGTCTCCATGCTTTTTAACTTTTTGTTGTTTCTATTTATATCTTATTGTACTGACTATGTTTTGAAAAGTTGTTGTAGCTATTATTTTTGACTGGTTCATCATTTAGCCTTTCTACTTAGGGTAACAGTAGTTTACACACCACAGTTACAGTGTTATAATATTCTGTGTTTCTCTGTGTATTTACTATTAACGGTGAGTTTTGCACTTTCACGTGATTATTTATTGCCCATTAATGTCTTTTTCTTTCTGACTTAAGTACTCCCTTTAACATTTCTTGTAGGATGGCCCTGTTTTTGTCTGGGAAAGTCTTTATTTCTCCTTCATGTTTCAAGGATATTTTCACTGAATATACTACCCTAGGGTAAAAGTTTTTTTCCTTCAGCACTTTACATATATCATGCCACTCTCTTCTGGCCTGTGACATTTTTACTAAAAAGTCTGCTGCCAGACATTTTGGAGCTCCCTTGTATGTTATTTGTTTCTTTTCTCTTGCTGCTTTTTGGATCATTTCTTTATCCTTGACCTTTGAGGATTTGATTATTAAATGCCTTGAGGTAGTCTTCTTTGGGTTAAATCTGCTTGGTGTTCTATAACCTTCTTGTACTTGGACATTAATATCTTTCTCTAGGTTTGGGAAATTTCCTGATATTATCCCTTTGAATTAACTTTTTTTTTTTTTGAGATGTAGTCTTGCTCTGTCACCCAGACTGGAGTGCAGTGGTGTGATCTCAGCTCACTGCAATCTCTGCCTCTCAGGTTCAAGCAATTCTCCTGCCTCAGCCTCCCGATTAGCTGGGACTACAGGCGTGTGCCACCATGCCTGGCTAATTTTTTGTATTTTTGGTAGACAGGGGGTTTCATCGTGTTAGCCAGGATGGTCTCGATCCCCTGACCTCATGATCTGCCCTCCTTGGCGTCTCAAAGTGCTGGGATTACAGGCATGAGCCACCGTACCTGGCCTGAATTAACTTTATACCCCTATGTCTTTCTCTACATTCTCTTCAAGGTCAATAACCCTTAGATTTGCCCTTTTGAGGCTATTTTCTATATCCTGTAGGCATGCTTTATTGTTTTTTATTCTTTTTTCTTTCGTCTTCTCTGACTGTATTTTCAAATAGCCTGTCTTCACGCTCACTAATTCTTTCTTCTGCTTGATCTATTCTGCTATTAAGGGAATCTGATGCATTCTTTGGTATGCCAGTTTCAGCTCCAGAATGTCTGCTTGAATCTTTTAAATTGTTTCAGTCTCTTTGTACATTTATCTGATAGAATTCTGAATTACTTCTCTGTTTTATCTTGAATTTCTTTGAGTTTCCTCAACACTGCTATTTTGAATTCTCTGTCTGAAAAGCCACATATCTCTGGTTCTCCAGGATTTGTCCCTGGTGCCTTGTTTAGTTCATTTGCTGAGGTCATGTTTTCCTGGATGGTGTTGATGCTAGCAGATGTTCTTTGGTGTCTGGGCATTGAAGAGTTAGGTATTTATTGTAGTCTTCACTGTCTGGGCTTATTTGTAGTTGCCCTTCTTGGGAAGGCTTTCCAGATATTTGAAAGAACTTGAGTGTTGTGATCTAAGTTGTTTCTGCTTTAGGAGACACCCCAAGCCCAGTAGCACTGTGGTTCTTGCAAAGTCGTAGAGGTACCACCTTGATGGTTTTGGACAAGATCCAGGAGAATTCTCTAGATTACCAGGCAGATACTCTTGTTCTCTCCCCTTACTTTCTCCCAAACATAGAGTATCTCTGTTCTGAGCCACCTAAAGCCGGGGGTGGAGTGACACAAGCACCACTGTGGCCATCCCCACCATTACTGTGCTGGGACCTGAAGCCAGCACAGTGCTGGGTCTTGCCCAAGGACTGCTATAACCACTCCCTGGCTACGGCCTATGTTTGCTCAAGGCCCTGGGACTCTACCATCAGCAAATGGCAAAGCTAACGAGGCCTATGTCCTTCCCTTCAGGGTGGCAATGTCCCCCAGGCCCCAGGTGGGTCCAGAAGTGCCATCTGGGAGTAAGGGACTAGAGTCAAGAACCTTAGACGTCTACCTGTTATTCCATTGTATTGTGGATGAGCTGGCACCCAAACCACAAGAAGCAGTCCTTCCCCCTTCCCTCTCCTTTCCAAAGACAGAGGAGACTCACCCCATAGCCATCACAACCCCTAGCCACAAGGAATACTGCCAGACTACCATGGATGTTTCCTTAAGGCTCAAGTTCTCTTGAGTCAGCTTGTAGTGAATGCTGCCTGACCTGGGGCTTACCATTTACGGCAGTGGACTCCCATCTGGCCCAGGCAGGTCCAGAAATGCCATCCAAGAGTCAAATCCTGAAATTGTAGACCCCAGGAGCCCACTTGGTGCTCTACCGCCGTGTGATGGTGCTGGTATCTGAAGCCAGCAAGTCTCAGAGGCTCACCAAGGCCCTTAATATAGTACCTGGCTATCATGGCTGGTTATTCAGGGCCCAAAGTCTGTTTCGTTAGCAGGTGATGAATGCTGGCAGGTCTGGATTTTTTCCTTCAAGTCAGTGGGTTCCTTTCTGGCCCAGGGTATGGTGTGGGAGCTAGGGCCTGAAAGGGGGTGCCTCACTTGACTGGTGCCTTACCCTGCTGTGGCTGAGCTGGTATCCAAGATGCAAGACAAAGTCTCCCCAGTCTTCCCTCTCCTCTCTTCAAGCTATAGAGAGAGGTCTCTTTTGAAGCCATGAGCTCTATAGCCTGCGTTAGGGGAGGGGTGATGCCAGGGTTAGGGGAGATAGCTCTCTTGGCTGCCCCAGCTGGTATCTCAGTACGTTGTATGCCCCCACCCCGTCCACTGTCTCTGGGCCTACTTTAGCCCTAGGACTCTAAGAATTGCAGTCCTTATGTCCTAAACTTCTGTTCAAGTTTACTGAGAGACTGAGAGCACTTTGGCCTTTGGTGGCAAAGTTTGTGGGCACTCAAGTTTGGACCACTGGAATTGGTAATTCCCCTCTGGCTAGGGCTGGTGTAAATGCTCCCTCTGTGGGTGGGCATCAGCTGAATTTGGTCTGGGTTTCCTTTCTGCTCTAAAAGGATAGCACTGAGTCCAATGCCCCACAATTGCTGTGCTCTCCCTCCCCCAGTGCCAAGAGATACTCTTGGCACCACATGGCTGCCACTGCTGCT
Organism: Homo sapiens; assembly: GCF_000001405.40. NCBI lineage: Eukaryota > Metazoa > Chordata > Mammalia > Primates > Hominidae > Homo > Homo sapiens. The sequence continues at coordinate 111,212,477 of NC_000011.10, read as the reverse complement.
ACATAGTAGTGTCAGAGATTCAGGATTGTTTTTTCTTTTCTTTTTTCTTTTTGAGACAGGTTCTTACTCTGACACCCAGGCTGGAGTGCAGTGGTGCAGTCCTGGCTCACTATAACCTCCGCCCCCTAGACTCAAGTGATCCTCCCTCCTCAGCCTCCTGAGTAGCTGGGACCACAGGCACACATTACCACCTGGGGCTATTTTTTAATTTTTATTTTTAGTAGAGATGGGGATTTTGCCATGTTGCCCAGGATGTTGAACTCCTGAGCTTAAATGATCCGCCACCTTGGCCTCCCATAGTGCTGTGATTACAGGTGTGAGCCACCACGCCAGGCTCAGTGTTGTTTTTTCTGTCTCTACAGTCCCTCTTTCAGCGCTATGAAGTTAAAACCAGGTACTATGAGTGCTCCCTGCTTTTCGGTTCTTATGAAGGTGTTTTCTTCTGTGCGGATAGTTGATAATTTGGTTTCCTAGGGGTGGGGGCTGGTGATCTGTGGAGCTTTCTCTGCCGCCACCTTGCTCCACCTCCACAAGTCGAGATTCTGATAGCTCAGTTCTTGTTGTCACTGAATACTATTCCATTGTATGAATGCTTCATGGTTGTTTTTTCATTCACCTATTGAAGGAGATCTTGATTGCTTCCAATTTTTGGCAATTATAAATAAAGCTGCTATAAACATTTGTGTTTAGGTTTTTGTGTGGATATAGTTTCAACTCAATTGGGTAAATACTTAGGAGTGCATAAAACTATATTTGGCTTGTAAAAAACTGTCAAATTCTCTTTTATTGTGGCTGTTCCCCCTTCTCACTAACAACTGGTATTGTGATTTTTTAAAAAAATTTAGCCATTCTGATAGGTATGTAGTGATATTTGAAATTCTCTAATGACAAATGATGTTGAGCATCTTTTTGTGTTCTATTTGCTGTTTGTATATCTTCTTCAGTGAGTTATATGTTTAGATCTTTGGCCCATTATTTAAGTAGGTTGTTTTCTTATTGATGAATTTTAAGAGCTCTTTGTGTGTAAGTTCTTTATTAGGATGTATTTTGCAAAGATTTGTCTAGTCTTTGGCTGTCTTTTCATTCTCTAACAGTGTCTTTTGCAAAGTAGAAATTATGAATCTTAAGAAAGTACAACTTATGATCTATTTTTTTCTTTCATGGATTTTGCTTTTGATGAATCTAAAAACTCATTGCCAAACCCAAGGTCACCTAGATTTTCTCCTATGCTTTCTTCTAAAAGTTCAATAGTTTTATATTTTACATTTATGTTTGCGATCCCTTTTGAGTTAATTTTTGTAAAAGGTATAAGGTCCGAGCCTAGGTCGACTTTTTTGGATATGGGCATCTAATTGTTCCAGCACCGTTTGTTGAAAAGACTATCCTTTTTTCATTGAATAGCCTTTATTTCTATTTCAAAGATCAGTTGTCTGTGTTTGCGTAAGTCTATTTTGGGGTCCTCTATTCTGATATAATCTGCTGCGATCCATGTTTCTATTCTTTCACCAATAGCATGCTGTCTTGATTACTGTAGCTTTTAAGGTTGTTTTTAAGGTTAGATACCGAATATAGTACCTTCCCTTAGTAAGGACCACATGAGTGTAAGGAATTGTTAGTGGAGTGAAGATTGAAATGTTGATTAATATTTTGGCCTGTTTTTGAAATGAGACTGAATTTTGTTCTTAAGTGACTGTGGCAATTCTATTACCTTAAAATGAATACAAAACTTATGAGACCTGCTAAGTTTTCATCTGGTGCAGGGGCAAAACTTAATTCATTGAATAGTTTTAAAGGGCATTGGGAGGCAAAAATAAAGTTGAATTTTAATGAAATCCCACCCAATGGGCTTGTTAAACATATGTGCTACATATATAAATATGTTGGAACTCATATAACATTTAAACAGTTATTTCATGGATTTGGGTTAACATGAGTCAAATCATGTTCCTTCAAACATTATAATTACATCTTTCAAGAAAGCCCTTGATATGCATCATAAAACATAACAGTTAAATCATAGGGGTTAGTTCTATTTTCTTGTAGCAAATTTAGAAAGGAATTGTATTTCCTCTTCTTAGTATTATAGTGATATAACCCAGATAAAATGTAAGTAGTTCCAAATATTGTTTATGTCTTATTTTAAAAATATTATAAACTGTAGGTTGCCTTAATGATGTTACAGTCTGTTAATTACCAGCCATTTCTCAGTGTTTGTAGAATTTCCTACAGACTGTGTGTCTGACACTACATCAGTTATGCTTTGTGTTGTATAACACAATTATTACTTAAGGAGTTTTCTATCTCTTATCTAATTTTATGTCTCAGATAAAATTATGATGTGCATCCTCCAATGCACTTTTGTTGCAGTTAGAGGATGTCATCATTGGAATTCTTGTGAGGTACTTGTGTAAACTCCACTGTTGCTTATAACTTGTTTTGTCCTGTGGGAAAAATGTCAGACATTAAGAATTTACCAACAACATTGAAGTGGCTCATTAATAAGCATTCGCCTGGTAGACTGTTGATTATTTCATATCTTTTCCATTTAGAAAAAGAAAGATATTGTTGGAATTTGCCTCGTTGTGGAGGTAAACCTGTTTAGGTGAAGTGACTAGTTAACTTAGATAGGGGCAGCTAACTTTTTCTATAAGTATTTTAGTCTTCATGAGCCATACAGTCTTTGTCTCAACCACTCAACCCTAATATTGTAGGATAAAAGCAATGTTAGATAATATGTAAACGATTGAAATGAGCTTTGAAAAAAACTTGTATTCGCACAAACTGCCAGCATTTGGCCTGCAGGCTGTTCTTTGCTGACAACTGGCTTACAGAGCATAACAATCTTTTTTAAACTTTTTGCTGGTTTGGAAATAAGTGGAATTAAATAAATGCTGGTAGGCCACTCATAAAATCCAGCATGGAGTGGTAATTACAATGAGTGCTTTTGCTATCAGTTTGTAAGGAGTCTTTTAATAAAATTTCCCAAGTGCTAGAATTTGACCTAAAAATTTTCAAGAATAAAAAATCAGTGGTGTCTAATGCCATCTTATCCATCTAGAAGAGGAATCAAAAGAAGGGCAAATTCTATAATGGTACAGATGAGCCACTAGAATTGATTCACCTCTGAGTTGCAGACAGTGGTGCCAATCTCAGCAATGGCTTACTTAGAGGGAGCCTCTAGCAATTGGATTACTCTGTGACATTTCAGAGGAGCAAGAAATAGACATACATGCAGAGCTTAGGAAATGGTTATTGTACCCAAGTTTACACACTTCTGTCATAGGAAAGACTTGGGCCTGTCAGTCACAGTGTATGTATTATTACTTTAAAATAGATTTCCTAGTCCAGGATGGATTGGAAACAGCAAACTAGACAGGAGAAATAGAAAAGCTGTTGCTGCAAACTGACAGCATGAGACTAAAGAAGGACATGGACTTAAAAAGACACAACAATTAAACACCTGCAACTCTAAAGTCATTTACTGCTGGGACAAACAGTCCTTATGTACAGATTATAGCTATTGATTTTGGTGAAGGTAATTATGAAGTATGGGCTAGATCAATCTGAAACATCATGGAAATACAGGGATATTGGCAAATATGTATTTGTGAATAGATGTTACTCAAGCTCAGTGAAATTGAATGAAGTAATAGCTTGGATATGAAAGAGTGCAATTTTCCCAAGAAACATCTATTGTTTAGCAGCCGAGAGTATGAAGGGAACTACTACTACATATATTTCCTGGAGACAAAGGTAAGGGTTCTTTGGAATGATGATACAAATGACATTAGCAGCCTAATTGATATTGACCTAAGGTCAACACAAAAACTTTAATCATATTCTATCTATTGCTTAAAAAAGATAGAAAAATATCCAAGTGTGTAATAGCTTTCCAAAGATGATTCCAATCCAAGTGGCTATAATTATTTAAAAAAAAGATGTTTTGGCACTTAAAGGTGTAAAATTATTTGTAACACATCATTTCACAATGACATTGAATAAATAAAGCATTACTCTCCTTAAGTAAGGCCAGGTGTAGAAACAAATTACTTTTTTTGCTGAATATTTTAGGAATTTTTACTTGCATAAGATTATTTCCCTATAGTACAAAGTGTAATTGTAGTGGATATTTGACTATTATTTGGTAATTGTGATCAATATTAAAGATTTAAGAATAATTTATTCTTCACATGAATGATTTTAATGCAGATTTTAATTTTAGATGTCTAATACCAATAAAATTAATTGAATAACTGCCAAATTTCTTTTTCCTATGTATATGACATTTTTATTTCTAGGACATATTTGAAATTCTTACATTATCCGAGGTTTCCAACCTTGTTACCAAGGAGAATTGGCTGAACATTTTTTTCTTTTTTAAAAAACATTTACCTGTTACTCAGGTTCAGTTCTTTTGCCTTCTTTGTTTCCTGTTTCTTTCTCTCTTTTTTAATGTAGTAAATAAGATGTAATATTACATAGATACAGAGGAAGCCCCATTTGTACCTGTTCCAAGCCCCACTACCCCCTTATTTACTCCAGAGATAACCATTATCCAACTTCATGTTTTTATTGTTTTTAATTGTATTTAAATTGTATCTACTATTTTAGTGTATGAATAAGTCACAATTAATTCTCCATTTACCTGTTGATGGACATTTGGGTTGTTTTGCATGAATATACAATTCTGAAATCACCTTTGCAATGTTGGTTTCTTTGTACATGTGGTCAGGTATCTAGAAGCGACATTTCTGGCTATGTTTATCTTTAACCTGGCTTTTACTGCCAAATTGCTCTCTACTGTGGCTGTACCAAGGTACAGTTCCATCAGTGTGTGAGAATTGTTGTGCATCCACATCTTCAATAAACTTGACATTATCAGGCTTATAATTTTAACAAGTTTGCAAATCTGATCATCATTGGAGCTGATGAGGTTTTGTTTTAATTTGCATTTGCTTGATTACTAGTCACATTGAGCGTTTTGCCGTATATTTTTGCTTCTCTCATGTGGTTGCTGAAGTCACAGAGAATGATAATGAGTTGGAACACTGAAAGTTTCTGTGGCTAGGGTCAAATTCTTCAAAAAAATGAGGGAAGTGATTACAGGTTTGATTAGCTGTCAGCAGTGAGTAGAGAGAGAAGATGGCAAGCACCTCTCAAGATCAAGAACATGTGAAGGCTGTTTGTGGCATGGGAGTGTCATGGGAGACCCAGAAGACCCCTACTAAAGTATGTGGGGCTGCTTCCAGGGGGCTGAGAGGGAAGAGGATCAGAGTGTGTCTACAAGAGAGAGCCAGGTTTTAACTTAAGGCACAAGAATAAGTAGATTACACAGAACAGTTTGTAAGTTGCAGATTGGGAAGTCCAAGGGCCCATTTGAAGGATTTGTGAGGGAAGGGAATAGATCAGAATTAGGTATATAGGGAGTAGTACAGAGAAAGTGTAGTGTGAGGCTGATGGGATTGGTCCTGACACCTCTCTGAGGATGCCGTTTTAGGTGGATGATCCTCCCTTGAAGTATGGCAGCTCCCAGGGAGAGGGATTAGGCTTATTGCTCTTACTTATTTTCGGGTCCTCAAAAATCTAATGTGGTATCTTCATCTGAGCCAATAATTTTCTATGTTCCAGTCCTCTAGGAGGCCTGGCTGTCTGCAACAGCAGAACCTAGAACCAGGAGCACTTGATAACCCCTGTTGTCAGAGTAGGGTACACACAAAACATTCAGAATTTAGGACTAAAATTCACTAAGGAACTCCTCTAAAAAGTATTTTAAAAATGTCTCTGTTTTGGCTGCATCACGCTGAGTCATGTTCTCTTTGGCTTAGGCATTATCAAATACTTCATAAGGAAATATTTTTATTATTTAAACATGGCATTCCATTGGGATTATATTCTATGCAAATATAAGTTCTGAGGGTGTTTACCTTCATGTACTGCTGAAAGTGTGTTTCCTTACTTTATGCACATGTATCTAAAATTAAACTAATATTTTTTTGGAATATTTGTTACAGGAAGTACTCTTGATGCTTATATAAACCACCACATTTTATGCCTTTTACTAAAATTTGGTGTTTATGAAAGAACAAGTTTTGTTCTGTTGTTCAGCATGAAATGTATAACAACAAAGGTCGTGGCTTCAAAAAATACTGAAATAATAAATCATCTAAATTAATAGAGTTTCATAATTCTTTTGGAAATTATTGATGACTTCTCAGATTTACCAAAGAGTTGGTGATGAGCTAAGACAAAGGAATTAAGGCTGGAACTTATTTGGTTCAGTGCCCCAAGTCTTATCAGATGACATAAAGGCACATCCTGCTCCTGGCTTTTGCCTATTGCCATGTGGCTTTGTGTCTTCATTGAGTCTTTGGTGAAGATAAGACATTTCTGGTAACTACGTCTATTTAAATACTTAAAGGTGTATTTAAGTATTTATTTGAATATTCAAAAATTTGGTTTAACAAGAAACTATTTTAAGTAGAAATTAGAGAACCATCCATTCAAGTACAGGTCTTACTCTGGTTTATATTCAATTCTGCCTATTCATTTTCCTGTATTTTCACCATGCAGCTGGTTTTTCAGTTCATAGCATTTCCAAGAAATGAAATTTTCCACTGAAGTCAGCATGTACACAGTTCACGTCACCTTCAAGTCAAGTCAGTTAGTATTCAAGCCCTGGTGAGTTAACCAGAGACAAGGTAGCATGTTTCCAAAAGACACCAACTTGCTAACATTAGTTCATTCAGCAAACACTCAGTGAATGCCTACTGTGTACCAGCACTGTAGAAATGCTGGGGATGCAGGAAACAAAACTCATGAATGCCTGGCTTCAAGTTTGTGTTCTGCACTGATATGTCTGAGCAGAGGACCTGCTCCCTGGTCTTCTCGTAGTGTCAGAGTGCTTCCAGTTGTCTTCATTAGTGACAAGACTAAGACCAAGTAACGAGACATACCTTCCCTTTATTTTCCCAGAGAGCTTTTGTCTTTTGAGAGATCCCTAAAGAGGGCCAGGCACGGTGGCTCACGCCTGTAATCCCAGCACTTTGGGAGGCTGAGGCTGGAGGATCACTTGAGGTCAGGAATTCGAGGCCAGCCTGGTCAACATGGCAAAACCTGTCTCTACTAAAAATAGAAAAATTAACTGATGTGGTGGCATGCGCCTGTAATCCTAGCTACTTCGGAGGCTGAGGCAGGAGAATCACTTGAATCCAGGAGGTGGAGTTTGCAGTGAGCTGAGATCGCGCCACTGCATTCCAGCCTGGGCAACAGAACCAGACTCTGTCTCAAAATAAAAAAAGAGATCCCTAATGAGCTAAGCAAAGCCTAGTTGACAGTTTCCAATGTTGTGGTGAACATGCCTGATACAGAAGACAGACAGGCTTAATCATTAGCAACAATCTCTGCCTCCTCAAGACCTGCCTCACCTTATGAGAACTTGCCTGCTGCCATTTCTCTCTGCCAGATCCGTGTCCCTCAATGGCCTACCTCAGTTTCCCAGTCCCTTCATCATGCGTCATCCAGGCATGTCACTCCTAATCTCTACTTCAACATGTGCCTCGTAGGAGTGTGGAACTTGAATAAAGGAGTACCCAACCCAGTCCCTGCCCTCTAAGACCTTAGAGTTTTGCTGAAGATTTAAGGTGTTTGAGATTTTATCATGAAGAAATGTGTCTGATTTAGAAAAATGTCAGCAATGATAACATTATTAAAATACATATATATGAACATAATACATATATAAATATATACATATTTTTTCTTCCAAGTGACTACATTTGGTTAGATCCATAAGCTCTAAATAATGCTTTAAAAATCAGTTGTGTTTTTCTTAGTCAGTTTGGGCTGCTGTAACAAATTACCATAGACCAAGTGGTTTAAACAGTTATGTTTTCACAGTTCTGGAGCCTGGGAAACCTAAGATCAAGGTGTCAGCATGATTGGGTTTTGGTGAGAGCCTGATTCCTGGTTTACAGATGACCATCTTCTGTTTGTGTCCTCACATGGGCAGAAAGAAGAGCAGAGAGAGAAAGCTTTGGTATATTTCCTTATAAGGCCACTAATTTCATTCATGAGGGATCCAACCTCATGATCTAATCACCTCCCAAAGTCCCCACCTACTAATACCATCACATTAGGAATTAGGATCTCAATGTATGAATTTTGGGAAGGAGGAGCAAACATTCAATTCATAACAATATTGTGACTAGGAATGCAATGTATTATAAAACCTAAGCAAATTACTAAATTTCTATATGTTTAACATACAAAACAGTGGATGGTATGAGGCAAGACATAATCAGGTAGCATAAAGAATACCATAGGGTTATGGTAAAGGTGACATTTGTGTGGGCTCCAGTATTGGGGAAAGACTCCACAGATGTTTTGAGACCTAAGTTTGGCCTTGAGTGAGGGGTAAGATTTGGAGTGTAGGAAAGAGAGTGGCAGGACTGTATTGAAGCTGAAAGTGTACACTGATGACCTGGTTTGTTCTGCCTTGCTCCATTTTGGTGAGAGAGAGAGGGATTCTTTTGCATTTTAATTTCTAACAAGGACCTTCAGGCCTGGTTTGGGTGTGGGAAGACTGGTGTTTACTTCCCCTGGCAAGTAAGCAGAACTGGGGAGCTCTGGGTTTTCTGCAGCAGAGGATCAGGTGAGAGGAAAGATGTCTTATGGAGAGGAGACACTGAGCACTAACAGACTGGCTGGTTATGGGGCATGGAAATCATTGGTTGGAGTGAGTTAGCTTCCTGTCAGCTCTTAAGAAATGATGACAGGCATTGTTTTACAGGCAGAGCCATGATTAGAAGAAGGTAAGGGAAATTCATTCCAAAAATGAAGAGGAAAAAAAATCCAGATCAAGAAGCATATTCCTTGTCTTAGGGCTAGGGTTGAGGAGCTGGTGGTTGTCAGTTTCTGTAATCTAGGGATTTGTGTTTTAGTATTCATATGGGGTTAGACAATGAGTGTTTGGCCTAAATGAGGGGGGAGGATGAGTTAGACCTGAGACACTTGAATAAAAGCAAGACCTTTGAAGGGCCATACTGTCAATAAAAGGACGAATTAGGAAAATAGTCCATAGGTACAGAGAGGCAACAAGAGAGACTAGACTGCCTGTCATGAGTGGAAAAATTTCCTGAGAATTTTTAATGACAAGCCTGTGCTTCCTGTTGACTTGGGGTTTGAATTTGTGCCATCAGCTAAGAAATTAACATAAAAATTTGTCCTGAGCCAGTAATACCATGGCAATGGGAGGGTACCATGGAGGGGCAAGTGCTTAAAGTAGTTTGCACCGAATTCTCATAAATAAGACCATACTGAAGATGAACTCACAATCCAAATATAGGTAAAAGCATGTCAAATTCACAATTTCTTTTGTCTTAGAATTTTGACAGGTCCCCCAAGGCTGAGAACATCCTGTGTTATAGCGCCTATGAAGAACAGGTAAAACTTGTAAAGCTGAGGTTTGAAGTGCCCTCCGAGTATGCAAAGGGAGGTTTCAATGTTGATAAGTAGGAATTCTAGAGTGAGAGAGTTGTAGATGAGCTAAGTGTTTCCTCCCCTTCAGTCAACCAAATGGGGCTGGGGGTAGGGTTCAAATATATAACCACTCGGAACGTTTTCTCATATCATCTGTAATTTGGGAGATGTAGGAATGTCCTAATTTATGCCTGGTATCTGATTTATGCTTGGAAACATAGAATGTCAAGAGGCTGGTCAGATGCTCTGAGGCAGAGGGAAAATAGTAGTTACAATGGGAGAAGCTACATTTACACAGAATGGGGGTAAAGGTGAATGTTCTTGTGGGCCAGATGTTGATCATGGGGTGGGGAGAATCTGAGAAAGGGTTTTGCCTCGAAGAATGGAGTCATTCCAGCAGGAAAATTTTGAATATAGAATCCAGACACCAAGGGTCTGTGGTTCTCTCGAGTGGCCCCTAGAGAAGGGTTGCTCAGAGCAGCAAAATACAGATGTAAGTTGTCAGAAGTGGAAACTCTGAGAAACCCAGAGGGCATTTCAGGAGAGAAAGAAAAGGCACATTCCACCATCTGCCACAGCTGGAAGGCACCGATGCCGTATCACCGTTGCGCCAGTCAAGTAGCCCTCCTTACCAAACCTTTGGACCCTAGGTTCACAGAACTGGGTGACTTATAATCTTTGGCCCATGACAGAGACATCATTAGTCTGTGCGTGGACTAATTGTGTATTTATTTTTAATGATGTAATAGGAATCATGAAACCACGACTTTAAGCAAAAGCTAGGACCCTGGTAGCACTCTAAGTCTAAAGGAGTCTAAGTCTCAGTCATCCTCTGGCTCCCTCAACTCAAAGCAGTTAACATTCTGAATCCTATGTTCAGCATTCCCTTCCTTTCTTTTTCTCTAGGAAAAGTTTATTGAGTTATAAGAAATGTACACGGAAGTGCACAAATCTTAAGTATATAGCTCAATAAAATTGAAGTTGTTCTCTAAAAACTCTAATAAACTAGATAAAATTCTGGCAAGGTTTATTCTGATGGCAAAGACAGAGCAAATAATAATAGGAATAAAAAGGGAACAAAGCTATAGATGCAGTGGGTATTTTCAAAAAGAACATCCATGAACAACTTTGTGACAACAAGTTTAAAATATGAAATAGACTATTATCTAGAAAAATAAAATTTAAAAAACGGACTTAGGAAGAAACAGAAAATCTGAATAGATCTAAAACTACCAGAAAAATTGAGGCTGGTCACAGTGGCTCATGTCTGTAATCCCAGCACTTTGGGAGGCTGAGATGGGAGGAACACTTGAGGTCAGGAATTCGAGGCCAACCTGGCCAACATGGCGAAACCTTGTCTCTACTAAAAATAGAAAAATTAACTGGTAAGGTGGCATGTGCCTGTAATCCCAGCTACTTGGGAGGCTGAGGCAGGAGAATCATTTGAACCCGGGAGACAGAGTTTGCAGTGAGCTGAGATCGCGCCACTGCACTCCAGCCTGGGCAACAGAGCGAGGCTCTGTCTCAAACAAAATACAAAAAAAAAAAAAACCAAAAAACCAAAAAAACAAAAACAAACACCACCAAAAAAACCTAAAAAAATTGAATCAGGAGGTAAGAATTTAATATCAGCTCCTCCAGACAAATAAACACAAACCAGAAGCTTATGATGTAGTCTGAATTTTTGTATCCCTCCAAAATTCATATGCTGAAACCTAATTTCAAAGGTGATGTTGTTAAGAGGTGGGGCCTTTGGAGGTGATTAGGTCATGAAGGCTCCACTCTCATGAATGGGATTAGTGCCCTTATAAAAGGCATTGAGGGAGCCTATTTGCCTCTCCAACCCTTCCTCCATGTGAAGATACATCATCTTTGAAGCAGAGAGTGAGCCCTCACACTGAACCTGCCAGTGCCTTGATCTTGGACCTTCCAACCTCTAGAACTATCAGAAACCAATTTCTGTTGTTTATTAATTACACAGTTTAAGCCGTTTTGTTACAGCAGCCTAAATGGACTAAGACAACCCACCAGACTCAGGGGATTTTACAGGTGACTGCTAGCAAACACAGAACATAGAATACTATTGTTATACACATTTTTTCTGTGATGCTGATTGTCCAAGTTGGAAATTACCTTGCTTTGTGGATAAGATTGAGCTGTGGCTGCGTGAACTTAGACATGGCCTACTTAATTAAGTTCTCAACCCTTCAAAAATAATATTGTGGGGTCTTAGAGATATGTAACTGAATTTTTGACTTCTTAAACATTTTCATAAACAAGTAGTTGAGCCACAGTTTTAGTTGGTAAAAATAAGTACTGGCTACTTCAGAGGAACATTTCTTTTTTCTTTTATTTTTTTTGTTTCGAAAAGAGCAAGTGTTCCAGATAAATGTGTCCTTTGTTAACCAACTTCACTAATCAATTCATACCACTGGTTTCAGAGCAAAATATTTACAAACTGCATAGAAATTACCAGAATCAGTCATGTGGCCTAATTGTGTCATATTAGCCCCCTTCCTTGGTAGTTACAGTGCTTCGAGAGACACAATTCAGTCTAAGTTATATATAAGTCTACATTTTAATGAGCCCTGTTATAGCAGGATTCTACTGTGTTTTCTTCCGAATTTAGATCTTGCCTAATTAGTATTTCATTTTGTGGCATTTCCTTACTATCCGACTTCACAACTGATTAATTCTGACCTGATTAATTAATTAGTGGTTGTGGATTGTTAACTTTGTTTATGGGTCATTGCTCTGACAGATATTTTTTAATGTCTTGTAAGAGCTAACATGCAAAGAGTTTCCTATTTTGGCTAAGATAGTCTTGGTACTATAATTATTCATTCAGTCAGTCATTCAGATGTCTGTTCATTCATCAGGCATTTATTTTTGTCTTCTGTGTATCAGGCACTGTTAGGTGCTGGAGACACAAAGCCTTGGCCTAGAATACCTTTCAGTCTAGAGGGAGATGTAAACATGCTCCTAGATTTATTACAGCAGACCAGGATAAATGCTATTACAGAGATGAGAAGAAAGGGTCAGTGCTGTGCAGAGGAGGGAGGAATTAATTCTGCTTCACTGGGGAGGTGAGTTTTGAGCTATATTTTGAAGGATGATAAAGAAGGAGGGTTGAACAGTGGAACTAACAAATGCAAAAACATGAATTTCTTAAATTATCTAGAAATTGGTTATAACTTCAGTATGGTAGGAGTAGAGTGTACAAAGAGGAGTTTTGGGAGATGAAGTTAGAAAGATATTTTGAGGACCGTATTAGTTAAATATTGCTGTGTAACAAATTACCTCAAAACCTAGTGGCTTAAGAACAATGAATTATTTCACAGTTTTGGTGGGTCAGGAATTTGGGAGCAGCTTAGCAGAGGAATTTTGGTTTGGAGTCTCTCATGAGGTTGCAGTTAAGATACTAGCTGGGGCTGCAGTCACCTTAAGGTGTCAATGGGGCTGGAGGATCTGCTTCAAAGGTGGCTCACTCACATGCCTGGCAAGTTTATTGCTGTTTTGTTGGCAGAAGACCTCAGCTACTCATCTCATGGATCATTCCAGAAGGCTGCTCAGGAGTCCTCATAACAGGGCAGCTGGCTTCCCCCAAAGTGAGTGATCCTATGGCATGTAAGGCAGAAGTCTTGTCTTTTATGACTTGGCTTTGGAAGCCACACACTTTCATGTCTACAATATCCTATTGGTTATACAGGTCAGCCCTACAATATAGGAATACCAGGAGGCAAGAATCATTTGGGGGTCATTGTGGAAACCTGCTACCACAGGAGCATATTGTGAAGTGCCCTGTGTGTAAGGCTCAGGAGTTTGGATTTGCAAAAGCATTCATGAGGAAGCCAGTGGAGTTTGTTATTTAAAATAACATTTATGAAAGCAATATATTTGCAGTGTAGACAATTTGGAAACTATACAAAAGTACAAAGAAAAAAAATACCCATAATCTTACCATGCAGAGAAGATCACCATTAACATTTTAATTTATTTTCTTTCAGTTTCCCCCCTGCTTATAGGGCTTTTGTACTTTTTCACTTTGTATTACAATGCAAGCAGTTTTTAAGTAACTAAAAAAGCATGGCTTTTTTTTGTTGTTGTTTTTATTTTTTTGAGACAGAGTCTTGCTCTGTCGCCCAGGCTGGAGTGCAGTGGTGCGAGATCAATCTCCGCTTACTGCAACCTATGCCTCCCAGGTTCAAGTGATTCTCCTGCCTCAGCCTCCCGAGTAGCTGGGACTATAAGAGCACACCACCATGCCCAGCGAATTTTTGTGTTTTTAGTAGAGATGGGGTTTCACCATCTTGGCCAAGATGGTCTTGAACTCCTGACCTCATGATCCACCCACCTTGGTCTCCCAAAGTGCTGGGATTACAGGCGTGAGCCACTGAGCCTGGCCCAACAATGAAGCTTTTTAAACAGAGTAGTTTGAGCTAAACTGGGGTCTTGAGAAACTTGTGACAATGACTAGTGAAAAGTCTCAGAGATAATGGCAAGGAAATGGTAATAGAGTTAGTGATAAAAGTGTTGGAAGAAATTTCTGAGCTGCAATTAATAAAATTAGGTGACCAATGAGATGTTCAGAGTATGGAAGGGAGTTATTCAGGATAACTCTAATATTTCTGGAGCACCAACAAGATTTGTAGTTGGCAGTATGGGAACATGAAGGGCAGCTTGTGGCCTGTGTTTGAAATGTGTTGTTGAAGGTGCCTGCTGGACATAGGGGCACTCTACATGTGTCCCATAGTTAGAGAAGAAGGCAGTGAAGTGGAAGAAATGGAAGACACAAGAGAGAAAGAGATGATAAGTGAGGTGTTAGAGGAGGCACGAAGGAAGGGGATCCAGGGCACATGGTACAGGGCTAGCCTTGGAGAGCAGAAGGGAGAAAGCTCCAACATTACTGAGTATCTGCCATGTGCCAGGCACTGAGGATACGTTTTTTTATTTAATTCTTATGAATAAATATACGGTGGTAAGGTGCTATTAGCCTCATGTAATTGGTGTGGAAATTAGGCTCAGAATGGTTAAATGTCTTCTTAGGATCACTCAGTGAGTAAGTAACAGACCTGTATTTCCAAAATTCTGATCCAGCTCTTCTTGGAGAGTACAATAAGGAGTCTAACTCCATTGTGATTGTTGATAGTTTTTTTTTTTTTGGACAGGGCCACACTCTGTCGCCCAGCCTGGAGTACAGTGGCACAATCACAGCTCACTGCAGCCTTGACTCCTCAAGCTCAAGTGATTCTCCTACTTCAGTCCCCAGAGTAGCTGGGACTATAGGTATGTGCCACCACACCTGGTTAATTTAAAAAAAAATTGTAGAGACAAGGCCTCGCCATGTTTCCTAGGCTGATCTCGAACTCCAGGGCTCGAGTGATCCTCCTGCCTTGGCCTCCCAAAATGCTGGGATTGTAGGCATGAACCCCTGCACCTGGCCTGCTGACAGCTTTTAAGCCTGATCACCCTTTCATCCCATTCTGCTCCACATCTGGGCAAGCTGGTTAGAAAGTGTGGGTGCTGCCTTCTTTGGTGCTGATGGGAAGTTAAAACTACATAAGCCCCAGCCAGTTCAGGAGAGCCCTCACCCCACGCTCAGCCCCTAATCACAATAGAAGCCAAGCCTGTCTCCTTTCTCTGCCCTCTCAAGCCAGTTTCAGACATTGGAAGCCGGACCTGCTCTGCCCAGAAAGCCTCATTATGTGAGTAATCAATCTTTTCATACTCTTGGTGCATGCGTGTCAGCCTCATTCTCAATATTTAAACCAAATTTTGGGTAGAAGCGTCTTCTGTGGGGCAACCACAACAGTTGACCCTGTGAGCAGGCTGTCTAGGAGATGACCACTAGCACCAAAGGTCTTCCTTCTCTTCTTGCAGAAGAGAGCCATGCCATTTCTTCCTCTGAGACACAAACTGAAGAGGGAAAGATGGACATAGTAATGCACACATTTAAAGATGTAATGGTGCAAGAGACAGGGTTGTTGGAGAAAAAGAGGAGAGAGGTGTTCTGCTGTGGTGGTGAGGCTTGTGTACTTGCTGGGGGAGAGGCCAAAGAGAATGCACTCAGAAGGAATTAGAAGACTGCTGGGTGACACTGTGGGTCACCCGCACAGTCATGGTGGCTCTAATTTGCATGAATTAAGTAGTTTTTTATCTAGCAGTGGACTGCATCCTGGGAAAAATCTGCATATAATTTTGGGATATTCATAAACCTGCTGAACTCCAACTAGGGGATCAAGAACTCAGGGTTAAAAGTTTCTCTGACTGAGTGGTCTCAATGAAGATGGACAGGCTTGGTTGGAAGAAGATGATGGTGGAAGTAGGTGATTACAATTAAGGCATGGGGCTTTAAAGTTTGCAGACACAGGGGCTATCTCCAGGTATGGTCATTTCTTCTGAGTCACTTCTTTTTGGCTGCTCCCCCAGCAAGTGTATAAACCTCACCATCCTGCCAAAGCCCACCAGACCACCACACTCCTCTTTCCCTCCAACAACCCTGTCTCCTGCACTACTAACTCCTTATGTTTGTGTATTAATGTGCCCATCTTTCCCTCTGCAGCTCAGAGGAGGAAATATTGTGTCTCTCCCTTGCAGGAAGAGAAGGAAGTACCCAGCACCCCAGGAGTCAAGTGTTAGCTGACCCAATTATTCACATGTTGAAGACAGGCAATGGCAAAAATTGGAATGGAAAAAAAAAAGAGACCCAAATCCTCTATGACGCCAGGAGGTAATGATGGAGCAGTGGTGAGAACCACTGAATGCCACAGGCCTCAAAGGAAGAAAAAAGAGCTTTTGAATGAGGCAAACTGCTGCATGGATAAGAGGCAGTCTGGCCGCATGAGAAGGTTAATCCTTGAGCATCCTTCTCTTGGGATTTTCTCTGGGAAAATCCCAGTTTCACTTCCAGGAAGGTGTATTAGTTTCTTAGGGCTGCTATAACAAAGTACCACAAACTCAGTGGCTTAAAACAAGAGAAATGTATTCTTTCCCAGTTCTGGAAACTGAAAGTTTGAGATTAAGTGTTGGCAGAGCCATGTTTGCTCTGAAGGCTCTAGGGAAGAACCCTTCCTTTTCATGTCCTGGCTTCTGGTGATGTCGGCAATCCTTGCATTCCTTGACTTGTAGCTATATTGCTCCAGTCTCTGCCTCCATTCTCTTCCCTGTGTCCCCTCTGTGTCTTCAAATCTCTCTCTCCTTGAAAGGACACTAGCCATTGGATTTAAGGCCATCCTAGTTAAGAATGACCTCATCTCAACTTGATTACATCTGCAAAGGCCCTATTTCAAAATTCAGTTACATTCAAATAGACTGGGGTGAGGATGTCAAAATATCTTTTTGGGGGACACAATTCAACCTACAGCAGAAAGGAATAGAAGCAACATTGTGTGATCAGGCTGAAGGAGAGATGAATTATTTATAATCGAGTGAGGACTTCATAGAATTAAACAGAAAGGATTAGACATGGGTTATCAAGAGATGACTGTCAAAAGGCAGGAAGCTTGGAAGAGATAGTTGTAGCACTGATGCTTATAAAGCAGAGATCTGAAAGTTGAAGGTCCCAGGGAAAAGCCAGATGATGTCAATGAGTGAAACATCCTGCATGGGGTGTGTAGTGAAATCTGAAAGCAGCCACTGCTCAGCTCCAGCTGGTTGCTGTCACAAGAGAATAGACCCCATGTTGTCAGATTTTTCAAAAATAAGCAGTACACTCAGATTATGTGGCATCTCCTGAATTTAAAATGATGACAGCTAGTTACACATGTTGATGAACTGTAGAGACTACAAACCCTGATGCTGGCTGGATTTGTACCATGGATGGTCAAGGATCACATAGCTAGGAGAGGCAGGGTATACAGGACAGGCAGGGTATACAGGACAGGCAGGCAGGATAAAAATGGAATGCACAGCTCAGTGTTCTCATTGGCATGCCACTGGTCTCCCTGGTCATATGGAAAGCTGTTAGGATGCAGAGTCTAAGCCCTGGTGGTTTCTGCTGAGCAGGCTGCCGGAAACAGATGGTCTTCTTTTTGTTAGAGACAATCACGACTCCTCCCTCTAAAGAGCTTACTGTCCATTTGAGTGGAGAAAACTGCTGTACTTGAGATGGGAGGTTTCTTGTGCAAATCACCTCTGTAGCCAGAGCTTCTCAGGTTGAGTAGGATTTAGGCATGCAAAGGAGGTGGCCTCACTCAGTGTCCTCCAAGAAGGGAAAACAGCATGGAGACAAGCAGGGAGATGGTGTGTGCAGGAAGAGTAAAGAGCCCACCTTGAATGTAGGATGTCAGGAGATCATGGGAAGGTCTCCCAGTGTTGTCTGTTCTTCTTCTCCCCCTCCAGGTTCATTCTCTCCCTTGCTCTGGGTCTCAGGATGCTGGCATCTAGGGACTGAACCCACCAGGCTCCCTTGCCCTTTGGTGTCTGCTTTAGTTAAGCTAATGGGAGGTACCAGCAAGAGATAAGAGGGCTGGAGGGAACTGATCAGGGTATTTATTTCCCAGGCACCCTTTTTGTTGGGCTGTGGGTTGGCAGCAGGGGTCACTGGGCAGCCCTTTTCTTCAGCTGTAGATCTTACTGGATTTCTATAAATGCTTGTTGTTCTTGCCTTCTCAGGCCCAGGGGTGGTGGCAGCTCCCTGCCGTTTGCCAGCTGCTGGGTGCTTCACCATCCCTGAGTCACCTCAATCCCACACTCTTCTTTGTGAATTGTCCCTTCATTAAACTCTCCTCAAGTATTCTGTTTGAGTGTGCCATGTATTTCCTGCTGAGGCCTTGAATTATGTGTACAGAATAAATATAAATGTAAACAAACAAACAGGTACACCTTGAAGATATTGCAGGTTTGGTTCCTGACCACTATAATAAAGTGAATGTTGCAATAAAGTGAGTCATGTTATTTTTTGGTTTCCCAGTGCAGATTAAAGTTATGTCTATACTATATTTTAGTCTATTAAGTGTGCAATAGCATTTTATTGTAAACTATGTACATACATTAATTAAAATTACTTTATTGCTAAAATATGCTACCTATCATCCAAGCCTTTAGTGAGTCATCATCTTTTTGCTGTTGGAGGGTCTTGCCTCTGTGTCGATAGCTACTGACTGATCAGAATGATGTTTGCTGAAGGTGGGAGTGATTGTGGCAATTTCTTTAAAAAAGACAACAATGACATTTGCCATATCAATGGACTCTTCCTTTAAAAAAATTTCTCTATAGCATGCAATGCTGTTTGATAGCATTTTACCTACAGTAGAACTTACAAAATTTTTCAAAATTAGAGTCAGTCCTCTCAAACTGCTTTATCAGTTGCTGCTTTATCAACTAAGCTTACGTAATATTCTAAATCCTTTGTTGTCATTTCAACAATGTTCACAGCATCTTCACCAAGATTAGATCCTATCTCAAGAAACCACTTTCTTTGCTTGTCCATAAGAAGCATCTGTTTATACTTCATCATGAAATTGCAGCAATCGAGTCACATCTTCAGGCTTCACTTCTACGTCTAGCTCTCTTGGTAATTCTACCAAATGTCAAGTTACTTCCTCCACTAAAGTCTTGAATCTCTCATGTCATCCTTGAGGGTTGGAATCAACTTCTTCCAAACTCCTGTTAATGTTGATATTTTGACCACCTCCCATGAATCATTAATGTTCTTAATGGCATCTAGGATGGTGAATCCTTTCTTCTTAATTTCCTCAAAAACTCTAGAAGGTTTTCAATTTACTTTACCCAGATCCATCAGAGGAATCACTGTCTATGGCAGCTATAGCCTTTTGAAATGTATTTCCTAAATAATAAGATTGAAAGTCAAAATTACTCCTTGATTCATGGGCTACAGAATGAAAGTTCTCTTAGCAGGTATGAAAACAACATCAATCTCCTTGTACATCCCCATCAGAGCTCTTGGGTGACTAGGTGAATTGTCAAAGAGCAGTAATATTTTGAAAGGGCTACTTTTTTTTTGAGCAGTAGGTCTCAAGAGCAGGCTTAAAATTTTCAGTAAACCATGCAGTAAACAGATGTGCTGTCGTCTGTTTCATTATAGAGCACAGGCAGAGTAAATTTAGCATAATTCTTAAGCACCTTAGGATTTTCAGGATGGTCAATGAGAATTAGCTTCAACTTAAAATCACCAGCTACATTAGCCCCTAACAAGAGAGTCAGCCTGTCCTTTGAAACTTTGAAGGCAGGCATTGATTTTTCCTCTCTGGTTATGAAAGTCCTAGATAGCATCTTTTTCCAGTATAAGGTTATTTTGCCTACATTATAAATCTGTTTTTTAGTGTAACCACCTTCATTAATGATCTTAGCTAGATCTGGATAACTTGCTACATTAGCACTTGCTGCTTCACCTTGCACTTTTATGTTATGGAAATGGCTTCCTTCCTTAAATCTCATGAACCAGCCTCTTGTATGTTCAAACTTTTCCTCTGTGACTTCCTTGCCTCTCTCAGCCTTCATATAATTGATGAGAGTTAGGACCTTGCTCTGAGTTAGGCTTTGGCTTAAGAGAATGTTGTGGTTAGTTGGTCTTCTATCCAAACCACTAAATCTTCCACCATATCAATAATATAGCAGTTTCACCTTCTTATTTTATTTTATTTTATTTATTTTTTTGTGCACTGGAGTAGCACTTTTAATTTCCTCAAAAACTTTTCCTTTCCATTAACAACTTGGCTGTTTGGTGCCAGAGGCCTAGCTTTCGACAAGTCTTCCTCACTAAGCTTAATCACATGTAGCTTTTGATTTAAAGTGTGACTCTTCCTTTCGTGTGAACACTTAGAGGCCATTGTAGGACTATTCATTGGCCCAATTTCAATGCTATTATATCTCAGGGAATAGGAAGGCCAGAGGAGAGGGAGAGACATGGGAGAATGATTGGTCTGGAGAGTGGTCCAAACATACAGATTTATTAAGTTTTCCATTTTGTATGGGTACAATTCATGGCATCGCAAAACAATTACACTAGTAACATCAAAGATCACTCATCACAGATCACCATAATAGATACAAGAATAATGAAACAGTTAGAAATATTGTGAGAGTTGCCAAAACATGGCACAGAGACAGGAAGTAAACACGTGCTGTTGGAAAAATTGCACTGATAGATTTGCTCTACGTAGGGTTGACACGAACCTTCAATTTATAAAAAATGCAATATCTGGCTGGTGTGGTGGCACACGCCTATAATCCCAGCAATTTGGGAGGCCGAGGTGGGCAGATCACCTGAGGTCAGGAGTTCGAGACCAGCCTGGTCAACACGGTGAAACCCTGTCTGTACTAAAAAAAAAAAAAAAAAAAAAGCAAAAATTTAGCCAGGCATGGTAGTGTGAACCTGCAATCCTAGCTAATCAGGAGACTGAGACAGGAGAATTGCTTGAACCCGGGAGGCAGAGGTTGTAGTAAGCCGAGATCAAGCCACTGCACTCCAGCTTGGGCAACAAGATCGAAACTCCATCTAAAAAAATAAATAAATGCAATATCTGTGAAGTGCAAAACAGCACAGCAAAGCACAATAAAATGCATATCTAATATATGCAGGTATACATACATACGTAGGCATACCTACAGGCATATAGACAGTATGATTATATTAGGCATTGTAACAATCACCAACATCTTTGAGGAGCTTCCAAATAGTTTCTTTGGGAATCCTGAAAGGTGGGATTTTGGGATCTCTCCCATCTGATGCCAAAGAATCCCACCTGATTCTTTTTGCCGTCACCCTAAGTAATGGGAAAATCTCCCAGAATTCTGCCCCTTGGTCTGTGCCTTTGCTTTTCATGTCCCTGGCTGTGTGCCACAGGGGTCTTCTTGCGGTAGGTCACTCACACTCAGCCACTTAGAATGCAAAAACAAACTCTATGAAGATACCAGGATAAAAGAATATAAAGGTACAAAGCATAATTTGGCAAAATTGACACCAGTGAATACAGCACTCACATCTCTAACCGTGTGTGCGATTTTACATCTGATTCACCTTTATTATGTTCACCAGTATGAAAACCAGGGCTATTTTGTTTCCCATTTTCATCTCCAAGGAATTAAAGTCTTTCCCTTAAATTTATCTCTGGTTCCAAATAAAATCTGTGGTTTCAACTGCCCTCTGAGCATTCACACCCCCTGCTTCCTGGAATTTCTTCCTGGTCAGAGAGTTTCTGTTCAATTAGGGCTATTACCTTGGTGCCCATACAGCAACCAGAGCCTTCTTGGTTCTCCCTGTGTTGCCCTCTAGCCCTCTAGTTCTTTCTCTCTGTCTTAGTCTTTTCTTCTTCTTCTTTTTTTTTTGCTTTCTGACTTCAATTCCGCCAGAGCTCAAGATTTTCTCTTCAAATCACAATGTATTTTCTTCTCTTCTTCTTGCAGATTCTAAAAATGGTTTTCTTTTCTTTTTCAACATAGACCTGCCTGGTCAGAACCAGCCTCCAAATCAGTGTGACTATGCCCAGCATATCCAGGAGTTATGGGGCATTTCTAAGTCTCATTCCTTCCTTAATTCAAAGAGAGGCATATAAATGAGAAGATCTGCAACCTAAATTGCATTTTCATGACTTTGACCTCAGTCAGCTTGGCTCTTCTTAAATTATAAAAGAAAACTGCAAGTTGTAAGTGGGAATTGTTTAAGTCTATAAGTAAGTGTGACATGACTTCCATAAAGTCAATTATCTTCCTTGGGCCTCAATTTCCCCATTCATGAAATGGAGAGAAATAGAGAAGTGTTTTTTAGCAATGTACATTCTTATCGAACAAGATCTTATATGTAAAACAGTTCTGTTTTTCTGTTCACATTTTTAACATTTACATATTGTAAAGTCAGTCACTGAAAATAATTCTGTTTTAATAAACAGACAAATTTAAATTGGGGGAGGTGGAATTGGAGAATGAGTGATGGATGGAGGCTCAGAGAAGCCTCATTGCTAGCAAATTTAAATTGAGGACTGACAGAGCATCTAACACTTCTCACCAAATCCTGGAGTTCTGAGAACACAGCTTGCCAACCACTGGGCTGGCTGATTTCTGAGACCTTGCTACCTAGAGTGTGTTAGGCGCATGGCAGTAACTGCTTCACCTGGGGGCTTACTAGAAATGCAGACTCTCAGGCTCACCCCAGACCTACTGAATCAGAATCTGCACTTAAACAAAATCTTCAAGTGACTTGTTTGCTTCTTAAAATTTGAGAAGCACTGATTTAGAACACTGTGTCTCAAACTTGACTGTACGTTGGAATCACACAGAGTTTCTCAAACCTTAAGGCTTCTGATTCCTTTAGGACCTCATTGTTTTGAGGTCTGATCATTTGGTCCTGCCTCTTTTTTCCCCTAGAGGTTGACAGATGAAGTAGGCAGTAAAGGAAGTCAGTGTTTAGGAAATGTGCGAGTCACCTTTGTTATCTTATTATATACTACAAGAAAATCCCTAGCACATTAAAAACATTTTAGGACTGGGAGGCAGAAAAGATTATGAGGTATTTTTGATTTCTAAATGATGCATTTTCATATCCCCTGAATTTTGAATAGTAAGCCCTATGAAAATAGTAAAGCAATAAATAAATTAATAAATAAAGTCACAACTTGATGTTCTAAGCACTTCTTGGAAAAACAAAGAAAAAAAGACACTATGGTAACATTATAGAATGTATCAAAGTGAAGCATCCCCAATATAGAAATGTTTTCTGTGTTGAGGAGAGTAATCTTTGAGTGACCACATATTTTTCTAAAATATTTTATTTTATTTTAAATTTGCATTTATTTATTTAACTTTTATTTTAGAATCAGGGGATACATTGTTACAGAGGTATATTGCATAATGCTGAGGTTTGGAGTATGACAACCCATCACCCTGGCATTAAGCACAGTACCCAATAGGTAATTTTTCAGCCTGTTGCTTAGGATAATGGTCTCCAACTACCCCCATGTTGCTGCAAAAGACACAGTTTTGTTCTTCTTTATGGCTGCATAGTGTTCCATGGTGTATATGTACTACAGTTTTTAATCCAATTCACCACTGATGGACACCTGGGTTGATTCCGTGTTTTTGTTCTTGTGAAGAATGCCGTGATGAACATACAAGTGCATGTTCTTTTGGTAGAATGATTTATTTTCCTCTGGGTATATACCTAATAATGGGATGACTGGGTCACGTGGCAGTTCAACTCTGAGTTCTTTTTTTTTTTTTTTTTTTTTTTTTTTTTTGGGACGGGGTCTCGCACTGCCGCCCAGGCTGGAATGCAGTGGCGCCATCTCGGCTCACTGAAAGCTCCGCCTTGGGGGTTCATGCCATTCTCCTGCCTCAGCCTCCTGAGTAGCTGGGACTGCAGGCGCCTGCCACCACGCCCAGCTAATTTTTTGTATTTTTAGTAGAGACGGGGTTTCACCGTGTTAGCCAGGATGGTCTCATCTCCTGACCTTGTGATCCGCCTGACTCGGCCTCCCAAAGTGCTGGGAACTATTAGTTCTTTGAGAAATCTCCAGACTGCTCTCGACAGTGGCTGGACTAATTTACATTCCCACCAAGAGTGTATGTGTTCCCTTTTCTCCACAACCTTTGGCAACATCGGTTATTTTTCTGACTTTTTAACAAAAGCCATTCTGACTAGTGTGAGATAGTATCTCATTGTGGTTTTGATGTGCATTTTCTCTGATTATTAGTGATGAACATTTTTTTCCTGTTTTTTGGATGCTTGTATGCCTTCTTTTTACAAGTATCTGTTCATGTAATTTGCTCACTTTTTAATAAGGTTATTTCTTTTTTGCTTGTTGATTTGTTTAAGTTCCCTATAGATTCTAGATTATTAGACCTTTGTCAGATGCCTAGTTTTGAATATTTTCTCTCAATATGTAGGTTGTCCATTTATTTCCTTGATAGTTTATCTTGCTGTGCAGAAGCTCTTTAGTTTAATGACCCATTTTTGTTTTTTGTTGCAATTGCTTTTGGGGACAGAGCTATAAATTATTTGCCAAGGCTGATACTGAGAAGAGTATTTCCTAGGTTTTCTTCTACATTCTTTATAGTTTGAGGTCTTACATTTAAGTCTTTAATCCATCTAGAGTTAACTTTTATATATGGTGATAAGTAGGGGTCCAATTTCATTCCTCTGCATATGCATAGCCAGTTATCCCAGCATCATTTATTGAGTAGGAAGACTTCTCTCTATTGCCTGTTTTTCTCAGGTTTGTCAAAGATCAGGTGGTTGTAGGAGTGTGGTCTTATTTCTGGGTTCTCTATTCTATTTCATTGATCTTTGTATCTTAATTAAGCCTTTTGTACCAGTACCATGCTGTTTTGTTACTGTAGCCTTGTAGTATACTTTGAAGTAGGGTAATGTGATGCCTCTGGCTTTGTTCTTTTTGCTTAGGATTGCTTTGTCTATTTGGGCTCTTTTTTGATTCCATATGAATTTTATGATAGTTTTTTTCTGCTTCTCTGAAAAGTGATGTTGGTAGTTTGATAGGAATAGTGTTGAATCTATAAATTACTTTGGGGAGTATGGCCGTTTTAACTACATTGATTCTTCCAATCCATTGATTGGAATCTGATCCATTGATTTTTCCATTTATTTGTGTTGTCTCTGGTTTCTTTCAGCAGTGTTTTGTAGTTCTCCTTGTAGAGGTCTTTAGCCTCCTTGGTTAGATGTATTCCTAGGTATTTTATTTTGTGTGTTTGGCTATTGTAAGTGGAATTGTATTCATGGTTTGTAACGTTATTGGTGTACAGAAATGCTACTGATTTTTGTTCATTGATTTTATATCCTGAAACTTTACTGAAGTTGTTTATCAGTTCCAGGAGCCTTTTTGCAGAGTCTTTAGGGTTTTTTAGGTATAGAATCATATCGTCAGTGAAGAGAGATAGTTTGACTTATTTTCCTATTTTGATGCTTTTATTTCTTTCTCTTGCCTGATTGCTTTGGCTAGGACTTCCAGGACTATGTAGGAGAATAGTGAGAGTGGGCATCCCTGTGTTGTCCAGCTTTTGCCTATTCAGTATGATGTTGGCTGTGGGTCTGTTATAGATGGCTCTTATTATTTTGAAGTGAGTTTCTTTGATGCCTCATTTGTTGAGGGTTTTCATCATGAAGGGATGTTGTATTTTATCAAAGCCTTTTTCTGTAGAGTGACCACATCTTAGACTTTTTACTTTTATCTTTACTCTCCTTAGCTATTGTAACTCAAAGTACTTTATTTCAACAGAGCTACTTCCCCTAAAAGTAATACTTCTGTGCTTGTGGTCTAGGTCACAATGGGGTGACGAGCTGGGATTTGTATGTTTTGTTGTGCCAATGAAAGTTGGCCTCTTCTAGTAAAGGCTGCTTTGTCAATGAGAAGAAGCATCTGTAATTATCAGTCTTTTTGATGTGGGAAAAATTCTACTCTTCTTTATTTATTTATAATTTCTGTTGTAAACTGTACTTCAGTACAGTTGCACCTCATGAATTTGATAACATTTAAAGCTCTCCCCCGAGTTCTTTCCGTTTATATAAATGGCATGTATATAAAAGCTCAACAGGAAGTATGATGACTATTTTAGCTATTTTTACCTAAGCTAGAAAAGTACTCCTAGTAGAATTACTGTTGGCAAGAAAAATGAACTTTTCTCTAGGGATATCACTAACATGTTTAATACATGCTGTTGGGTGTCTTCTGAGGCAGCACATAAGGTTCCACCTGAATAAAAGGAACTGGGGGTCTATCTGTCAGATTTGAGGATAGTTGACAGCAGATTTTTCAATTTTAAATCTTTCCATATTAAATATCAAATGAGTGAATAAAATATAATTATTTAACTACAGAATGGAAGCTACCACATTTAATAGAAAGAGAAATGTAGCAATTGGCCATACATTTTAAGGAAACTTTGTTGTGGTATTTGTGACATCAGATATGTCTTTATTACAGTGCTCCAAACATACTGTCTTCGACAGTGGGGAGAGCTGATTACCACCTGGTTGGATTACAAAGTGACCATGATCCCGGGGAATAAACCAAGGCCAGAAGGTTAAAAAAAATAAGTGAAACTAGACCCTCAAAAAAAAAGTCCCAAACCCCACTGTTTATCAAATCAAATCAAATCAAAATAATAATAATGTTTTGGTAACACCACAGAATGTTTTTCGGTATGAATTTGGAAAGAATTCCCATTTTATCGATGAACTTTCTACTGTTCATCCAACACCATTTATTTAGCCAACTACTAGAATGTACATTTTCTGTGTTTTTTCTTTTTAAGATTGTACCTAGTACCCAAACACTGGGCACTTTCTTTTATTGGGTACATGATATCCACAGAGGTGTCTGTGGTCTAAAGTGATGTATTTATATTTACTAAAAAGAATTAGCCTAACATCAGAGGGAAAACATGGGTCCCCTCTACTCCTCAGAGGCTGAATGCAGATCTCCTTGTCTCTGTAGGAAGAGTGGGTTATAAAGCCTGCCCAGGGAGCCTTGAGATACTTCCAGGGTTGAAACAGCTGGAGGTGTTTGTCCATCAAAGGAAAGTGTAACCAAAACAGAAAGGAAGAGGCATTTTTCAAGAGAGGGATGACTCTGACTGAGAATGACTACTCATCTTCCGTTTAAACTTCTGCAAATTCCTGTTGAGGGGAAGACTTTTGAATAATAAAATAACTGATCTAAACCATCTGTCTTAAAAACACTCTGCTTGCCTGGAGAGACTAAATTATGCTTTATTAGGAAGGTTGAAAGAGCACCTTAAGCCAGCTTCGTGGCTAGTTACAAATCTATCTGAAAGATTTAGGATTTCCCAAGACACTCTACTTTTGGAGGAGTACCTAAAATAAATGCACTGTATAATATTAGGAATAGCATTTGTTTATTGAATGTTCACTATATGCAGGAAAGATATAGCACAAAGTGCTTTAATTGATGTTCTCTCTTTTATGCATTGTCCAATTCTTTATCTCTGACATTGAAATTTGAGCCAACAATTATCCTTCTTTCTACCACTCTGTTTATATTCACATATATTTTTCTTCTGGGCAAATGTTTAGCTTCTTGAATTAGGAACTATCACAAGAACAGCACCAGGCCGTGAGGGAAGCCCCCATGGCGCAAACACCTCCTGCCAGGCCTACCTTCAACATTAGGGATTACATCTCAACATGAGATTTGGAGAGGACATCCAAACTACATCATTCTGTTCCTGGGCCCAAAGATCTTATGTTCTTTCACATTGCAAAATACAATTGTTTCTTCTCAATCGTCCCCCCATGTCTTAACTCATTCTAGCATCACTCAAAAGTCCAAAGTCCCATGTCCAAAGTCTCACCTGGAGATGAGTTTCTTTCACCTATAAGTCTGTAAAATCAAAAGAAGTTATTTACTTCCAAGATACAATGGGCTTACAGCAATTGGGTAAATAATGCCCTTCCAAAAGGGAGAAATTGGCCAAAAGAAAGGGGCTACAGACCCCACACAAGTCTGAAATCTAGCAGGGCAGTTATCAAATCTTAAAGCCCCAAAACAATCTCGTTTGACTGCATGTCCCACATCCAGGGCACACTGCTGCAAGGGGTGGGTTCCCATGGGCAGCTCTGCCCTTGTGGCTTTGCAGGGTACAGCCCTGTGACTGCTCCCATGGGTTGAGTTTGAGTGTCTGTAGCTTTTGCAGGTGCAGGGTGCAAGCTGCCAGTGGATTTACCATTCTGGGGTCTGGATAGTCCCCTTCCCACAGCTCCATTAGGCAATGCCCTGGTAGGGGCTCTGTGTGGGGCCTCTAGCCCTACATTTCTCCTCTGCACTGCCCTAGTAGAGATTCTTTGTGGGGTCTTCACTCCTGCAGCAGGCTTCTGCCTGGGTATCCAGGCTTTCCAATACCTCTTCTGAAATCTAGGGAGAGGCTGCCAAGCTTCCTTCATGCTTGCATTCTGTGCACCTACAGGCTTAACACCATGTAGAAGTCACCAAGGCTTACAGCTTGCACTCTGCAGGGTGGCAGCCCAAGCTGTACCTGGAGTCTTTTGAGTCAAGGCTGGAGCTGGAGCAGTAAGGATGTGTGGAAGAGCCTCCTTAGGTGACACAGCACTTTGGCATTCTGGGCCTGGCCCATGCAACCATTCTTTTCTCCTAGGCCTCTGGGCCTCTGATGGGAGGGGCTGCCTCAGAGATCTCTGAAATGCCTTCAAGGTCTTTTTCTCATTGTCTTGTCTATCAGCACTTGGCTTCCTTTTAGTCAGTCTAATAACTCTAGCAAATGGTTCCTTGCTACTCTGAAGCTCCCTTGAATTCCTCTCCTGGTAATGCTTTTTGTTTCTCTGCCACATGGCCAGGCTTCTAATTTTCCAAACTTTTACACTCTGCTTTTCCTTTAAATATAACTTCCAACTTTAAGTCACCACTTTATGCCTGCATCTCAATGTAGGCTGTTAAAATCAGCCAGGCCACATCTTGAATGCTTTGCTGCTTAGAAATTTCTTCCACCAAATACCTTAAGTTATCGTTCTTAATTTCAAACTTCCACAGATCTCTAGGGCATTAACGGAATGCAGCCACGTTTTTTTGTTAAGACATAACAAAGGTGACATTTCCTCCAGTTTCCCCCAAAATCCTCATTTCCATCTGAGACTTCATCAGCCTGGATCTCACTGTCCATGTTATTAATACTATCAGGATTTTGCTCAAAACCATTTAACCAGTCTCTAAGAAATTCCAAAGTTTCCCTCATCTTTCTGTCTTCTTCTGAGCCCTCCAAACTCTTCCAACCTTGGCCTATTACCCATTTTCAAAGCTGCTTCCACATTTTTAGGTTTCTTTATAGCAATGCCACACTCCTTGGTACCAATTTTCTGTGTTAGGACATTCTTATGTTACTATAAAGGAATACCTCAGGCTGGGTAAAGGAAACAGGTTTAATTGACTCATGGTTCTGCAGACTGTACAAGCATGACACCAGCATCTGCTTGGCTTCTGGGGAGGACTTAGGGAGCTTCTAGACATGGAGGAAGGTGAAGTGGAAGCAGACACATTACATGGCAAGAGCAGGAGAGCAAGAGCAGGGGGGAGGTGCCACACACTTTTAAACAAATAGTTTTTTTTTTTTTTTTTTTTTTTTTTTAAGAGATGGAGTCTTGCTCTGTCACCCAGGCTGGAGTGCAATGGTGCGATCTTGGTTCACTGCAACCTCCGCCTCCTGAGTTCAAGCGATTCTCCTGCCTCAGCCTCCCAAGTAGCTGGGATTACAGGCATGTGTCACCAGGCCTGGCTAATTTTTTGTATTTTAGTAAGAGACAGGGTTTTACCATTTTAGCCAGGATGGTCTCGATCTCCTGACTTCGTGATCCCCCCATCTTGGCCTCCCAAAGTGCTGGGATTACAGGCGTGAGCCACTGCGCCAGGCCTAACAAATAGATCTTACGAGAACTCACTCACTGTCATGAGGACAGCACCAAGCTATGAGGGATCATCCCCTATGATACTAACACCTCCCACCAGATGCCACCTCCAACACTGGGGATTACAACTTAATATTAGATTTGGAGAGGACATCCAAACTATATCACAGTAATATTCATGGTATTCTGAAACACAGTTCTCTAGCAAAATCACTTGATTTTTTTTATTTCACAGCCCTTAAAGAGAATCAAACAAGTTTATAAGGGACCACTAGAGGTCTTTGCATTAGTGATGTATCATTGTCACTCCATTAGGACTTACTTCCTAATCTCCAGGATGAAACTGAGCCTCCTGTGTGGCCTGAACTATCACTGATTTCGATATTGTTTTAGCTGTTGTCTCCAGTCATTGCCACCAAGGTGGGGAGAATGCAGGAGCCATGTACACCAATTTCTTATTAGTATCTAGATTGTTAAGATCTTTAGTTTGACTTGCTTATTGGTATATTCCAGTTCTACTTTTCGTCATTTTTATACATGCAACTGTGTTTCATATAAAAATGGGCACTTTTCATACTATGGCACCCCATTTTTTTCTCCCTCGAGTGAGTTCCTTGTCCATCTGGTATGCCATCCAGAATTTTTTTTTTACGAAGTGGTCATTATTCCCCACTATTTAGGATTCTGGGCACTGAGGAACAGATGTCAACACCAATGCATTTTTTTTTTTTTTTTTTGAGACAAGGTCTTGCTCTGTCACCCAGGCTGGAGTGCAGTGGCGTGATGGCAGCTCACTACAGCCTCAACCTCTCGGGCTTAAGCAATCCTCCTGAGAAGGTGGGCCAACCCGCACACACCACCACAGCTAGCTAATTTTCATATTTTTTTGTAGAGACAGAGTTTTGCCATGTTTCCCAGGCTGGAACACCAATGCATTTAATGACTGACCCTACCTCAAACTCACTGGATTCCTGAGACCTGGTTGACATCATCACAGGAGATATATGTGTGTGTATACACACACACACACACACACAGAGAAAAAAAAAAAAATATATATATATATATGTATATGTATATGTATATAAAAAATATAGGCTTTTGTTCTGTGAAATGCCCTACATACACACTGCTCTGTGCAGGAAGCATGCGAGGGGAGAAGAAAAGACACACACACACACAATACCTTTAAGGGTAAACAACCTTTATCACATGTAAATGGCAATGCAGATATAATAAGCAAATGATATAATAAGCAAATTGATATAATAAGCCAATTGCAATGGGAAGTGGAGAAGGGAAAAGATTATATATATATATATATATATATACACACATATATATATGTATATATATATACACACATATATATATGTGTGTATATATATATACCCACCAGACTATGGAGGATTCACCACCAGACCAGGAAGCAACAGCCTGGGCTCCAGAGTCAGTCACTCATCCATGCACAGATGAGGAGAGGTCTCATGAAACATTGGCACAGACTGGGACCCTAGGTCTTTTTGTAACAAGTTGTTTGACATGAGGCCCAGTCATGAGGGCCCTTCGCGACTGGGCTCAAGGAACACAAAAAGGTCAACTTATTTTTGCGATTGTCTATTGTTTTTCAATAACTAACATATAGGAATAGATTGAAATAGAGATTTCTCCAAAACAGCACTGGATGAATGCCTAAAGGGGCTCACACAACCTCTTCCGGGACTTGGTGACCATTGTTTGTGTTCTCGTTCAATTGAGTTCAAATTTAATATTTAACTTTTCCTACACAAACACACACACACAACTGAAATATAACCCAAGGTAGTAGTTGTGGTTATGGTAAAATATAAATAGGACCCTCTGTGTATACCGGGATTAGCAAAAGAGAGGGTGTACTAGAGAAGGTTGTGTAATTTGAACAAGGACTTTAAAAGTGCATGCTTATTCCTTGTAGAAGCAGACGTGTTTTCTAGGCGAGAGAAAGATCTTTAGGATGGTGAAGATGTGAAGAAGTTCATGGGGGTGTGTGTGTGTGCGCGCACGCGTGTGGTGGGGGGTGGCAGTTAGGAATGGAGAAGATGGACCTCTTGAGAAAAAAGAGAGATATTCTGCAATTCTGGGGCCTATGAAAGGTGGGAGCCAGGTTGTAAAATCTTAAAAGTGAGATAGCCCTGAGGTGATGCCTCCCTAGAGGCTAACAGATCCTTATAGCTAAACTTAATACCAGAAAATCTTATGTTACACTCTGGGGTTACTGAGTCAGGGGTTCACCAATAAGCAGAACAGTCTCAATCTGAAATTGAGGGGTGGATCTGGGGTTCAATAAAAAAAGAAACTGCTTTTCTTATAATTAAGGGACATGATTAATTCTAATAGGGCTTAATATTTTTGCATATTTATTCAGTATTAAGCATGGTTCTAAGAGTTTTATATCTATTCATTTAACCTTTACAAAATTATTATATGGGTACGCTAATTAACCTCTTTTTACAGATGAGAAAACTGAAGGCTAAAGTCATATAGCACTATGCGGCAGAGCCAGGATTAGAACCCAGCACTCTGGCCCCAGAACCTGTTCTTTTAAGCATCTTGGACTAGAGGTGCAGGCAAGAATGAGACTGAGAAGGGTTTGGACCAGCGGAGCCTAAGAAGTAGGGAGGCTTTGTTATTGCTCACTATTACCCACTGCACGCATGTACACACACTCACATGCATGTGCACACACTCACATAGGTACACACACTCATACACACGTACATACATTTACACAAATGTATATACTTACGTATACACACTCTGATCCATATACACTCATGTCCATATACACACATTCACATAGTACACGTGCACACACATACCTCCCATACAAGTAGAGATGGTAAAGAGAACACATAGGTTTGAAAAAAAATCTCGTTATTTCTAGTAACAGTTTGAAATGTTACCGGAACAAGCCAAAACAGGAACAATGTGTCATCACAATTGCCTTTATATTTTTTTCTCATTTAAGGATAATGTGGTTTTTCTTAGCCTAAAGCTAAATTTAGATGAAGAATTCTGAAATGTGGTAATTTTTGCATAGCTATTTATAATGCACTTTTAAATAGATAATTAAAAGATAACTTTAAAATATGAATCTAATGGAAGAATTTGGTAGATAATTTGGTCCAATGATGTAGTTACATCAAAGAAAACTCAGAACCCTTTCAGCCTGAATGAGAGAATATTATTATTTTTACCTACTTCCCCCTGAGGCAATCAGGAACTCCATACCTTCTGCTATGCAGAAATTGGCATGATCTGGCTTCTGGTCTTGTCTGTGGCAGCCACATTTGTACAAGGATGACACTTAGGTACCTAACCTATCTAAACTCCTTTGGATAACACTTGTGTTAGAATTGTTTGGTGCCAAGTACCTGAAAGCCACTCCAGCAAACTTAAGATCTGAGAGGAGGTGGATATAGAAGTCCCTCATGGAACCAAGGGTAAGAAATGCTGCTGGGCTTCCTCTCCCCTCTCCCTCTTATGAGCTGTGTGGTCTCACATTTCTGCTCCTCTCTCTGTCTAATTATTGTCTATATTTTTTCTCAAAATGACCCTTTCTTCTTTGCATTTACTTGACCTGACTGTAGCTTTAAATCATTCTAGGTGCATGTTCACATTCTGACCCAGCTCTCTGGATCTCCATTCAGAATTGTGGAAGGGGATCTGATGCTTGGGCTAGGTGTCCACTCTTGGTTCAGTTAGCTGTGGCTAAACAGATGGGTATAACTGCCCTGCTCACTGACTACTCGATAGGAATTCTTGATGCAGACTCTCTGAGAAAGGGCACTTGGGATGAGTAGAGGATGAGAGGGATTAATTCATGGAGAAAATGATTTGGGCGCCTTACGTTAGGTTGTTCTTGCATTGCTATAAAGGAATACCTGAGGCTGGGCAGTTTATAAGAAAAGAGGTTTAATTGGCTCATGGTTCTGCAGGATGTACTGGAAGCATAGCACCAGTATCAGCTCCTGGGGGGGCCTCAGGAAGCTTACAGTCATGACAGAAGGCAAAGGGGCAGCAGACATCTCACATGGCAAGACAGACAGCAAGAGAGGGGGCGGGGAGGGGTCACACACTTTTAAACAGCCAGATCTCCAGAACTCAACTCGCTATCTTGAGGACAGTGCCAAGAGGATGGTGCTAAATCATTCATGAGAAATCTGCCCCATGAGCAAATCACCTCCCGCCAGGTCCCACCTCCAACACTGGGGATCACAATTTAACATGAGATTTAAAGGGGAAAACATCCAAACTGTATCACACCTGTAATACAGCAGTGAACATTTTCCCTTGTATATATTGCTAGAATGCCCCTAAATATTAAAAGCAGATTTGTGGCTGGGCGCGGTGGCTCACACCTGTAATCCCAGCACTTTTGGAGGCTAAGACGGGCTGATCACGAGGTCAGGAGAGTGAGACCATCCTGGCCAACATGGTGAAACCCTATCTCTACTAAAAATACAAAAATTAGCTGGGTGTAGTGGTGCGTGCCTGTAGTCCCAGCTACTCAGGAGGCTGAGGCAGGAAAATTGCTTGAACCCAGGAGGCGGACGTTGCAGTGAGCTGAGATCTTACCACTGCACCCTAGCCTGGGTGACAGAGTGAGACTCCATCTCAAAAAAAAAAAAAAAAAAAAAAAAAGAGCAGGAGCAGGTTTGTGTGAATAGGGTTATACTAACATTAATACTCAAACACTGAGGCACAGAAAGGTTAAAACAATAGTCTAAAGTGACCGTGTTATGTAGTAGAGTCAGGATTAAAGCCTAGCACTCTGGCCCCAGAGCCTGTTATCTTAAGCATCTTGGACCAGGTGTGCAGGCAAGAATAAAAACAGGAAGAAGGGTTTGGTCCAGAGAAGGAGCCTATGAAGCAGGGAGGACTTGTGACCTGCTGTGGTTTGAATATACCCCCCAGATTTCATGTGTTGGAAACTTAATCCCCAACACAACAATGTTGAGAGATGGGAGCTTTAAGAACTGATTAAGTCATTAGCCCTAATTAGCCCTTATGGATGGATTAATGTTATTATTGAGGAAGTGGGCTTGTTATTGCAAGAGTAGATTTGTTATAAAGGGGAATTCAGCCTTCTCTTGCTGTCTCTTGTTTTTTTGCACTCTCTTCCCCTTTTGCTTTCCACCACAGGATGATGCAGCAGGAAGGCCCTCACCAGATTCAGGCCACTCACTCAACCTTGCACTTCCTAGCCTACAGACCTGTCAGAAATAAATTTCTTTTCTTTATAAATTACCACATATGTAATATTTTGTTACAGCAGCACACAATGGACTAAGACACCACCTCTCACTTATAACTTTCATATATACATACATATGTACATGCCCTTGTGTGTGCATGCACACACATACACCCACAGACACAATCTGAGCTTTTAATGATATTAAACACCTTCTCTCAAGTATTCTGGGCATCCCTTAAGGGTTCTTACTTGTGCCTGTGGGTCCAGGTTACTCTTATTTTGTCCTCTGTCATGCCAATTAGTGCCCCTTCTCTGGTTCCAGCTTTCTGCATGGGCCTCTGTCCCCAGTTATGCCCAGATCCCTCCTGATTCATCCAGGCCACCACTGCCATCAGCCCCTCCATGGAATGGGGAAGGAAAATGCTTTTTCTTCTGTGTTGCACTTAATTGGGGCAGGATGAACTGCAGTGGATCACATGGTCATAAGGCATTGCAGGGTTTGGTGGAACAGCTCTTTCCATTGTTACATAGGCTCCTTTCTCTCCAGGATCACACATGCCGCCCAGACAGCTAGATTTAACAAAGGCTTTAAGCATAGGTCACCACCTGAAACTCTCTCTTTGTGACCTGCCAGGACTTGTTGCTGATTTCCTCTGCTTGGTGAATTTTCTTTTCGGTTCCTTTCTTCACTGTGGTTTCCATTGCATCTTTGACTCCTACTCGATCATGAATATCTGAGATGTCCGAACCATAGTACTGGCTATTGTTCAAGCTTTTATTCCAATGAAGCTCCTAGTTTCCATGTAAACTAGTGATCGCAAATTGATACTTGATGTGTGTGTGTGCCAGCATGTGTGTGTGCATGTGTGTGTATGCATATGTGTGTGTGTGTGAGAATGCTATTACTAGTGCCACAAGATGGACCTGTACATGTCAATTCAGGCTTCAGAAATATATAACTTGCCAGATAGTGTCTTGGAGATGATTAGGACCTCTAGTTTCTTTATAGTTGGTGAGCAAATCTTTCATACACACCACAGTCCTTTACTGTCCCAAGATTCTTTAGGTCCAGCATTCTTAACCTGGATTTGTGGACCCCAAGTGGGTCCATAAGTGAATACTAGGGAGTCTGTGAGAAATTGCCTGCAAAATGTTATATGCACATGAACTTGTTAGGGGAGATGATCTATAACCTTAATTAGAGGCACAAAGCATCTGGATCCCCAAAAGTTTGAGAGCCAGACATTCAGACTGGCCTTGGCATGTGGGAAGCACTGGATGTGACCTAATCCAGAAAGGTGAAGGGAATAAGGAAACCAACACGCACTGAATGGCTGCTATGAGCCAATGTCCTGACCTGGGTTCTTTATGTGTTTTCTCATTTCATTTTCAAAACTGTTCCGTGTAGCAGTTATGACTCCCATATTCCAGAGGAGAAATGGAAGCTGAGAGGGGTTGAAGGAAGGTCCACAAGGCCACACAGCTGCTAAGTCAGGCAAACATGATTTACACATCTAGGCTTTTGGCCTCTAAATAACTGTGCACTTTCTGTGACATCATGCTGACCCCCGAGAAAAACAAGAAATACCAATTTCCATAGATTTCATAAGCACATTGGTAAATACTGCATTCTATTTTTTCTACAGCCCATACTATATACTAATAGCATGTATTAAATTATATTGCTCACAAAACAAAGTTTTGATCAGATATCCATGGTGTTGCTTTTTTAAAAACACACTTTCGCTATTGCTCATCATGCTTTCTGTCATAATGATATGGTTGTTATTAATAAATACAAGACACTATGTACCTGTAACTCCTTACTCTATCTTAAAGACATAAATAGGGCAGTGTAATGGTTATCAGGGATTTCCTCTCTTTGGCTAATAGGTGGGGTGGTGCAGGAGGCTGAGAAAGTCTTACTCTGTTGGGGTAGGAGGCGGAGACAGGACTCGATTCCAGAGACGGGGCTCAGACACCAGACCAAATTGAGGACTAGTTAAAATGGACTGGGAGGAAGCAGCTTTCCATAATACATGCCCACCAGTGTGCCATGTCAGTTTACCATTGCCATGGCAACACTCAGGAATTACCACCTCTTTCCAAGGCAATGACCCAACAACCCAAAAGAAATTTCCCTAGAAATTTCTGCATAAACCACCCCTTAATCTACATGTAATTAAAAGTCGGTATAAATATGACTGCAAAACTGCCCTGAGCTGCTACCCTGAGCACACGGCCTGAGGTGTATCCCTGCTCTGCAGGAGCAGTCATGGAGCTGTAACACCACCGGAGCTGTAACACTGCCACTTCAATAGAGCTGCTTTCTTCCATCTCTTGCTCGCCCCTGAATTCTTTCCTGGGCAAAGCCAAGAGCCCTTGTGGGTTAAGCTCCAGTTTAGTTGTGTAATTACTTTAAATTTTTTAAGATACCAATATTATATGACTTCCGATCTTTTTAAAATTTTCTTCAAACCGAATCTTGCTCTGTCATGTAGTCTGGAGTGCAGTGATGTGATTTCGACTCACTGCAACCTCCGTCTCCCAGGTTCAAGCAATTCTCATGTTTCAGCCTCCCGAGTAGCTGGGGTTACAGGCATGTGCCACCATGCCCAGCTAATTTTTGTCTTTTTAGTAGAGACGGGATTTCACCATGTTGGCCAGGCTGGTCTCAAACTCCTGACATTAGGTGATCACCCACCTTGACCCCCCAAAGTACTGGGATTACAGGGCGTAAGCCACCACGCCTCGCTTGATCTTTTGTTGGAAATGAATAGTGTATAAATTATCTCAGGGAAATTTAAATAATAAGCATACATTCTAATGCAGTCCTCAGTGTAGCTTTGTGCCCACTGTCTGTTTTCTAGAGCCCTCTTCAATACAGTGTAACCTACTCAACAATGTGTTAATAACATCTACTAAAAACACACTGGATTCCTGGGATGTCTTAACCATCTAATATCTACTGTTGAAAATTGTAAGTCTTCCTTTTGGTTCTGTTAGTGCTCCATAGAATTCGTTATGACACGGATCATAAAATAAATCTTCACAGTTCATTAGTAGAGTCTAAAGCAATTCTGAACACATTTTACTTGCTTCACACCTGTTTGCTTAAATGTAAATATAGAAAATACCTTGTATTCCTGCTCTAGAATTTGTAGTGGGAATTCATATTAAACAGTTCATAGAGTTGTGGAATCTGGATTTTTAAAAAAGAATTAAAAACTAATGAATTTGTATTTAGAGTTTAGAAAGTACAGAACTTATTTCAAACTAATATAGTTAGTTGTCTCTGTTTTTAAATGAAATTCCTCTCTGAGGCTGCTTTATTAATGAAACCGATTGCACTCCCTCACTACCAGGCTGGGGGTGGTGGGCTCCACGTGAGTGAGCATACTTGCTTCTTTAGGGAAGCACAGAATTGCTTGAGAAAACAAGTCAGCAGTGGTGAAGACTGGAGCTTGGAAACATGGGGTCTAGGTATTTCTCTTGTCCTCAGCTTGGTTATGTAGAGTAGCTGTTCTCAGTTTCTGTAGCTCAGAAACAGTGTTTCCCAGACTTCCCTGATGGAAAGAACAACCTGAGGGGCTGGCAGACAGACAGTTCCCCAGACCACTGTGCTGGAGATTCACATCCCAAGGGTATGGGTTGAGGCCTGCGGATTTGTATTACTGATGAGGACTCAAGTAATTATTTTCGTCAAGAGGTTTGGGAAGGTATTTCATTGAAACCCTTCCTCTTTCTTCCTTTTTAACCCCCATCCAATTCTTCCAAAATCACAAAATGACCACAAGAATATTACAATCAGTGATACTCTTACTTTCCGAGTGGTTTCCTGAGTTCCTGCCCCCACACCACCATTACTTTTACATGCCATCCTCAGCTTATTCTTCTGGAAACTCAGCTCTGAGCACTACTTTCCTCTTTAACAAACACCAAGACTGCTCTGTGGCCTGTTATATTGTGTCCAGATTCATCAGCCTGGAATTTAAGGCCCTCTGTAAATTGGCCCAACCTGCCTTTTCAAATTCTTTCTTACCAAGTTCCTTTATACAGTGTTGGATTCAGCCAGGTTGTGGCCATTTGATTCCCCCTGTATACATTCTTTAATATCCTGCCTCTTTGCCTTGGCTTATACTTTTCTTTCTGCCTTGAATAGTTTTCTTCTCATCCATCCATATCCGTGTCTCGAATCTGTCTTTCAGGGGCCAGTTCAAAGTTCCCTCCTCTCTGAGGTGTGACCTCATTTGACCAGTCAGAGAATAAGAATCTATTGATGCCTGTTTGTCAGGCATGATGCTGAATCCTTTATATGGATGATCTCATTTGAATCTCAGAATAATCCTTTGAGAGGACTTTCTTTCCTCCGGAACTCATCCCCACTGTACTTCTCCTTCTTCTTAGATTCTATATTTGCGAATTCACCTACTCGCTAAATTTGGTTATAAACTCCAGATCAATATTTGTGGCACGTTTGAGGTCATATGTGGACACGCATAGAGTGGTGAAAAATCTGAGTTGCCTAAATGCTCATGTTCCCAGCTGAGGTCAAACAGGGCCACACTCTGCCTTTTTGTTTCTGCTCTCATGTTAAATAAAAGACCTTTTGGAAGTCTATTCAGTGCCATGTTTTTTGCATTTTGATGCTTTTTGTTAGTAATTTTGCTACTTAAAATGGTCCCCCGTGCTGTCTAGTGTTCCTAAGTACAAGAAGGCTGTGATGTGCCTCGTGAGAAAATGCATATGTTAAATAGGCTTCCTTCAGGCATGAGTTATATGATGTTGGCCATGAATTCAATGTTGATGAATCAACAATACAGTACATCCAGAAAAAGAAAGGAGATATTCGCTAATCTGGGCCACTGTGGAGGTTGCTAAAGTAACATCTGTAGTGTGTGATGAGTCTATGGAAAAAGCAGAAAAGCAGTTAGACATGATAACTGATTAAAAAACACATAGCAGACAGCAGAGTTGTGAGACTGGAAGCCAAAGAAATTTATGGTCACATTTCCCTGGATCAGGAGAATGTGACACTATTTTTGGCTAGCATTGGCTTGGCTGGTTCACACATTCCAAAAGGTGATATGGTGTGAAAGTTATTAAACTTGCAGATGAGGCAGATTCTACAGATCAGAAGGCTACAGAAGAATTGAAACCCTATCTCTACTAAAAATACAAAAATTAGCAGGTGTTGTGGCACACGCCTGTAATCCCAGCTACTCGGGAGGCTGAAGCCGGAGAATTGCTTGAATCTGGGAGGCGGAGGTTGCAGTGAGCCAAGATTGTGCCACCGCACTCCAGCCTGGGTGACAGAGCGAGATTCTGTCTCAGAAAAAAAAAATTAAAAAATAGTTGCTAAATATCATTCAGGGAAAGAGTTATGTGGAAGAGCAGGTTTTCAATGCTGATGAGACTGGCTTGTTTTACAAGGAAGTTCTCAAACAAACCTATATAACGCAACTGGCAGAGGCTCCCAGGAACCTAATCTTGTATTTCTCCTAGGAGCAACTATTTAGTGCTTGCTAATTCAGTGTTCAGAGCAATTTTATGGGCCATAACTCTTGTTGCTAACAATGAGAATCGACTGTACTTTGTTTTAAACCTCCTTTATAAAATTTATTATTTTCTACCTTGTATTATAGATATTATAATATGTGTCACCTCCCTTACAATAGTACTAATTTATAATCTCTTTCTGGGGAAGATTCTGTACTCATTCATTCAGCAACAGTTTTTGAGTGTTCCTTATGAGACTACCTCTCTACCAGAGGCAGAAGACATGAAGGTGAATGAGACCAAGTCCCTGCCTTTGGGTAGCTTTTTGCCCCGTGGGAGGAGACAAAAAGTAACAGAAAGTTGTCACAATGATTCAGAGAGGCACAGGAGATTAGATGTGATTCTTCAATGGATTAAACATAATTTATAGCCTACACATTGAATGGATGGATCTGCCATTGAAATATCTTCTGAATGCTTCATCATGATCTGATCGTTTTTGCCGCTAAGTCACCCTTTTTCTATATCTATATTTAAATCTTTCTATCAGTTTATTTTTCTGAAGACCCATAATGATTAATGTGTGGTTTTGGTAAATATGGAACAGTTGGTTTACATATTTACTGCCATTAACATGAATTGATAAACTTCAACAGGAACATAACTCTTAGTAGTTCTGGTAAGAAGAGCATCAGACAGAAGCTCTGCCCTGTGAAGTTGCCAGCACGTGAGATGAGAAGGCAGCGCTGAGCCTGGCACAGCAGGTATGTCCGTGGCTATGCTGCAATAGAACTGGCTGTCCGTGCGTCTTTCATGGCAAACCTTGGATGCTGAGTGCACATGCCGGTGCTGACCGTACAAGGCAAGGAAGGCACCAGCAAGACTGCGCAAGCAGCTCCAGGGCTTCTCATTCCAGCAGACCCTGGCTTTACCGTACTAACCCTAACTAATCACTGTGCTTTGGGTAGAGACTTTATGATTAGGTCACAAATGAGTATGGGATGGCCACAAATGAGACATTTTCTTTCCCTTTCCTGTTTTGGCAATAATTGAAAATAATTAGTGATATATTCAGCGATTTCAAACACTTCTGCTCGTCTGTTTGGACAAAGACATTAATATATTTGCTATGAGAATGCTGGCTGATGTTCAATGAAGGCTACATTTTTGAGACATTTCTTTTATCTTTTAAAAGAGAAAACGGGACAGAAACATCAATTTTAGAGAAGAAGGGGAAATAAAAGTAAAATGGAGGCTGGATTAGTCTTTAGGATTTTCCTTCTCAGCCATCTCTCCCATGAAGTTTAGATTCACCAACCCAGATTGCTAACCTTATTTCTAGACCCTGTCAGACTCTTCTCTTCCATGACTCTCATTCTCCTTCTTGTCTCCAGGCTGCTAGACAGCCCCTCTACAGCTGTCCCAGGCCCTGTGGTCAGTGCGAAGACCATCAATTGTGCCACTCTGCTCTGCTGTTGCACTGCAGCTCCTAAGTTGACAGAGACCTGGCCACTGGCTTCTGTGATGCTGGCCCCTTCTTTCATTGCTCTATGTTGAAATCGGGGGCTGCTCCTGCTTGAGGCCTCCTTTGTTACAAATCTACTTGTTTCCCAGGTATAATCTCATCTCCTCAAGAAGACGATCAACTCCTCAGGGGTAAAACTATGCTATTTTCTTCCTTAATAGACTTCTCATAATAACCAGTGTCGTTTTGAGGCTATTGCAGTTTCTACATAATACTTTTTGATATTTATTTTTGTCAATATGGCCCTGATATCCACATGCCCAATTAGACATACTAAATCCAATAAAAGCCAATAATGCAGAGAGGGGTGATCTAGGAAGCTTTTTCAATCAGAAATTGTTTTGTATACGTATTTCAAGGCTGATAATTTTTCATCTGAACTTGTAAAAATGCTACTTGAGTTTTACAAAATAAACAATTTAATTGC
Source organism: Homo sapiens (assembly GCF_000001405.40). Taxonomy (NCBI): domain Eukaryota; kingdom Metazoa; phylum Chordata; class Mammalia; order Primates; family Hominidae; genus Homo; species Homo sapiens. Next base: position 111,169,966 of record NC_000011.10, on the reverse strand, counting down.
AGATCCCCAGCAATTTACCCCGGTGTTCATTCTGAGCAGAACTTCGAAAACAATGTGGTGTTTTATTGTCCACTGATACAGAAGAAATGGAATGAGAAATTTCCCAACCTTTGATACTTCTAAATCAGGACTCTTGAAAGATGGAGGAGGGCTCAGAGTTCAAAATGCTGGTTTGTTTCATCTGACTTTGGCCTCTAGGGAAAGGAGTAGGATTCACATAATCCTTCAAAAATATTTCCCTACATTTGGTGCCTTCTGTGCTCAAGGCTTCTCATTACTCCCTTTAAGGGTTTCTGTGAATTGTCAATTACCTAAATATAAAGGCTTTTTATTCCACCCCATAGAGATTATTCATTTCCCACGTGTCAGTGTGCGTGTGTGTGTGTGTGTGTGCATGCGCGCGTGTGTGTTGTGCTCTGGCTTTTCACCTATTCATCAATACCCTGTAAGGGTATGGACAGGTCAGATGAAAATGAGAGCTATTTGCTATTTTTTTCATGGTTCTAATGAAAGGTTTTGTGAAGAAAGGGATTAAAATTACTTTCAATGCTGTGTTCCCTGTTGGTAATTTGAAAAGCATATGAATTGCACATTTTATATTTCTCTCAGTAAGAAAAAGTTTCTTTTGTATATGATCCTTATTTTTTTCTGTGAATAGGGCTCCTTAATAGAATATAAGATGGTTTATTACCCATGTTTTATATATTTCTCTCTTGTCACATCTCCTTCTCAAGTCAACCATGATGATCTTTTTAACTTTTTTTTTCTTAAGAAAATTCTCTTACGTGAAAACTGCCCAGGACCTCCTAAAACATAGTTTCTCATCTGTACTGCTGCATTCTCCTGCTGTTTTCACTCAAAGAGCAAGGAGTATTCTCTTTAGTCTGCTATATTGAAACAGAATCCAAGCTTCACAGCTGCTATTATAATATTATGGGCCATGTCCTCCACTTCTTCTAGCAGTTACTTTCAGAGATCAAAATCAACTTCGTTACACAGTAAAACAGCATTTTCTAAAGTTTTCCTGAGAATTCTAGTTCTGCAATATGGTTCATGAAAAAGGTTTTGTGATCATGTAAGTTTCACACACATGCCAAACATACTCTAACCCCTTCTTGAAGGTTTCTGACGCACAATAATTCATTAATGCCTCTGAGAAATCCTGCCTTCAGCAAACTTGTTGTTGACTGTGGTCTCTGTTGCCATATCCCAAACGTATTTCATCACGTTACATTTATTAGCCCCTTTATTCTTGTAGCACATTTTTCATTTAGCAAAACATGCTTGGGGAGATACTGGGAAAGGAATTAGGGAAACACAGCTCAACATATCTGAATGAGCCACACGTATGCAATGACTTACTCTTAAATCTGGCCTCTAGGTCCTGTTTGTTTTATCAGCGAAATGCAAGTTCCACAGCAACAAGAACTTTTATCAATTTTTTTCACTGCTGAATCTCCAGTGCTATAACAGGGCCTGACATGTGTTTGGTGATTAATAGATAGTCGCTGAATAGGAGAATGCATGCATCTTTGGATCACGGACATCATGACTTTCTTAGCTGAGTCTCAGAGGTGGCCCTAGTTTCAAATTGAAGCTGGACTTCTACCAGTTGATTGCTTTTTTTTTTTTTTGAGATGGAGTTTTGCTCTTGTTGCCCAGGCTGGAGTGCAACGGTGCAGTCTCGGCTCACGGCAACCTACGTCTCCCAGGTTCGAGCGATTCTCCTGCCTCAGCCTCCCGAGTAGCTGGGATTATAAGCATGAGCCACCACATCTGGCTAATTTTGTATTTTTAGTAGAGATGGGGCTTCTCCATGTTGGGCAGGCTGGTCGTGAACTCCTGACCTCAGGTGATTCGCCCACCTCTGCCTCCCAAAGTGCTGGGATTACAGGCATGAGCCACCACGCCCAGCCGATTAATTCTTTAACCAGTTACTTATTCTCTCTTGCTTAATAACTAGAACCTCTTGAATTTTTCATCTTCAGAAGTTGTGTGGTGCACACTTATCCTATTCATGGCTTCCCATCATGTTTTGACAAGTCTCTTTATGTATTTGGGGGAAGGCCTTTGTTATTAGTATTGCCTCCCAATGTACTGACTTGCCTCTCAACTCAAATTTCCAGGTGTTTTGTAGAAATATGCATGACAAACATAAGAAAAGAGCATTGTGAGGAAATAGGGTTTGTTGCTGAGTGAGTGGTCCAGGTGAGGTCAGCTCCTAATACAGAAATGACAGCAGTGGTGGGGCCTTCAAGTCAAGTGGTGTGGATTGGTCAAGGCTGGCAATGGCATGTCAACAATTGCCTTATCAGGCCAGTTCTGTAGGGTGATTTGAGCCTTGTTCCTGGAAACCTAGCCGAGAGCCTGGTTGCAGGCCTAGAACCTAATTAATTCCATATGTCTAAATGTCCCGGCTAAAGTTGTCATCTTCTACCATAGCTATACCCTCTTCTACCATAGAGGCATCATCCTATAATTCCACAGTCTCAAGTTCCTATTTTAGAAGACTGCTTTCCTTATTGCTAAGGATTTCCCTACTTTGTAGTTGCTTATACCATTTCCCTATTTTATTCAATCCCATTAATTCATTATACACACATACTCCTCCTTTGCCTCTGTCTTCTGACTGGTTTTCTGGGTTTTGATCCTGCTATGTGTATGACATTCCCCTTCTAAGGGCCAATGTCTATGATTTGCTTTTTATAATGGCTCTATTTCTTTTGTTTTTGTGTTTTGACAACTGAGCTGGATCGAAAGATTCCTAATCCCTACTAAATTACTTTTTATTATGCCTCTCTTGCACTCCAGAAATTCTTTTGCATTTAAATGATTATGCTAAATAACTGCAGAATTCTATTTTCCAATAGTTGCAATTATCTAAATTAAATTTTAATAATTTAATACCCCAAGCATTATATTTGTCAAATGCAACTGGGAAGGTAATAGGGAGACAAGATTGGGTTTGGTTGCTAGTAAGAAAGACCCAACGCCGTAGCAGCTTAAATAAGGCACAAGTGCATTTTATTCTCATGAAAGAGAACTTTAGAAGTAGGCTAATGAGGACTGATATGTTGACTCTATGTCCTTGAGGACCCAGTCTTTTTACATTCTTCTGCTCTACTCTCCTTAGTAGATGGCTTCCAGCCATAGGATAACCTCATTCTTACAAGATACTGGCATAGCTACAGCTTTTCCATCCTGCCTCCCATCTGAGTCAATTCCCTTTCCAAGAAACCACACTCAATGACTTTTACTCATATCTCTTTGATCATCCCTATCTATAAGAGACACAACGTAGTTTCATAGTTGGGCAAATTGCCACACCCATTGATTCAGGGGTCTGTTCTCTTGCAAAGGAAGAAGGAGGAAGTGAATAGTGGGAAAACAACTAACAGTCTCTGCTTTGGAGATTTCCTTTTAAAATCTGTTGTTGGGCAGCAGATGCTATTGGCTCTATATATCCAATTAGTGTAGTTGTGAAGATTTCTCATAAAACATATCTTTCATAGAGACGCTCATGGCTAAATTCTTTGTATTTGGAACATTTTCCATGAAGTAGTTTGGTCTCATGGGCCAGAAGGTGGGTACCAATTATCTGTGTTTACACACTGTGAGCAATGTTGTCCTCTAGGATTCAAGCCACGCTTTTAGTGTATTGCTTTTCTGATAGGCTTTTAAAAGAATGCATAATGTACAAAGCATGCCAAAATGAAGCATTTTAATAATGTTCCATTGCAATTAATTCTTGAGGACAAGATTCACATTTCAAGAGATTTTGAAATTTTAAAAAAGATTTACATTGAGCATAAAACAAAGTCAACTTCTCTGGGCTCATTATAAAAGGCCAAATCATAGTCCCTATCACAGAAAACAGTTTTGTTACTTATTTTTATTTCTTGGAAGACAATGGGATATTGGATTAGGGTGATCTAATTCAGAGGAGAATCTGCTCACCCAAAAGACAGACAATACAGAGAAGAAACAGGAAAATTATGCTTATGCTGTCTTGGATAAGCTATGTTGGCACAAGCTTTTTTTTGTGCCAGTTTTAAAGTGACAGGTTCAAAGCTCAAAACCATGAGCAGACTGTAATATGCAATGAATATTATCTCCAGTGACTTAATGAGGATGCACTCATTGGATTTTAAGTCAGTGATTCTTTTGAACTTCTGCTATGTAATTACCCATTTTTGTTATTTATTTGAACTAATAATAAAGAATTCAGACTTAGCAAAATACTGTACAGTTCTTGCCTTCTCTCCTCCTTCCCACACAGTTCGTCTTTGTAACAACTGGTTCTGCTCAGCCTGTGTGACATTTCCATAACCACCCTTTCCATCCCTTTAAGGTTTGCCGCTGTACAAAAGGAGGACTCATTTGATAATTGCTTTATAAATAACTGAGAAGAACACTAGCTTTTACCAAAACGGAGTAAGGATAATATTGGTCAGGGGGGCATGCCTTTGTGCCCATTTTAAAGAAGTTGAATCTTATTTACACTCAGCGGCTTTATACTGTGAGAGGACATAAATTTCCAAACAGACTGGTGTTTATGGAATGGGTTACTGCTGGTTGAACCACAGTGTGCCTGGAGTTGAGTTAGCATGGAGGAGGTTGGGTACAGCAGTGAGTGGTGGTCTTTCCATAATAATCACACTGCAGCATTGTCACATTGTCAATAAGAGCTCTTTCTCTTGCTCCACTCAAGCAAATGTTTAATTATCCCAGTCTTTCCTGCTTCTCTTGGAAGTATTCAATGAACATCCTGCATACTGGAGAAATGAAATATTCTTTCAGCACCATTGGTGAATTTTCCATTCAGATCCAGCCAAATATCAGCTGAAATGAAGAACTACTCTCTTATTCAAGCTGTTAGACTTATGGGCTGTCTGTGAAGCTGCTCCTTCCTCTGTGTGGTTTGGGGAATGGGCTGGTAGCAAGGAAAAAGGGTTGGGTCCTACAGGCGGTGTGGCCATGAGTATATACAGGGTGGCAGGTGAATCAATGTAGTGCTGTGCTCTTGGCCAAGAAGAAGAGGATAGGGTAGAAGACACAGCTCCAACCCTGTGTCAGTTTGAGGTAGGGTATGACAACTGACTCCATCCCTTGCAGGTATGAAAAATTAGACTCTACATGCTTTTTGGATCTGTTGTGGCAAATTACACTGAAGTTATTTTATCCCTTTACTATTTATTTTTGTAATTTGCATTTTCAAAGAAAAAGATACAGTAAAAAAAAATGAAATCCTGTACAAACAATAGGTGCTATAAAGCACTTTAAAAGGAAAAACATCATTCCCCAGATACTTTGATGAAGAACATGAAAGAGCAACAAAATTTTTATAGTATATACCTTATTCCAAATTTTTACTTGAACTCCTCTAATGAATATGTCAAGGGAAAGCAGTGATTATTTTCTTTTGAATTTAAATTAATTTGTCTATTTATTCAAACTCTATGCAGAAAGAAAAACATGGAACCTAAGTCATCTTCCAATTTTGGAGTTGATTTGTTACAGTTTATTCATGACGCACTTTCAGTAAGTCACCCGAAGTCTTCTAAATTATTGAAATAAACTAAATCTCAAGATCGAGCAGACTAGAAACACCGAGCACAAATCCTGCCCTTTTGCTTTTGTCTTTTTGAGCTTAGACACTGACTTAGTACAACAGACAGGCAGTGACGGAGAAAATCGACATACACAGCACAAGGAAACGTAGGACCAAGATCCTTAAACTAGAAAGAACTTCAGGATGTGGAAGATCAGAAAGAAACTTAAAGTATGGGATGATAAATTGCAACAGCTTGGAAGCTCCAATGAAGTGATGATGATGAAGGCTTCAAACTGTATTTTCCCAGTTTAGAGCAAGATTATGAAGTTGCTAAGAACAACTATTTGTGATTTCTTTTCTTAAAATACTTTAGCATAGCACATTTCTGGGTAAAGTATTGTTATTTTTAAGCAGTTTTAATTTTTATCTTGGTTTTATTGGTACCTTTCTGGATAACATTGACATGATCGTCTCTTACTGTCACTGTGTGTGTGTGTGTGTGTGTGTGTATGTGTGTAATGTATATATACCTCTTTATTATATAGAAGCCTAAATATAGAAGTTACATAGAAGATATGGAAGCAATAAAATCCTTATTTCCAAATAGAAAATCACCCTGGAATCTGAAAGCTTAAAAAGGACTGTTACAAAGAAGTAGACATGTTTGGTACAGAGTAGACACTCAATAAAAGTTGAGTGAATTAATCGTTAAAAGCCATTTGCTATTCTACAGAGAATTATATTAGTTAAAAACATGATGGCATACAGTAACCATTTTTTCTATATAATCTCATTCTCACAATAGTCTTGGGAAATGGGTAGATCAGGTGTTAATTCTTATCTATGTAAGTTGATTAGAAACTGAAACTCAGAGTTTGAAAACATTTGCTCATAGCTGTTAAGTGGCAAGGCAGAGACATGGGCCCAGTCAGGTGACTCTAAGTTCTGTGCTTTGTGCCACTTAGATTGCTGTCCCGTGTGTGTGTGTGTGTGTGTGTGTGTGTGTGTGTGTAGGTGTGTGTGTGTGTATGTAGATAGTGACGTATCTTAGTTTTCAGTAATTGATACTTAACCACAGTGCAAAACACTCAACTCTTTGTTGCCAGCACACATGAATATTTGATTTACATTCGTTCACATTTTACAGCTCCATCTTTTGCTTCTGACTTTGTAATGATGGTTGTTTGTCACATTACTCGTTATGGAATAATCACTGAAAAAAAGAAACTCTTTGAAATGAGAAAGGGGGATGATAAAAGAGAAAAGATAAGCTTTACTGAAAAGCTCTAGGTCCATTGCCTTTGTTTTGGAGAAATTTCTTAGGCAAAAACATCAATCTTCTGTCTCTGTCCTTTTACACACGTGCACACGTTTCAGAAGGGCACGAGTGAATTTAACAATAACAAACATTTGAGCTTCCACTCCTCCCTCTGCTCAGTGATGGCCTCTTAATTCTGTACGTGGAAGTGACCAGCATGACAATAAGCAGGACAAAGTGGCAGCAAGGTGTTTCTTGGCAGAAACAGTAGCCCAGTGAACCAAAATAAACTCACACACCAGGGTTTTGTGGTTCCTTGACTTTGGAGAAAGTAGCTGAGGTGGAGAATTTCAAGTCAAGTCCATGTTTTACCAGGAGAGCCTCTGCCTGCTCTCTTCTTTCTGTGTATGACCTTTCTATGGTCTGCAATCTTTGGGGATGGTAGAGCATACTCTAGTTTTTCATATAATGATTCCCCTTCCCTTTTGTTGTAACACATTTATGTAAGATGTAAGATATGCAGATGTATTATATGCTTAACCTTTTCTGCAATCCAGGAGTTGGCCACAGGGAGAATACAGTAACACTTTCTGCTTATGTAATGTACTGTGCCTGAGAGCCATTTGTGCTTTGGAGATAACTCAGCAATGTGTCAGTCTTTGTCTGCTATTCTTGTCCAGCAGCAGGAGCTAAAATGCTCACTGTCTTGGAAATTCCTGTCTTGGAGGAGGACTGGAAGTAGTTGCCAAGCCCATTTCAGCAAACTGCTAGATGAGGGAAGAGTTGCCTGAGCTCCTGGAGGCACATGTGAATAGAAAGATGTGGCCTCCTAACTTGTAACGGTGAGGAGGAAATGGGTTTAAGAAATCCTCTCAGCTCCAGTCCTCTTCTAAAGGAAAGTCAAAGACACTTCCTGCCACATAGGGTGCTTTGCTTTCCATCATGGACCCCGATTCCCTGGCCACAACAGATTGAACAGGAAATTGGTTGCATTAACCTAACAAGGACAATCATACATGCACTAAATAAAAAAGAGTTACATGAACTGTGAGGTGGCCAGGCTCCTTGAATGTCAATTGTGATCTTCTTTTGGGGAGTTTTAACATGACACATAAACCCACAGAGGGCAGTGAAATAGAGAGAGTAGCAGAGAATCAAGTAGACATGGAAACTGAGTCAAAGAATTGCAGAGCTCCTGAAGTTGGAAAACAGGCAACCTCGGACAAGGTAACCCAGTCACTGCAGCCGTCCTAGTGTTCTGAGCAGTGAAGAGCCATTGTATCTGTTCTGGATTTGTGTTTTTTTCTTTAAGGACTGTATAGAGGTATAATTCATATACTATGAACTACACACATATAATGTGTAAAATTTGATAGGTTTGACATATATATACACACTTATGAAATCATCATCACAATCGAGTTGATGAAAGTCCATCACTCCCAGAAGTTTTCTCTTGCCTCTTTGGAGTCCCTCCTCCCACCCCTTCCTGTTCTCTCCCATGTTTCTTAGGCAATTGCTGGTCTGATCTGTGTCACTTTGAAGTAGTATGCATTTTCCAGAATTTTATGTTAGAACCATACAGTACGTGTTTTTTCATCTGTCTTTTTTTCATGCAGCGTAATTATGTTGAGATTCATTCATGTTGTTGTGTGTATTAATAGTCATTCTTTTCTCTTGTTGAGTAGTATACTATTGTGTGGATGTACCACAGTTTTTATTATAATACTTCTACTTGTTGATATACATTTGGGTTGTTTTCTTTACTATTACAAATAAAACTGTTATGAACATTTGTATACAAGTCTTTGTATATATATAGGCAACTTTTTGTATGTTTATTTGCCTTCCAAATATCTTAATATTCCATGGGTAAAAGAAGGAATAAAAAGGAAAATTATAGAGTATTTTTTAATTGAATAAAAATGAAACTAACATATAACAATTTGTGGGATGCTGCTATACACTATTATTTAGAAAGACTTTTAGAGAACTAAATGCCTATAATGGGAAAGAAGAAAGGTATCAAGTTAGTGACCTCAGCTTTCATATTAAGAAGCTACAAAAAGAGAATGAAATCTAAGTTATAAAGATGAAAGGAAATAATAAAGATTAGAGCAAAAATAAATGAAATAGAAAACAGAAAAACAAAAGAGAAAATCAATGAAACCAAAAGCTAGTCCTTTGAAACGTTCAGTATAACTGATTAAGCTCAAACCAAACTGATCATGAGTAAAAGAGAGAAGGCACAAATCACCAACATCAGGAATGAGAGACGTGACATCACTAAAGATTCTACAGAGGTTAAAAAGATAATGAGGGAATATTATAAACAGGTTTATGCAAATACATTTGACAACTTGGATGGCAAGGACCAATTTCATAAAAGACACAAACTACCAAATTTCATTCAAGAGGAAATAGATAACCCGGACAGCCTACATCTATTAAAGAAATCAAATTGGTAGTTAAAAACCTTTGTGCGTGCACACACACACACACACACACAAACACACATACACTCCATACCCTGATGGCTTTACTGGTGAATTATAACAAACATTTAAGGAAGAAATATTAGCAATTCTATATAAAATATTAAAGAAAATTGAATAGAAGGGAATACTGCCCAATTCATTCTATGATGGTAGCCTTGCTCTGGTGATTAAGCAAAACATAAGCATTACAAAAAAAGAAGACAACATAGCTGAAAAATTTCTTTACAAAATTTACTATTATATAGTTGGATTCAATTTTATATATAATGAGGCTTATCACAGGAATGCAAGATTGATGAAACCTTTGAAAATTAATTTATGTAAATTATCATGGCAGACTTAAAGAAACAAAATGAAAAACAAAACATGACCATTTTGATATATGCAGAAAAAGTATTTGACAAAATCTAATATCCATTTCTCATGAAAACTCTCAGAAAACTAGAACTAGAGGACAACTTTTTCAATTTGATCAAGGGCATCTACAGCTACACATTAAACTTAATAGTTAATTAGTTAACATGTTTCCCTAAAATCAGGAAGAAAGCAAGGACGACTGCTCCCACTACTTCTATTCAGCATAGAACTGGAGGTTCTAGTCATGCAATATAGCAAAGAAAAGATATAAAAAACATCTAATTTGGAAAGAAAAAAAAATCAAACTGTCTCTATTCACAGTTGATGTAATCATCTGTCTTATGAATCTACATAAAAATATTAGAACTAATAAGTACATATATGATGTAAGACCAATATACAAAAATCAATTGTATTTCTTTATACTAACAATGAATAATTAGAAATGAAAAAAACTTACTATTTCAATCCCATCAAATGCAGAAAATATTTAGATATAAGGCAAATAGATATTGTACAAGACCTGCACACTGAAAATGACATAGCGTTTCTGAGGAAAATTAAAAACTGAACTAAATGGAATGATATAACATGTTCATGAACTGGAAGATTCAATGTTGTTAAGATGTCAGTTCTCCCATAATTGGTTTATAGAGTTGACTATACCAATCAGAATTCCAGAAAGGTTTTTGTAGAAATTAATTTAAAAATTTATTTGGAATTGCAAAGAACCCAGGGTAGCCAAAAAACTGTTAAAAATAGAAGAGAAAGCTTAGAGGCCTTACAGTACTTAATGTCAGGATTTATTATAAAGCTACAGTAATCAAGATATTGTGGTTACAGTGGAAAGACAAACAAATAGATCAATAAAGCAGAAGAGTCCAGAAATGGATTTATACATACATGATCAATTGATTTTGACAAAGATACAAAAATAACTCAATAGAGGAAGAATAGTCTTGAAACAATTGGATATCATATGAACAAAAATTCTAATCCATGCCTCATGGCATATACAAAAATTAGCTCAAAATGAATCACGAACTTAAATGTCAAACCTAAATTATAAAACTTCTCGAAGAAAACAGAAGAAAACAAATCTCTTTAACTTTTGAGTAGGCAAAGATTCTTAAATATATATGGCAATTATATCTCAATAGTTATTTAAAATGATTAATCACCATGTAAAACAAAACTGATAATTTATGGTGGAGCTTGTAACATATATGGAAGTAAAATCTATAAGAACAATAGCATAGAGAATGGGAGGGTGCAAATTGAAATATACCATTGTAATGTTTTTGCTTACATATGAAGTGGCATAGTATTATTTGAAGGTTGTCTGTGATAAGTTGGTGATAACCTCCAGAGGAACCCCCAGACGTTGACACAAATAAGCACAGAAATTGCTAAGAAGAAATAAAAGGGAATACTAAACATTACTTAATTAACCCAGAATAATGGAGGAAAATGGAAAAAAATAAACAAAAAACAGAGAGCACATATAGACATTAAATAGCAGGATGTTAGATTTAAACCCAACCACATTAATGATTACATTGTATGGAAATAAAACAGACGCTGAAATTAAAAAGCAAAAATTGTCAGATTGGAGAAATAAGGGCCCAACTATCTGCTGTTTACAAGAGATTCGCTTTACATATTTAAATGCACTGGCAGATTGAAAGCCAAATACATAAAAAGTATATGATGCAAATGCTAATCATAGGAAAGCTGGCTCATCAGACAAAGTTAACTTCAAGATGGAGAGCATTATTAGAGACAAGCATTTTATAATGATAAATAGGTCAATCAATCAAGAAGACATAACAATTCTAGATATGTATGCACCTGATAACAGAGCTACACAATACATGAAGGTAAAGCTGACAGAACTTAATGGAAAAATAGACAAACTTACTATTTTTTGTAGATTTCCATACTCTTCTCCCACTAATTAATAAAACATATACACAGAAATTTAGAAAGGATATATAACAGGACAAGAAAGATATAAGTTAAACAATTTGACCTAATTAACCTTTATAGAACACCATACACACTAACTACAGAATACTCTTTCTCAAGTGCGTATGGAACATTTGCAATGTAGACCCTATGCTGGGCCATAAAATAGGCTCAATAAATAAATTTAAAAAGAGAAATCTCACAGACCATAGTAGAATTAAGTTAGAAATTAATAACAGAAAGGGATGTGGAAAACTCTCCGATTTATTAGGAAATTAAACAAGACACTTCTAGATAACCTATGGTAAAAGACTAAATCATAAGGAAAATTAGAAAATATTAACTAAATAGAAATAAAAACAGAAGATATAATTGTTAGGACGGAGACAAGAGACAGAGACAAGGGGGGTGGCTCAACAGCAACACAGGTTTATTGGATAAAGACCTGCGGAGGGGAAACACCAGCAAGTGCCAGAGCCCAGGTCCCACTTACAGACTGGGTTTGGACGGCGGAGGTGGCTAGCTGCTCGGCAGTATGTGATATGGCAGGAATTTCCTGCAGTTCTCACAGCCCAAGCCGCTCTGTGGAATTTTCCACCCTGACCACGGTGTGCAAAATGGCGAGGTTTTATAGGACGGCACCACTTGGGCTAACAATAATAACTCACGAGATGCTCCTAAGGCAGTACGCAGAAGTTTGTAGCTTTACTACTTCCATTGAAAAAGAAAACAGATTTAAAATCAATAACAAAAGTTTTCACTTTAAGCAAATAGGAAAACAAGAGTAAATTAAACTAAAACAAAGGAAATAATAAAAGTACAAGGTGTAATCAATTAAATAGAAAATATATAAATAATAAAGAAAAGCAATGAAGCTAAAAGTTGGTTCTTTAAAAAGTTACAAAAATTTGAGGCTGGGCACGGTGGATCCCAGCACTTTGGGAGACCAAGGTGTGTGGATCAGTTGAGCGCTGCAGTTTGAGACCAGCCTGGGAAACACGGAAAAACCCTGTCTCTATAAAGAATACAAAAATTAGCTGGGCATAGTGGTGCGTGCCTGTAGTCCCAGCTACTCGGAAGACTGAGGTGGGACAATCACCTGAGCCCGGGATGTTGAGGCTGTTGTGAGCCGGTTTCATGCCTCTGCACTTCAGCCTGGGTGACAGAATGGGAACCTGTCTCAAATTTTTTTTTTTTTTTAATAAAACACTGGATGATATAGACTTTGGAAAAAAGAAAGAAAATGAAAATCACCCATGTAAGGAATTGATGAAGCAATTATTACAGGGCCTACAGGCATTCAAGGGATGAAAAGAGATTATTATGTACAAATTTGTCAGTAAATTCAACAGCGTAGATAAAATGAACAAATTCCTTGAAAGATACAAATTAACAAAGCTCATACAAGAAGAAATAGAAAATCTGAATAGACATATTTATGAAAGATATTGAATTGATAATCTAAAACTTTTTTTCTAAGGAAAGCTCAGCTGGTTGCATGGGTTAATTCTACCAAACATTTAAGGAAAAATAATATTAATATTAAACATTTTTATTTTAAAGAAGGAGATAATAATTTTCAATTCATTTTATGAGGCCAGAATAACCTTGACACCAAAACCAATGACATTACAAGCAAACTACAAACTAATATTCTTTATAAGTATAGATGCACAATTCTTATCAAATTATCAGCAGATTAAATTTAGCAAAATATAAAAAGAAGAATACATTATTAACAAGTGGTGTTTATTTCATAAATATAAGGTGGTTTAAGATTTGAAAATTAGTTAATGGAATACACCACACTTAAAAAAAGGACAAAAATCATATGATCTCAATATACAGAGGAAAATATATTTATAATTTTTTAACACTCATTTATTTAAAAAAAACTGTCAGCAGACTGGAAGTAGAAATTTTCTTAGTCTGATAAAGGGCATCTGTAACAAACTTACAGCTAACATTATACTTAATGGTGAAATCTGAAAATCTCCTTCTAAGATTGGAAACAAAACAAATGTATTAATTCTTATTCTATTTGACATTATGTTGGAAGATTTAGCCAGAGTAATAAAGTAAGCAAAAGAAATCAAAAGCATATCCATTGAAAAAGGAGAAAAAAAGTGTCTTTCTCTATAGACAACATATTGTGAACATAGACAATCCTAGAGAATCTATGTAAAACCACTAGAACTAATAAGTGAGCTCATCAAGGTTATAGGATTCAATTTTGTTAATATACAAAAGAATTGTATTTCTATATACTGGCAATGATCTTCTGTAAAATGAACATGTAAAAACAACATCATTTAGAATAGTATCTAAAACTACAAAACACTTAGGATTAAATTAACAAAAGATATGTAATATCTGTATACTGAAAACCACAAGACACTGCTAAGAGAAATTAATGAAGATCTAAATAAATGACAAGATATGCTATGACCATGGATTGGGAGGCTCAGTATTGCTAAAATGATCATTCTCTCCAAATTAATCTATATATTCAATGTAATCTCAGGAAAAACCCAGTAGGTTTGTTTTCCTTGATAGCAATTGACATGTTGATTCTAAAATTTACTTAGAAATGCAAAGAATGTAAAATAGCCAAAATGATTTTTAAAAAGTAAGAACCTTACTGCAAAGCTACATATATAGACACAGTGAGGTACTGGTATAAAGATAGGTATTACTGTAGTTAGTGGCCCTCAAAAGAACTATAGTACATAAACAGATATACAGTCAATCTGTGGTATTTACATTTCATGTTGGGGTAATCAGGAAAAAAGCATCTAGAGAAGATTCATTTGTGAGTGTTGTGGGTTGATTTTTTTTTTTTTTTTTAATGTGTTGAAGTCCTAACCCTGGTACCTGTGAATATGACCCTATTTGGAAATAGGATCTTTGCAGATATAATTAAGGTATAAGTTAAGATGTGAGTATACTGGAGTAAGGTGGGCTCCTAATTCAATATGACCGATGTCTTTATAAAAAAAAGTAAAATGAACAGACACAGACATATGGGGAGAAGGCCACATGAAGATGAGTCAGAAACTGGAGTGAAGCTTCTATGAGCCAAGGAGCACCAAGGATTCCTGATAAACCAACAGAAGCTACAAAGAGGCACGGTAGGATCCCCCTCTAGAGCTGTCAAAGAGAGCATGGCTCTGCTCTGCTGACATCTTAATTTTGGATCCAGCCTCCAGAACTATGAGAGAATACATTCCTGTTGTTTTAAGCCAACCAGTTTGTAATTTTGTTATGGCAACCCTAGGAAATTAATGCAAGGTTTTTGTTGCTGTTTTGCTTTGTTTGTTTTTTAAAAATCACATGGATAAAAGGTTGAGAAACACTATTTAGAAAAAAACATAGGAAACATTTTTGAAATCTTTAATTAGTTTTCATTTCTTAGGTGGACCCAGAAAGCAGTAGCTATAAAGAACAAAACAATGACAAATGGAATTTTTTCAATTTAAGCACTTTTGGTTATTAGAAGATCAAACCTCTTAAGATCATTGTTAAGAAAATGAATAGTGAATTTACAGACTAGAAAACAATATTTGTAATCTATATATTTGACAAAGGACTTATATCCAGAATATATAAAGAATGCCTACAATTTGATAATAGAGGCAACCAAATTTACAAGTGAGCAGAAGACTTGAATAGATACTTCACAAAGGCAGATATTTGAATGGTTAATAAGCACATGAAAAATTGTTCAATATCATTAGTCATCAGAGAAATGCAAATTAAAACCACAATGAAATACCACTACACATCCATTTGTATGATAAAATTAAAAAGACTGATGACATCAAATGTTGACCAAGTTTTGGAACTAGCAGGAGTGTAAAATGGTGCAATCACTTTGAAAAATAATCTGCCATATTCTCATAAATTTAAACATACACCTACTCTATGTCCAGTTGTAGGTAGAAGTCAAAGAGAAATGAAAACATGTTATACAGAAAGACCTGTGCATGAATGTTTATAGCTCAAATCTGAAAACAACTCAAATATTCATTATCAAGACAATAGATGAACATAGTATGGTACATTTATATAATAGCATACTACTCAGCAAAGGAGAAATGACTTATGGTGTCAACAACATAAATGAATCTTAAAAGCATTATACTGAGTGAAAGAAGCCATATGTAAAAGTGTACATACTATACTCTTCCATTTATGTGAAGCTCTGGAACAGAAAAAACCAATCTATGTTGACAGAAATAAGATCAGTGATTGCCCGGGTGAGAGCAGAGGGAGATTTACTTCAAGGGGGCACAAGACAACTTTTCTAAGCTAACAGAACTCTTCTATATCTTGACAGGAACATAGGTTAATGTGCATATGCATTTGTTAATGCTCATCAAATTAATAAAGTACTTTTTATCTGTGTATTTTACTGTTGCAGATTCTCACCCCTCTCTCCTATCTCTATGTACATACGGGTATGACTCTGCTGCTGTGCTACAGGTTTATGGCAGTGGCTAAGCACTATTCAGTTTGTTCACAAGAGGTTTTTTGGGGGACCTCAGCTTTCTTATGCAAAATGAGGAAACTGGACTTCTTCAAGCTCTCAAAACTACAGCTCATCAGAAAGTTAAGGTCCTTTGCATCTCTAAACTCTTGTGTGGGTTGCTATTTGTATTGCTTCAATTCATCAGACCATCTGTTTGAAAACTCCTAGAGCCCAGTTGCACCCTGAATGAATTAAAGTAGAGGTACTGGGGTGGAGGTAAAAGAGCCCAGCTATTTCCTGTTCCATTTGGTGGAAACCAGAAGAAATGGCTGTTTTCAAGATGTGGCTAAGTCCATATGGAGAAGCGCAGTCACGTGAGTGAATACCTAAGTTGAGGCAACATCTAAATTCTCAAGACTGGGACCTTGTTTGCATCTTTCAAACTGTGCAGATGCAAAGACAATTATGCAAGTCTGTGGGCAGCTGACTGCCAAAATGTGAAGCATATCTCTTCCTGTGTCCAGGGCCATTTCCCTGGAAGCAGAAGCTCTTTTACATAGCTGCTTGATATATAGGTGAATCAAAGAAAGCACAGTATGATCTGTGAAAAGGAAGAGAATTCATATTTTGGAAACTCTTAATAAAAGAAATATTAGAAGTCCAGTGTTTAGAAACTCCTACATATTATAAGAATGTCAACAGCACTGAAACAAACACTTTCCACAAGGTCCCCCAAAGTTTCTCTTAAACGGCCTTGGCATAATTATTACATTTGTTTTCTTCCCAGTTCTTGTTCAGAATGATTTTCCTAAGGAAAGTGGCAACCTACTCCCTACAGTTCCTGTTTCCCCGTTATCTTTTATGAAGCGGGTACTTTCTAATTCCTTTTATATAATTGATTTTAATTAATGGTGATAACTACAGTCCTCCTTGTCTCCAGCACAAAGACCTGGTTGGGGTAAAAATCACAGCTAGTAATTAATGAGAATACATCATTATGGCTCAAAGTTAACATTTCAGGGAACAAACTGAGCTATGAATTTACAATAAAATCCCATTTATTCTTTTTACCCAATTTCAGCAGCATTTCAAAAGCAGTTTATTTCATTGGCAGGTGGTATGCTGATTTGTGCACTATTTAACGTTTCTTCGTTAGCTTTTAAAGACTTTAGGCAATTCCTTTATTGTAGCTCAGTGGTTAGAATTGCATTACCTTTAGAACACAGCACTTAATATAATATTATCCATTATGTATTTTTTCACTTAAATTATACCCCAAATTGTTTTTGGAGATTAAGCCTGTGACAACATGTATCCATTAAATTGTTTTTACAATGAGGTGGTATATGTTTATCTGAAAGCAAACTCTCCCTCCTCTAGAGTCCCATAGCATATTATGGCAGTCATATGGCCTGGAATTAGAAGCTGGTAAACTTTCAGAAGTGGAATGCTACATCACTGAAACCTGTTTGTAGTTATGTAGTCAACTATTACTCCTATTACTCCAAGTGACTAATGCTAAATCTCACTTCTTTCTTGGGAGGATATTTCCACCATTTTGGGGTTGGGTCTCGGGAGAGAGAGAAAATATGTATTCCTGTGATCAGTATACCTTGTGGTGCATCTGTGGTCTCATGGCTACCTTGGCCGACCTTCATTGTGGGGTCTTTTGCATCTTCTGTTGACTGTAATTCATTCTCTTTCCCCATTTCTTAGTAGAATACCATCGTGTAGACATAATATAGGTACTCAGTATGTGTTTGATGAATGAATAAATGTCTGCTGGCTTGGTATAGTTTCATTTCCTCCACGGGAAGCAAACTGGTAAGTAATGGTGCCTGAACATAGATTTAGTATATATTATATGTTAGCATGCTGTTTCCAAAAACTGGTATTTTCAGTTTGGGTGGTTGAGATGAACAATGAAAGGATGTGCATTTGTTATGATGTTAAAGATCTGACGGTATGTGTGGGAGAAATTCATCTTCATGTATGATATGCTTGTTTTGCCTTCTGAATAGCATACCTTGCTAAGACTTCTGTTAGAAATCCAAGAATCTCCCTCAAATGTCTTGGGTTTGGGTTCCATGTCTAGAGATGCTGGGCTGCTTGTCTCCATGGCCACATCTAGTGGGCACTCACTAGCCCCCATATAGAAGATGGTTCCCACATGTGACCCTCGCTAACACACAAAATTATAAAATATATGCTTACTATAAAAAGAGAGAAGTATGAAGGGGACATGAAGTTTCCCTCACTCTTCTTTCTCTCTCAATTCAACTCCTTAGTGATAACCACTATTAATATTTTCTTTATAAGCAACTCTCAGATATTTTCTATTTGTGTACACACACACACACACACACACACCCACACACCCTTTTACATTTTTTTGACATAAAAGGGATACGTTTGTCTAACCTGCAACCTCTTATTACTTTTTGAAATCCCATTTTCTTGAATTCTGTGACACAATACTCATTTTCCTTCTCCTTCTTGGACTTTTCTCTCTCTTTTCACAGATCCCTTCTCTTCTATGGGCCCGTTAAATATTTGGGTTGTCCAGAGTTCCATCCTTGACCCCATTTGCTTTTCACTGTACTTGCTCTGGTTGGGTAATCTCATCAATTCTCATTGTTTTTTAATTACCACCAGTGTTCTGATGATACAAACAATATTCTCTGTCTCGACCACTTCTTTATGCTTCAGATGATTCATGCATGCAATTTCTTGCTGGACAGATACACTTTGATGACTTACTAGTACCTCAGCCTTAATATGTCAACTCAGACTTGGGCCTGCCAAGCTTGTATCTATCTTAGGAACTTTCACTTACTGCTACTTCTGTTTGGAAGAAGATGTTCTTCAGATGTTCTCATGGATGGTTCTGCATCATCACTGAGGTCTCAGCCCAAATAACACCTCCTCACAAAGGGATTTACACACAATCTAAAATATACCTCCTGTTCCCTACGCCTTTCCTTAATAATTCTCAGACACATTATTGGTGTTATTATTTTTTAACACCCTAACACATTATTGGTTATTAATTTTAATAATGCTTTGCTTTTTGTGGTATTGTTTGTGTAGTACGTATATCATTAAACTGCACTGTATTTTATGATGACAAGGACTTATCTCTGTTGTTTATTATTATATTTCCAATGCCTAGAACACTGCCTGCCTTATAGCAGGGGCTCAAGTAACGTCTGCTGAACGAAAGTTGGGAGGATTATATCAAGGGCATGAGACACACCCAGATAGTCATGTCAGCCTTGAGAATATAAATGAAAACATCTAATTTACATGGGTAGCATAAAACTAGTCAACTTTGGCAAGAAGTCAATAAAAGATTGATTCAAGTCAATGGAATCAAAGGAAAACTGATTGAGAGGTGTTCAGAGGGTCAGATTCAGAGTTTTCTCTCCTTTACTCCCTTCTCTAGGCAGGAGCAGTTACCCACATTTCCTTTTGAACTGCCTGTTTACGGTGCAATTCTACACATGGGCAAGAAGTCTATTAAAGAACATATGTCAGCCAGGGTACTTGGTCACAAATATCCAGAATGCACTCTAGTTAGTTTAGCAGAAAAGGCAATGAGATAACTTATAGAATCTGGAAGGGCTGTAGAGTAAGGCTTGGCAGCCATGTAGCCAGGAACATCACCCAAATCATTCCACCTGCTGTTCCTGTAGAGCCCTTACCTCGGTGCTCACCTGGCACAGGTGCTTCCAATTCCTCATGAATTCTGGGCTAAGAATGCTTCCAGTAGGGTCTCTGCTCCTCTCCAGATGCTACTTCCTCTGAAATATGGATCTCTCTCGATCTTCACCTGACTAGATCCTGAATGGTGACTTCTCCCTTTATGACACTCTCTTCTGAATTGGGATCTTGCTCAGAAGCATCTTATCAATTAAGTTCAGGTCACATGCTTGCTTTCTAGTTGCAAGGGAAGCAAGACAAGTAAGTTCCTGGCTTCTTTCTTGGGAGGCAGCTCTCACAAGCAAGGAGATTCTGTGGCCATAGGAAGGATATTCAAAAGGTCCTGAATGGCCACAAAGAATAAGAGTTGTCCACTACACAGCCCCTCTCGGGGGATGTATTGAGTTCAGTGCAATGCTCTCTTCTTATTTCTGGGACTTTTGCCTGTCACCTAAACACTTAGCTTATATTCCAACCGTTATTATTTACAAATCTGTTTTTTACTTGCTATTGGCCAAAATATTCTGACTGCTGTTAAGTATAGCCATTAGCTTCACAAATATCTCCTCAGGCATGCCTCACGTGAATCTTAAAATCTTTTTGTTAGGCAGTCAACATTTATTGATCCAGGCAATGTGCTCTACATACATTATCTAGGTGCAATACATTCATTATGCCATTGAATCCAAACAACCAAATTATCCACATTTTGTAAGTTAGGAAACTGAGGACCAAGGAGGTTAATTAAGTAAATGATCCAAGATTCTAAATAAACAGTCTGCTACCAATGCTCTTTTCCATTTCTCCTTGTGCCATAAGTTTCTCTGACAAGGGTTGTTTGAGGATAATGAAAGCTTATTAAATATTATGAACACAGTGCTGATAGAATTGAATGATACCACTCCTTTCTCTAGGCCTTTTAGGGAGGAAGTGTTAGAAAAGTCAAATCTGGTTTTCTGACATCTTATCAGGATGATGTGACTCATCATTCCCCAGGCCTTTCACAACCCTCAAAATCACATTTTGTTCATCATTCATCACTTTCCTCTATAACCTCCAAAAACTGTTTCTTCCTGTAAGTGTTTGCAATCTGTGTTTGGCTTCCAAATTAAGAGGCAGGCTGCACATTTCCTATGGACTCAATTAGAGCCTGCAGTGTGATGCCCTTGCTTACTTGTTTTTATTTCCAGATTTCTGTAAGCTCCTGAGTAATTCTGGTCTAGGGCTTAGGGTAGAGATGCATTATCATCCTGACAATGTCGTCTGGTGAGATACATTTTTAGGAGGTAGTAAGTACCAACACTTACGAAGCCACAAGGAATAATGAACTGCCTTAGGAGGTAGCTGATAAGCACAGTTCTTTGAGGATAGGAACTGGGTCACATTTATCTGTTTATCACTAGTGTCTGGCACAGTTCCTGGTCCATAATTATTAAAAAGTGTTGGTTTCATAAAGAAATTAGATAACATTGTTTGGTACTTCCAAAAGCAGTTGTTAAACTCTAGTACCCAAATGAGAGTAACATCTGTTTCTAGAAAGCCAAATCCATTCCTTAGTACCCACTTCCACTTATTTAAGATAGAGCTAAGATAATAAAATTGGTATTAATAAGGCCTTTTTCCTTATTGCTATTCCACTTTCTTACATTTTTCAAAGATGTGAGCTATTATTTTTCTGAGTGCTTCTATGTTTTCATTTGATACAAGGAATTACAGAAATGTGAAACTGAAAATTCATGTGAATTATGGAAACCTAAGCCCAGACAGAACTAGAGACCTAGAATATGCAGCTATATAAGACAGTTAAATAAACAAGTCTGCTTAGACTGGTGGGACTCTTACAAAATACACGGTGAACAGACATGCCTTTCTGCCTGGGCTCGCCCAGGAGTTTGCAAATGAACAGAGCTTCTGCAGGGCAGGACCAATGGCTCATGGATTTTTTTTTTTTCCTTAGCCCTTCACTAGCAATTGGAACATGGAATGTTCTTAACAAGTGTTAATGGAATGGATTCGTGAAGGAGTAATAAAGAAAGCCAAAATGAAATTCTTTTAATTTAAAAAGTAATAAGGATAAAAAAGCCTGGGGATATGAGGAGATCCATTTCTCGAATATATATTCTTTTTAGGCTTAGAACAGAATAGCTGGTATATTTGGGTTTAAGTTTCTGCCCTCTGATGGTAAAGGTAGAAATATCCTTCAGAGAATGAGTGGTCTCTGACTAACCCATCTATGCTTTGTCCTGCCATCTGTTTAAATGCACTCTCATGCCATGTGCCTAAAGAATATGATATACGTTAAGGGATGATAGATTCCATTTGACTACCTATAAAATACCCAGTTCACTAATTTAGATCAATAACCAGAAGGTCAGTCTGAACTCAGGGAAAGTTGAAGAGTATAATATTAAAAACAGAAAACAAGTGGAAGTTCTGACATCCACTCTATTTACATCGTTGTCACATCCCAGCTTTGGCAGAGGCTTGATTACTGCTCAGAATTGCATTTGATGAGAAATAATGTAAAGGCAGAAACATAAACTAGGTTCCCAGAGAAGTTACACAGGAGTGGCTTAGTCTTAACAACAAATGACCTAGCCTTAGACCATCAAACCATCAGTCACAGCAGCAACAATTTCTGGTAATGCTGCTAAAGAAAATTTGGGGCGTGCTAGTAGGAATATGGCCCAAAGTGTTCTTGCTTTTTTCCTTTTGAGTTATGAGTGGTTTTCTTTTCCTCTTTCCTTCCCTGCCTCTCTTTCTGTATGGCTTAATATCTATTTATCTATCACCATCCATCAGTCATCTATCCATATATCTGTCTATCTACCTACTTACCTACCATCTATTTACTAAATTAAGCTGGATGAAATAATTTACAAAGTTACATAAGTATAATAATAATATATGTAGAAACCAGACCAGCCTTGATCTCTTTACTCTTGTCTCAAACACTTGCATTTGTTTAGTTACTACTGCTTGAAACATTTTTCTTAGAGTTGTATAGTGTCCAAATCCCCCTATTTCTTTTCAGCACAAATATATTAGCATTTCTTTTTGAGGCAGGGTCTTACTCTATTGCCTAGGCCACAGTGCAGTGGCACAGTCATGGCTAACTGCAGCCTCAACCTCCCAGGCTCAAGTGATCCTCCCACCTCAGCCACCTGAGTAGCTGGGACCACAGGCATGCACCTCCATGCCCTGCTAATAATTTTTATTTTTTGTAGAGATGAGGTCTCACTATGTTGCCCAGGTTGGACCTATATCAATATCAACTTTTTAACATTGCGTTATGTCTTCTTAGACTGTATGCTTCATGAGTGCAGTGGCCTTGTTTTGTTGCCCTCTGTATCTCTAGACCTAGCACAGTGCCTTTATGATTAGCAAAAGATTTATTTATTAACTGTATGATTGCATGAAAAGAAGAATGAAATGAATAAGTAAATTTAACAAATATATCTGAATACAGTAAGCCAGTGTAGGTGTAACAGAAAGACTGTGGGTCTTAGAACCAGACAACAGGAGTGTATGTTGCCTCAACTAATTACTAGCTGCGGGAATGTGGACAAATGACTGAACTTCTCAAAGCTGATTTCTCCCTCAGTGATTTTAAATAAGAATGCATTTTGGTCATCAAAGCTGGTTCTCTGGCCTCTGCTAGTATCTCCCTTTATTGTCTGCTGATTCTATCCCCTTTGACTATTATGAGTATTCAAAATGAGCAGTCCCAGGAAAGTTTTGCTATAGGTTCAACTTACATGTTTAAGTAGGAATTCCTGATTAGAAGGTTCCCATTTAGTAATCACTCCACTTGTAGTTTTGTGGGAATTATCTGATCCTAGACAAAGGATTTAACATTTTAAGAAAGCAATGCAGATCTTAATGTGAGTAAGATATTATCCCAGTGAGCTTAAGTCCCAAGATCAATACATTAGGTATATCATATTTAAATTGGAGCTAGAGCACCCATGTCCTGGGGCCTCCTGTGGGTCTTAGTCAGGGAAAGGAGGGAGATAGGTATGGGGTTAGGGGAGAGGGTTATTCAGCCTGGACCTCACATTTACCAAGATCCTCCAGTTTACAGTTTACAATATTTTCTTACACACACACACATGCACACACACACAATGATTTTAATCATGTTGAAAGTGTTGATTTGTTAAATATAATATTTAAAGTTATATTCTAAAATTTTCACAACTCTTTTTTGGCATTTATTATTTATTTTTTAAAAAATTTTAAATCGCTAAGAATTTGGAGGTTGCAGTGAGCTGAGATCGCGCCACTGCACTCTAGCCTGGGCGACAGAGCGAGAATCTGTCTCAAAAAAAAAAAAAAAAAAAAAAAGAGAAAGAAATATAAATGGCTTGCTTTCTCTAACTTCTGAAAGCTGTATCTCCTCTGTGAGATAAGGCCATCTCTGAGCTTATGTGGCCAACCTTGCCACAAGAAGATATTCTCTTGAACGTGTCATGGAATTGCTTGGGTCTATTTTATATGTCAGAAAACTAAGGCAAACATTTCTTTGCCACATTGCTTTTAAACCACCCAACCACTACATGACATCCAGTAGTAAGATTAGTGATGATTAAACTTATATTCTTGACATAGTGCACTACTATACCTAGTCCCTTTACCCAGAAACAGGATTTCTCTGGCATTATCTGCCAACTGCCTCTCAAGCAGCTAAGCTCTTAAGAATTGTTACATGAGACATTTGCTCCTGGCACTGGTAGTCAAGGTAATTTGGATTAAATTGGCATATTTTAGGAAGGTGTTTTTAAATATGCGACTTTGTCTTCTCCTTGTGTTGATTTTGCTTTATATATTTTGATGTCAAGTTAGGTGTATATAAATTTAGAAGCCTTATATATTCCTGTTGAAAAAAACCTTTTGCCATTATGAAGAGACTCTGTCTCCAGTAATGCTTTCTGCCTTAATTTGTTCCTTTGTCTAAAGTTTTTCTACATCTATTAGGTTTTTCCTGAGTTGAACTAAAAATATTTTATATTGTATTCCAGAAGGAGAGACAATAAGGTTCATAGAAGGCCAGATTAACTTAATTTTATTCCAATACATTTACTACTAGTGCTCTGTGAATGACCATGATAGTTTCTGCTCAGCACCCCTTTCTTTAGCATGTCTCTCATCTCTGTGGCTGTTGTAAGAGCTGCCTTGGTTTTGGACAACCTTATCTCTGTGGGTGAACATCTTACCCAAACTGAGTCAGCACCATTTTCCCAGGTTTTGACTAGAACTGAGAATATGACTCCTTATTCTGTGTTATAAGTTATTAGAAATATTACTTTGGAGATTTTGGTACCCATGTTTCTCATGATGGGAAATAAAGCTGTCTTTAGTGATTGAGAATAAACCTTAACTTTTTTTTTTTTAATCTAAAAGAAACAGGTAAGGAGCAGAGAAAAGGGATGAGTTCTATACTATTTGGGTTGCTGGTTCCAATAGTCCCTAAAGCAGCTATATCTGACTTTAGAGAGTCCTTCCTTTATCCCACTCTTTCCTGGATTCTATGAGACAATAGCCTCAATCTTGTTCAAACTAGTTTAAGCTGTATTTCTCTCATTTGAGACAAAAAGAGTCTTTATTAGTATGTTCCACAATGAGTGAGCCATTTTGACTATAGGAGGGTATTAGGCCATGGTTTTCACAAAATGAATTTTGGCAAGAGGCTCAGTGGTGCCTGGTACAGCTCCGCTCTGGAGTTCTAAAAGAGAAGATTAGAAGCAGTGCCATCTTGGAATTAGCAAAGTCAGTGCAACTTGTTTAGAGCAATTATATCTAGAAAAGTGTTTTATCTCACAGGAATACAAATCCCGCACAAGTCTTATGGCTTATAACCAAAGCCACTGTGTTTGGAACCTGAAATCAGTGAGCATTGGTTGTGAAAAATCACCCTGTAGGCATGATCCCAAGCTCACTGGGTTAACAGAACAGTGAGGAGGATGAAAACCAAACAGTCAAGAAGATTCACCATTGGGGGGTGACTTAATGAGTTTGAATTAGTCTCATTTTGAGGCTTTATATAACTGTAGCAAAATTCGAGAGTATTTATGAAAGCTCATTTCTTTCTCTTTGGATAAACGAAAATTAACTTTAGTGGCTGGAAACTTTTTTGTCCTTTGAAGGCTTAATTTGTTGCTCTTGCCTTTCTCTGGGCTCACAGAAAGGTGCCTGGTTGCCACAATACCACTGAAAGCACAATTTGCCAAGGGCTTGGTACCATTCCCCATGGCAGCAGAAAACAATCACAACTAATAAATCAGAAATACTCTGAACTCATTCTGAGTCCAGTATTTGATTTTTAAATTTGATTTTAAGGATATTATGTTTTTCTTCTTGTCAAGAATAAGAGTGAAATAGTAGGAAATGAGTTCACAGTGTAAGCCAGTCATGAAATACTCTCCTCACTTCTACCTTTTAAGCTGGCCTGTCAAATTAGTAGAAATTAGGAATTCAGATTGTAACGTAATTAGACGTTAGATAAACATATACTTCAATATCTCTTATAAAACTATATTTGCTGGGTTCAGTGGCTCATGAAGCCCAGCTACTCAGGAGGCTGAGGTGTGAGGATTTCTTGAGGCCAGGAGTTCAAGACCAGCCTTGCCAACACAGTGAGACCTCTCTCTTTAAACAATAATACTAGGAACAACAAATAAATAAATAATAAGTAAATAAAACTATATTTGCAAATTTTATTTAATTCACTTTAAATAAGAATATAAATCTTTTGAGTCAAGCTGACACTAAAAACTGATCCAAGTACCACAAAAATTAAGTGACAATAATAAAGAAGTAGTTGCTTGGTTAGCTATAATTAGGAAATGAGTTATTCTGCATAACTATATTTTCTAAATAACTGGATATTATCTCTTACTAAATCTAATAAATTTTAAGATATTTTGATACAAACAGTTCTAAGACAGATTGCATGTTTCCTTGTCTTACCATAGAGAGTAGGAAATACAGTGAAACTTGTTCATTTATTTATTGAATATCTCTTAAGCACCTGCTATGTGCCAGGCACTATGAAAGACCCCCAAGCTATGAAAAAGAGCAATATATGCATGGTACTTGACCCCATGGAGGTTACATCTTATCATTTGTTATTATGGATGTGCATTTTATAAGTGATGTTTTCAAATGCTTTTGATTTACTTAGGGCTCAACCTATTAACAGTTAATTTTATTGTAGTCAAATCCAACAACTTTTTATTTTGCTTTGTGACTTCTAATTTTGGAGTCTTATTTAATAAGACTTTCTGTACTATTAGCTCACAGAAGTATTCCCCTACTCTTTCTTCTTTTGTTTTATAGTTTTATCCCTCCACATATAAAGTGTTGTTCTGTAAATTGTACCAGGTAGGGATACAGTTTCTTTTTTTTTTTCCACATCATCAGCAAGTTATTCTAGCACTGAACCATTTGTCTTTTTCCCATAGATTTGTGTGGTCACTATTACCACCTAACCATGCTCCATGGATCTCACTGATCTATTTATTTCTCCTGGTGCTTCCATTATATTGCTTTTTTATCACTCTGGCTTTGCAGTACAACCTACTATCTGTCAAGCTGAGACTTTCTGCTTTGCCCTTCCTTTTCAAAGTTGACATAGCTTTTTATGCAACTGCCCTATAAGTTTTAGAAAGTCAAGTTGCCCAAAAAAATTGTATTGTGATTTAGATTGAAATTGCGTTAGATTTAGAAATTAGTTTGGGAATAATTGATGTTTTTACTAGAAGACATCATTCCTCCATGAACATGGCATTTTTTAATAATTAATTTTTAAAGTTTTTTTCTGTCTACATCCTGTGTATTGTTAGGCAAAATCCTAAATATTGTATAGGTTTTGTTGTACTTGCAGTGGTATAATATTTTCTAATTGACTGTTACTGGTGTAGAAGAATGCTATTGACTTTTGTAAGCTGCTCTATCTGGCAACAAAAATTGCCTCCTAGATTACTTCTGTTGGCTTACCTGTTGATTCTATTGGCTTTTCTGGTTAGATGACTATTTATCTGCATATAAAGAGAGGTAAAGTATTCCCTTACAATCTTTCCATGTGTTATCTTTTTTTGTTGTCTTGTAGCTCTAACAAAGGCTTCATAAAACATAAATGGTAGTAGTAAGCATCTTATTTTTTATCTTACTAGAAAGTATTAAAATTTATCTGCTAAGTATGATGTTTGCTTTAGGTTTTTGGTACTACATTTTTATGAAGTTAAGGAAATTCTCTTTTATACTTGTTTTTTTGAGAGGTTTAAAAAATTACAGTTATTAAATTTTGTCAAACTAATTTTTAGGCATCAATTGAGACAGTCATATTTTTTTCTCCTTTAGTTTATTAATACAGTGACTTACACTGATATATTTCTGATGTTGAGCCAAACTTGTTTTTCTGGAATAAACTTTATTTAATCATACTGTATTACTTATGATACATTCTTGGGTTTTGCTTAGCAATATTTTTATTTGGAATTTTGTACCAATGTTCTTGAAATAGTTCTTTAAATTTTTTTTCTCTGACTTGCTCTTACTTGCTTTGGGAATGAAGGTTATACCTATCTCATAAAATGAGTTGAACAGTTTTTTCTGTTTTTCAGTATTTTTAATATTTTATAATGACTTATAAAATAAGGATATGTTCTTTGAACACATGATAAAACTTCACCTATGAAATAATCTGGGCTTGAAGATTTTGTTGCATGGAGGATTTCATTATCATTTTACTTTTTAAGTTTCTATTTTTTTATTCAAGTTTTTAATTTATTCCTGAATCGATTTTGGCATTTTATATCTTCCTTTTTATCTATGTTATCAAATTAGTTACTGTTTAATTGTTATTCTCTTAACTTCTGTTGCAGCTATTACTTCCTTTTTTATAATGCAATAATTTTGTGTGCTTATGTAATACAAATTATATACATAAATGAATTAGTGTATAAAATATATATGAAGCACTATATAAAATATTAAATATTACACACTATATATGCAATATTTATATTTATTATGTATAAATGTAAAAATACATTGTATCTTATAAGATACTACATATATTTCAGACAAATACAGTATATAATAGAAATATACATGTAATATATATACTGCACATAGTATAAATGAAAACTATAACTTATTATGTATATATTATTCACAATTGTTACTTTTCATTTTATATTTCTTTACCTTTGTTCTTGTGTGTTCTCCCTCTCCCTGCTCCCATGTCTTACCAATGGTTTGTTTGTTATACGTTTTTCATATAACCGGGCACAGTTTCAGGCACAGTTCATCTTCTCTACTTTTCTTTTGTTCTTTTACTGGTGTCTCTGTCTTATCTTTACTGTTTCCTTGTCTTTTTCCTTTGGGTGTGTGTTTATTGCTCCTTTCCCAGGGTTAAATACTTAGCATTTGTTTTCAATCTTTCTTGTTGGCTGGCAAATGTGTTCCAAACTAGAAATTTCGCTCTAAGTACTCATTTAGCTATGTTCCAAAAGCTTTGGCATGTATTATTTCCTTGTCTCTCAGTTCTGAGTATTTTTAAATTTTCCTTACAGTATTCTTTTTAACCCAAAGGTCACTTAATAGTATGTTATTTAGTTTCCAGGCATATGAGTCTAAATAAATTCTCTGTGTTGGATTCCAATTTAATTACATGATGAACATAGTCTTTATGAGGTTAATTATTTGAAATTTAGCACACAAAGACTTTTGTGAATATTTCATGTTTCCTCAACATCAATGT
The DNA here is from genome assembly GCF_000001405.40 of Homo sapiens. Lineage (NCBI taxonomy): Eukaryota > Metazoa > Chordata > Mammalia > Primates > Hominidae > Homo > Homo sapiens. Next base: position 111,140,392 of record NC_000011.10, on the reverse strand, counting down.
GGATTCTACGTTGGGTGTAAGTTTCTCTATGTCTATCAGTTTGTAACGATTAATCATATTATTGAAGTCTCCTATAATCTTTGCTCCTTTTTACTTGATTAAAAAATTCCTAAAAGTATTGGGTTAAAATTGAGTTATAATGATTTATTTTCACTCTGAGCATGATGTTTTATATGTTTATTGGATATATTCTTAGGTACATATATGCTGGTTATCTTTACCTAATTTGATTAATTATTCTTTCTATCAACATGTCATATAACCTAACCTTGAAGTTACGAGGGAGTGAGAAAATTCTACCCGAACACACATGAGTGAATTTAGTGACCAATCATATGTAAATGAGAAGATGGCTTGGAAATGTGGGTGGATGATAATATTAGTTACTGTGAGAAGATACACAGAAGATTTTGAGGTCAGGAAAGGCTAGAAAAGATGAGATGAGCAATATTCATTCATTCATTTATTTCCTTATTAAGTAAATATTTTCTGAGTGCTTGCTATATGCCAGGCACTAAATTTGGCATATTGAAGAAAGTTTTTAAGATGAATTAGTTTAAGTTTAAGATGAATTAGTCCCATAGTCCCATCAAGCATTCACTTGCAAAGCACTCATGTGTAAAGACAGATCATGATGTACATATTCATATGTAAGAAATTGAATGTGGAGTGCCTTATATATATATTACATATCAGAAGTTCATCCTAATAAAATCTCCAGTTGTCTTTAGGAAATTTCAAATCTGTAAGTAGATTTAAGATAATAGATTAGCATGATTTAAAAGCTACAACTTGATTTCAAAATAAAAAATATTCAATAATTACTCTTGTATCAGTAATGATCCCATTTGTTAGAACCAGACTGTACCTATAACACATCCTCTTCAAAGGTTTAAAGCAGTGGTTTTCAAACTTAAGTGAGGATGTGAATTACTTGGACACTTGATAAAAATGCTAGATTTTCCCTCCAGAGTGTCCGAGGGTTTGTAGTGAGCATAAGTGATCTAGATTTAGCAAGCTCCTTAGCTGATCATAATACTAGAACTCTGTGTTTGAGGAACGCTGCTATAAACTCTACTAATTCAAGTTACAGGACATTAGTAAACAAACAACACCCAGAAAACTTACTGCCTTCCAGGCAAGGAATGGGCAAGTGACATACTTGAAGTCTTAGTTGGATGTGATCTTCTTTTTCAGGTACTGCAAACTCACTTCTTAAATATATTTAGAACATTTTTTGTAATATATTAATAACCTAAGGGGTATAATCCTCATAAAAACATGAAAAACATAAATTTTTAAATATTTCTGGCTACTTAGATAGTTTCCAATCTGGTCTTGTTTTATATCTGCATAACAGCTTTATTTTCTACTCCTAGAGATTCCTCTTTCAGTAATCGCAGCTTGTGTGACCTCCAGTTTCTTTACTAGCTCTTTCCATTGTACTGGACAATTTCTTTGATAGTTTCCTGATTTGGGAAAGAGAGAAAAGTGAACAATCTTTCTTTTTTTTATTTTATTATTATTATACTTTAAGTTTTAGGGTACATGTGCACTATGTGCAGGTTAGTTACGTATGTGTATACATGTGCCATGCTGGTGTGCTGCACCCATTAACAATCTTTCTAATCTTCCTTTTTGACCAAGGAGAAAAAATTTTACTCATTTTGACCTGCTAAAGTCCTATTTTCTCCTCTAGAAACCATTAGGAATATGCAGCAGGGCACAGCGTGCTTGATTTCTGGAAGCATCTTGGGAGTATTCTGGGGAAAGACCCCATGACCACCTTTATTCATAAGGAGATTATTTTTCCCCTCCCCATTTAGGAAAACTCCCTCTAATATGCTTCCTGCTGACAACTAAAGCAGGTTTGGGAGACTATTCAACTTTAATAATAAGACACTCTATGTAAATTAAGACCTGCTTAAATTCAGGACTGCATTAGGATTAGGAGGCACAAGTAAAACTGAAAATAAAGCTAAAATTGAACCAAGTTTAATACTCATGTATGAAAGGGATAAAGAAAATCATAATATATTTGCAGATATAGACCTTTTGACTAGGATAATAAGATTGCCCCTGAACTGAATATTCAAAAGATAGGTAATAAACAGCATATATAATAGGCTATTATGTTTAAGCCATCCAGCTAGAAAGTTATAAAAATTTATGGGCAAGCAATGTACAAATTATTTTTCATAAAATATACTGAGTTGACAACTAGATTTAATGGAAAAATATGTAGAAAATTGGAAGAGGGCCATTGTAAATGGAAAAGCACACAGTGAAACAGAAATTAGTATCATCAAACATGAGGTTGTTGAGAGACTTGGATTTAACCCAACAACAAATGAAGCAGAATAAGAGTATGGAGACACACAAGGCTGGCAAACAGAGAAAGACACAAAGGTGCTCGTGTTATAAAAACCTAGGAGCACATAAACATTTCTCATAATGAAAAGCAACTGTGATGTTTTGATGACTGTATTTTGTGGTTATATCCTACATCATCCCTCTAATCTACTGATCAATAATACCTTATCAAAATATTAATAGTCTTTGCTCTGTATGTGTTATTGATACTAAACCCAGGTTGGCAGCCAGTGATAGTGCCAGTCTTTTCTAAATATTTATTAACTACTTGGTTGATTAATTTTTATGGAATTTTGACAGGAACTGATATTGACTTTACTGGCTTTTATATTTATATCCCATTCTTTCCTTACCTTTGAAAACCAGAATAACATTTTTGCCAGTCTTAAGCTCTGGTTATTAGAAAACACATATTGAAACCACATATTGACACCACTAACATGTATTAGAATGGCTAAAATGATAAAGATTGACTACCTTAAGTATTAGTGAAGACGTGGAGGAACTTCAACTCATACTGGTAGAAATGTACAATAATTAAAACCACTTTGAAGAAAACTGTTCAGCAGTTTCTTAAAAAGTAAAACTTATCATATGATCCAGCCATTCTACGTTGAGGTATCTACCCAAGATAATTGAAAATATGTACACATGAAGCTTGTGTGCAAATGCTCATAGTAGCTTTAGTGGTAATAGCCAGAAACCGGAAACAATCCTGATGCTCATCAATAGGTGAATGGATAAACAAATTATGGTACAGGCTGCTACTCAGCAATTAAAAGGGAAAACTAGTGATATACACAACAACACGAATGAATCTCTAAGTGTGTGAAATAAAAGAACCAGAGGAAAAATGGTACATATTCTAATATTCCATGTATTTAAAATTCTGGAAAACACAAACATATCTATTGTGACAGAAAATGGTTCAATGGTTTCTAGTGACGGAGAAGTAAGAGAGGAATTACAAAAGGACCCAAGGAAACTTAAGGGGAGATGAATATGTTCTTTATCTTGCTTGTGGTGATGGTTTCACAGGTGTTTACACATGTCACCAATCATCAAATTTCATATGTGTATATATTGTATGTGTATTTATTGTATGTCAGTTGTGCATCAATAAAGCTGAATAAAAAAGTAAAATCATTACTGGAATCTTTCGTCATCAGGAAAAAATAGAACACAAGTTAGTAAATTATGTTTAGGTGGCCCAATAGCACATGAGGAAAATACTGCACATACCTGAACACTATGCCAACTTATTAAATTGTAGACTTGTGTCTTTCAGTCTCATATCCCTTCACGAGGAACATATTTTAAACCATTTGTATTGTTTCATTTACCCGCAAAGTCAGTCAAAAATAGAAAAACACTTTTGATAACATTTATTGCTCTATCATCAACTTTGATTTTATAGATTATTGAAATAATTGAAATTTCAAAGGATGGAACCCCTGGACTGCATCTGCTATAAATTTTTCTGCAGGCATAATAACCTTGATAAGCTTGTGCACTAGCAACTCAATTTCAAATATGGGTTGGTTAAGGCACTGAGTACCCTAAGTACAGATTCCAGAATATGTTAGAAATAACCACTACAAGATGTTCTGGAGTTGAGCTATAATATTAGCCTCACAGATATTGGCAGGCATTCTTTTATTTGATGAAACAAATAAGGCAGTGGAATTTATTGTACTATTTAGTAGGGAAAAAGGCAAGAGCCTGTGTAGAGAAAACAAAGACGCTCTTTTGCTTTTAACAGAGGAGCTAAAATAAAAACCTTAAAAGGGGGGCTGCTCATTATCTTGGACAACTCACATCTGGACTTCGGCATCATCACGCACTTCTTCCTCTCCTTTTCCCTCCCCGCAACCCTCTCCTCAGCCAACCAGTGCAGCGTCCTTACTGAATTCACCTGCACAGCATCTCTCTGTTTTTCCCCTTCTGTGACCGCTCCCCTGACCGTTTGAAATAGCCAGTGCTAACTCAGTGTTGTTTTAAAATGCAGTGTTCAGACCAGCAGCATTGCATCACCTGGGAACGTGTTAGAAATGCATATTTAAATGCACCTCTCCAGATGGCCTGGATTAGAGATTCTGGTGGCAGAGCCCAGCAATGTCTGGTTTAACAAGCCCGCGGGGTGATTCTGGTACGTGCTGAAGGCTGAGAACCCTGCTATCACCATTCTCCCTTTTGTGAGGTTCTCTTCCTAAACACAATTATTTTGCCTATCATTGCCAGATGAAATGAAATTTCCAAAGTGTAGATAAAACATATCACTCCCTAGGGCAAGAGCCTTCTACCTTCTTCACTGTTAATACCAGTAAACTGTTAATACCTGCTGAGCACTTTCTATGTGCTAGGCCATATAGCTCCCTGCTAGGCATAATAACTATTTAAGAAATGTGTGATGAATGGTTGGGTGACCACCTGCTCTTTTGTGGTGTCAGGTTGCAATGGCCCCCATTACTAGTTCTGAGCCCTGGCCTCACATTAGATTCACCTGGGGCTTAATAAAAATATCCCACCCAAGAACCATTAAATAGAGATCTCTATGGGCATGGTCTTCCATCATATTTTTAAAAGCTTCCTGAAGTGATGATGTGAAACTGGTTGAGAGCCGAGCCCACCAATCTCTGTGACTCTTGTCTTCTTGGCCTGTTTCTCTCACAGCTGGGGTCACTTTGTCCCCAGCTGCAGCAGCCACTGCCCTGCCCCTAGCTCTGTCATCAATCTTGTTAGACAAAGGAATGCAAGAAACCAGGGGTAGTAGCTGGGTTGACTTAGCTTCCTGTTAATGGCATTTTTACATTACTGCCTCACTAAGGTCTTGAGTTTAGCAACTGTCCTGGCTTCACTATAGTCACTTTCCGCACAGCATCCAGAATGACCTTGTCTAAATCTAACTAAGTCCATCCATGACGCTCCTCTGCTCAGAACCCTCCAGTGGGCTTCCAGTCTCATGGAGAGTAAAACAAAAGTTCACTCAGTGACTTATGTATCTTTTCCTCTCTCCTCTCCCTTGCATGCCCATTCTCCCATTGCCTCTCTGGCCTCGGCAATTACTGCTCTAACTTTGATCCAGAGCTGACTCTGCTCCAGCCATACTGACCTCCTCCCTGTGCCTTGGGTATACTTGGGGCCTTTGTGCTTGCTGGTTCCTCTGTCTGTAATCATTCCCCCTCCACCCATTAGCCACATATCTCCCTTCCACACATCTTCACAGAGCATAACTCGAATATCCTCTTCCCACTCAATAAGGCCTACCCTGACCACTCTGTTTAAACTTGCTGACACCTTTTCAGTGCTCCTACTTTGCTTTATTTATTTATGGTTTGTTGTCCATCTCTAAAGGCAAACTTCATGAGGTAGGGAGTTTTGTCTGTCTTATTCACTGCTGTATCCCCAGTACTTAGAAGAGTACCTGGCACATAGTTGGTACCTGATATGGTTTGGCTGTGTCCCCATCCAAATCTCATCTTGAGTTGTAGTTCCCACAATTCCCACAAGTTCTGGGAGGGAATTGATGGGAGGTAATTGAATTATGGGGGTGGGTCTTTCCTGTGCAATTCTCATGATAGTGAATAAGTCTCATGAGATTTGATGGTTTTTTAAAGGGGAGTTTCCCTACACAAGTTCTCTTCTCTTATCTGCTGCCATGTGAGACATGCCTTTCACCTTCCAAGGTGATTGTGAGGCCTCCCCAGCCACGTGAAACTGTGAATCCATTAGACCTCTTCCTTTTGTAAATTGCCCAGTCTTGAGTATGTCTTTATCAGCAGCATGAAAATGGACTAACACAGTACCCAATAAATATTGACAGAATAAATGAATTCCCGACCCCCATGGTCAGGCTGCCAATCTGATAGTCCATTATAGAACCTGAGCCTTTGCCTCATTCCTTGTGCTCACCTTCAGACCTTGGTGATCATTTCTCTACCCCAGGCCATCTAAGACAGAATCCTTGCTCTCTTCTGGCCAGGCCTTGCAGGGGTTGGAGAGTGGCTCTGGACACTACCAAGGCTGAGAGGCTCATGCCTACAGCCTTACCTCCTAACCCTGCCTCTGCCCCTGCCTGTGTTTCTGTGTTAGCCTACATTGGTTCACCCTAATCTTGACCAATTTCCTCAACAGTTGCCTATTGCTAAGCACCATATGTAGTCTGTCCCATTCTGGTGGAGGACACCTGTGGGAAGGCCTAGTGTCTATATTATTAGTCCATCCTGTTTCTCTCTCGTGCTCTAAGCTCCCTTTCTGTCAGAAGATGCGTTGTGTATTGAGGGCATTGAATCAAAATCAATTGTTATATCTATTTATCTCTCTATCTGTCCCCTATGCTCCTTGAATGTAAGCTCTAAAGGACCGGGGATTTTTGTCTTTTTTGTTGTTCATTGCTATTTCTCCAGTGCATCGACCAGTGACTGACCCATTGCAGTCATACAATATATAAATATTTGTTCAATAAATGGATTAATGACTTCCACTGTTATTGCTTAAGGTTGTTGCTGCCACCTCTGAGTTCTCAAGTATAAAAAATTAGAAAATCCACACAAAGCAATGCTTTCATTTGAGAGAAGTTAGAGAGTGAACTGTCTTGATTCTTAATTAGTTCTTTTTAATTTGACCCCATTGTTGCTTAGTTTTTAAAAAGGAATAAAAAAGAAGTACATCAAATTTGTGGAGAAGTCACTTTAGAAATGCTAATAAAGGTATAAAATAACAGATGGAGTTTCACAGTCGTACAATACTAAGTCAACAAGCATCCATTTTAAAAATTGAAACATTGGCATCTAGATATCCAAATATTTCCAAATATCTGGATGTTAGATGCGACATACAAGCAGATATGTAATTGACATTTTTACTTTTCACGGTGAGATCCAGCCTCAAGGAAATTAGAAGAACAATTGTAAAGCAAGCTATTTTCTCTTACATTGAAAAACATGGCAATTTTTGATACCTATCTATGATGGCATTTCCCACACCACAGTAGCCTTGGGAAAAAAAAAAACAACAAAGCAAAACCAAACCAACCCAAAACATCCATAGCTTCTGATGGTCACAGAGGTGCTGGTTCTCCCTCTTGCCCTGGGCTCCTGCCCGTTAATGGCACTAATGGCAATGTCTCTCATTTTGGGGCACTATGCGGGGGATTTACAGACATTGACTCACTTGTTCACCCCAATGGCATACTGAGGAAGAGTTAATGGTCCCCATGTAAAAGATGAACAGCAATTTCATTTCTGGCTATTTATCGAAAAGAGTTGAAATCAGGATCTCAAAAAGATGTCTGCACACCAACAATCCTTGTAGCATTCATTATTCACAACAGTCAGGCTGTGGAAACAACCTAAACGTCCATCCACAGGTGAATGAATGGATAGAGAAAATGTGGCATATACATACAATGGAATACTATTTGGCCTTATAAAAGAAGGAAATTCTGCGATATGTGATGCCATGGATGAACCTTGAAGACATTGTGCTAAGTGAAATAAGCCAGTCACAGGAAGACAAATACTGTATGATTCCATTTATATGAAGTACCTAAAATAATCAATTCACAGAATCCAAGAGTGGAACAGTAGTTGCCAGGGGCCGAGGGAGGAGGAAATAAGGAGTGACTAATCAATAGGAATAAAGTTTCATTTAAGAAGACAAATAATCTCTAGAGATCTGTGGTACGATATAGTCAGCAATACCATATTGTGCATTTAAGAATTTGAGGGCAGAGCTCATGTTAAGTGTTATTACCATAATAAAACAACATTTAAGAAAATACAAAAAAAGATGAAAAAACCCAGTAGTTTAGCAAAATCTAAGTAACTTTTGGTTAGGAATTAATGTAGCTAGGAAGAAAAACCTTTCTTCCTCCTCACCTTGCCCTTGCCCTTAGCTTCCAGGCATCTCCCACCTCCCCATCTCTTCCCCTTCTTGGCTGTTCATGGCAGTGGATGCTGATACCAACCTATATGTATAAAGTATTTAGTATAAGCATGAAGTATACTAAAGGATCATTTGTTGTTTATTCAAAATTCAAATTTAATTAGATGTTCTATATTTTTATTTCCTGAATCTGACAATTTTCTTCCCACTATCTCATCTGAAAAGATTATTATTGTTGTGCTGTAATACAAGAAATTTAATTAAGAGTAAATTATACTCACAACAGTGAACACATGAAATCAACCTGGGTGCCCATTAATAGTGGATTGGATAAAGAAAATGTGGTATGCTTACAACATGGAATATTATGCAGCCATTAAAAGAATGAAATAATGTCCTTTGCAGCAATGTGGGTGGAGCTGGAGGCCATAATCCTAAGCAAATTAACAAAGGAACAGAAAACCAAATACTGTATGTTTTAACTTGTAAGTGGGAGCTAAACATTGAGCACACATGGACATAAACATGGGAACATCAGACATTGCAGACTCCTAGAGAGTGGAGGGAAGGATGAGGACATGGGTTGAAACTACCTATTGGGTACTATGCTTACTACCTGAGTCCAATATACCCATGTAACAATCTTACACATAAGCCCCCTGTATCTAAAATAAGAGCTGAGAATTTAAAAAAAAAGAATAAAGAACACTAAGGAAAACTGTAGGAAGTACCTCATGCCTTCTTACTTCATACCATCTCTTTCATCTGATTGGTCTTTAATGCCACTTACTACATTGGGTTTCACATCATTATTTGTGAGCCTGTTTCTCACCCAGTATTGATAAGTAGCCTGGGAGGAGGGGAGAGGTTTATTCCACATTGCCTCTCCTTAGTGCCTCGGTCGGCACCTTCACAAAGAGGCTCCCTCATGCCCCACTTCTTGGAGCTGTCCAGGCCAAACTGGGCCACACCCAGAGGAGGTGAGAAGAGCCATGGAGGGGTAGATTACCTCATGGGGAGGTCTGACCAGGCCCGAGTGGAAATACAGTGAATCCTCAATATTTGCAGATTCTGTGTATATTTGGGAATCCACCTGCTTGCTAAAATGTATTCGTAACCCCCAAATCAATACTCATGATGCTTTCATGGCCATTCACAAGCATGCACAGAGTGGCAAAAAATTTGAGCCACCCAACACATATTCCTGGTGGAGACTGAACAAGGCTGTGCTCTACCTTGTTGTTTTCAGCTCTCATGCTATAAACAAATGTGGTGTATTTAGTGCCATGTTTTTTGTGTTTTAGTGCTTTGTATTGGTGATTTTGCTATTTAAAATGGCCCCAAGTGTGGTGCTAAAGTGCTGTCTAGTGTTTTAAGTACAAGAAGGCCATGATGTGCCTTGGGGAGAAAATAATATATGTTAAACTTCCCTCAGCCGTGAGTCACAGTGCTGTTGGCTGAGTTCAATATTAGTGAATCAACAATCTATATTAAACTAGATATCTTTAAACAGAAACATATATAAAACAAGGTTATGTGTTGCTCGTTTGATGAAAATGTGACCACAGGCTGGCAGGAACTGAACCTGTATTTTCACTCGGAGCAATGGTATAGTATTCTTGAATTCAGTGTTTGTGGCAACTTTATAGATCATAACTACTGTGAATAATGAGAATTGACCTGTATGTCCTAGATATTTCTCATTTGTATGATTGACAGGCAACTCATCAGGCGGATATGGATAATGTAGGGGTCATGGAAATGAATTACTAAAACTTTCCTCAACAGAGGAAAAAACCTGGCTGACAATGACTTCAGAAAAGGGAGAGGGGATACAAATGGAGTTGCTAGTTTTTCTAACATTGAAGGTGATCCTTTTGAGAAAATACCAGCGGCAAGCTTTCCTGCTTCTGGGATTTGTTTTTCCTTTACAAACTTAATTTTCATTCCTGCTTTTCAAGAGGAAAGTTTCTTGGCAACACGTGATGGTACTTATGGGATTTTATCTTGGGATCAGATATCTTTTTGTTCCACTCTTGGAAAATTCAAGCAGGGCAATGGCAATGGATTGCTTCAGAGCTTGACAAGCAAAGGGTTAAAAGGCTTCACGAGATTTTTATTAATATAGCTAGGGAAGGCCAGAAAGAGCCAATTTACCGACATCAGTCCCCTAAACTCCATTTTGCTGGAATGACTCAATCATCTATTGCTCTGGATCTTGTTTCTTCTGGGAATTCTGAGGGGTGTTAGAATTAAATTACCACCACTCAAACATTTTGTACTTGTTGTTTTTGAAAGAAAGTCTTGTCCAAAAGCCCTCTCATCTCCTGGAGTGAAGTACAGAGATCCTTGAACAAAACCAGATAGGTAGACTAGAAAATATTCTGTCTTCAAGCCTTCTATTTTTTTTTAAGTATCTATTACTGAGAAACTGACTTTGCAAGCCCTGACTTGCTGAGAAGTGTTTATTAACCAGCAGATTGTTCTCTCAGTTCTTTGGTACCATGCATCAAGCTCAGCAGGTCCAGCCAGAGGCAAGATGGTGAAGAGACTTTGCCATTGTTTTTGTGGCTTCTTTGCTCTACCTCCCGAGTCAAAATTCCTGGTTTCCATTCTTCATCTTTTCCACCTTTATTTTCAGGAAAATTTACCAAATAAAAGACTTTCTGAGAATATAAATTGGTACAGCCATTTTGTAAGGGCTATCAATCACAATTTTAAATGTGTCTACCCTTTATCTCAGCAATTCTGCTTCTAGAAATTTATCCTATGAGTTAATGCACAAAGATATATGTATAAAAATGGTCACAAAGTGCTGTTTGTTCATAGCAAAAAAACTAGAAGCAACTTACAATGCCATATGTGAAAGCCATTAGAGAGAAAAAAGCACATCTCTCTATACTGACATGGAATCATGTCTACAACTTTCTGTTAACTAAATATGGCAAGTTGCAGAAAATGTATAGTATAGCTAGTTATATAAAAGGAAAAGAACACGTGTGCATAGAAAAATGTGTGAAAGGATAATATCAATCTCTTGATAATAGCAATCTTTGTAGCCATTTGAATTGGGTATGAGGAGGTGGGGGAAGGAAGGGAGTTGAGGAGTGGCTTTAAAAAGTTTATTTTATATATGTTTTATTATTTGTTACATGAACATGTACTTTTATAATGCTATAAAAACAAATTTTATGAATGTTGCCCACAAGTTTTATTTTCCATTCAGGAAACTTCTGTGGAGGGGCAATAACTGGATCATCAAACACCTGTCTAGTCACCACCTGTGACAGTGTTGGGCTGCCACACCCATGGTGTGCTGTCTCGACCATCCATTTCATTGATGCTGGATGGATTTAAATCATTTCTGTGCTATCTGTTCTATGGGCATCTGTGATACATAAACAAACAGGCATGGAGACTATTTGGCTACGAAAAGAGGAGCTGCTAGGAAGTGAGGTCCAGTTTCAACATTTTCATCTGTAGCCAATTCAAAAGATGTTGGAGGCCTGGCAGACATGTCTGCTGAAATGATGTAATTAATTATAGGCTGCATAAAAATATGCTTTGTTTGATTGATTTATCCATTCATTCAGTTATTCAATAGCCATTTTACTGAGCTTCTACTATGTGCCAGGCACTGGGCATGATTTAAGTATTAAATGCGTTTGTGGACTTGTGCTTAAAGCCCACAACAAAGTATTAAAATATTTCAGTGCTGAGGACCTTACTGTTGTTGAGAAATGAAGCACTGATTTTCATACCTATAAAATAACTCCACCATCTGTTGTGATGAGAGAAAACTCTTCAGTGCTTGCTTAAAAATGTTAATGAAGAAGCTTCCCTGAAGATTATATGTAAAATCTCCTAGTTCAAATTTAGGCTGTCATGTTGTAAAACAAGTAGGAACTAGATGAGTCAATGTAGGAAAAAAATTCTTCTGGCCAAAGTCTGCAGAGAGAAACAGGGAAACATTTTCAGATCTGAAGGAGAATGTTAAAGAAGAGCAATTAGATAATCTTATTGTCAGGAGATAATCCATAGAATATATAAAGATCCCTTGAAGGGAAGACAGGAAACAAGATGGGGAGGACAACATAAGGAGTCACCTTTGAGCAATTCAGAAACACTAAATAGGTCAACATAGGAACCTCATATGTGGGCCAGTGTGGAGTAGCATTTGGTACTTCCTAGGAAGCACAGTGCTTCTCCCAGGTCATCTTTCTTTCTTATGTCTGCATAGGATTCATTCTATCTCCCATCTTCCTGAGACCAGATCTCAGGAATTATGTTTTTATAACCTGGTTAGAACAGTGGCTGCTGCTGTAACTACAAACATTATGAGTTCTTCTTCACCCCATTTCCCCTTTCTCTTTTGTGTTCAGGAGCAGAGAGACCAAATACTATTTGTCTTATAGGCACTTATCCATTCATTACCTACAAATATTTATAAAGAAGAACCATATGCCAAGCCCTGTGCTAGTTGGTGAAGCACATGGAAAGGTACCCTTCTGGCCAGGAAGGCCCTCACAGCCTCGAAGGGGAGACAGGCATTTAAGAAATAAATGACAGAATTACTCTTGATTGTCCTTTCTCCTTCATTCCCAGTATCCAGTTCTGTTGTCTCTACCTCCAGAATATGTCTCCAATCAGACTGCGTCCCTGCAGTTCTACTGCCTACACCTGAGTCCAAGGCACTCTTCTCTCTCACCTGGAAGAAAGGGTCCTCTAGCTTTTGTTCTTGTTCTCTGTAATCCCTTTTCCTCACAGCAACCAGGAAGATTGTGAAAAGGATGGAAGTCAGATCAGGTCACTACCCTGCTCAAAAAACTTCCAATTGCTTCCTACTGGATATAAAATGAAATTCAGACTCTTTGCATGGCCTCTATCTCTTCTACTGCATCTGATACCATTGCACTTGCTTCTCTCTATGTTCCCATCACACCAGTCTTCTTTCTGTAGCTCATTCCTCCCTCAAGGCCTTTGCCTCTGCACCACCTCTGTCTGAACAACCTTCTTCACATCTCTGCATGACTCACTGGACCTCAGCACAAATGTTCCTACCTTAGAGAGGCTTTTCCTAACCACCTTCCTTAAAGTATGCGTCTTCCAATCTCTACGTATCACATTACCCTTTCTATTTTTCATGGTATCCATTGTTGTCTGAAAAAAAATGTGTTTATCTCCTCGCTACTTACTGTTTGTAAGTGTTACTACTTTACTGTTGTAAATCTCAATCCCCATTGAGATTGTAAGCTGGGGGAAGCGGGGACTAAACCATCTTGCTCCCTCTCTATTGCCTGGGTATAGGTCAGTATCAACATGTGTTTGTGGAATAAATGAATGAGTATAAGTAATGGAAGTAAAATGAGTATTTGCACAGTCCTCTGTACTGTCCATATTATTTGCAGATTAATCCTAATGCTAACAGAGATAGAATCATGCTGCCATTTGTGGAGTTGTAGGAGTGAGAAGGAGTATTAGAAGTTTGTAATCCTCTGCTCTTCCACAGTATTGGAAATCGGTGGCTTTATTCACTTTTTATGAGCCCTTTGAGGATGTAAATAAAGCCCCTGGACTCTCTAGGAAAATGTATATTTGTACATGCACCAAAATATCCACATAATTTCTTTGGGTTTATGTAGGGTGAGCAACCGTCCCAGTGTGCTCCAGACTGAGGGGTTTCCTGGGATGCAGGACTTTCAGTTCTAATACCAGGACAGGAAAACTGAAACAGTTGGTCACCCTAGGATTATATCCCCCACCAGAAGTCCTTTCATGAATCCCCTAAGTGCCCAAGAAGAACCCTTCCTGTGGATGTTAACATATCAGAAAATGTTAAGTAATTACTGAGCCACTACTAAGAGAAGATAGAGAAGTGAAGCTGATGAAGACAGTGTTGAATGTGGATGTCATTAATGTGTAGGGCAAGTTTGTGTAATGGGATCCCATGCATAAGAGGAGTTTAGAGAAAGCAGATGCTATGAACAGTAATAGCACCACTTTAGGTGATATGATGGGCAGGTGCTTATCACTACTCATGATTGAGTTAGCATAACTTTCCCCCACTCCCTTCCACTCACCAAAACTAACCCATAGTGTGAGTTTTAATGCTATGACTGCCCAGTGCCAGTTGGAGGCAAGGATAATCTCATAATGTGGGAAATCAACATGATAAAGAAAGCTTAAGACTATCTCTTCTAGAAGACCTTCTCTAATACTTGGCAAATTGTGGGAACCAATAAGTATCAGATATAGGTAACCAGGGGTCATGAGTGTTTTGTATAACTGAGTCGTTTAATCAATACAACCCCTAAAGGAAGCTAATTAAATAATCCCTTGCTCTTGGGACGAGGTTATGTATTCACTTGGTATGAGTTTCGGCAAGCTACAGCTATGGGGTCTTCATAAATTTGTGGACTATCTCTTTAAGAAATAACACTGTCATTAAGTTTGAAAATAACTTTTAAGAAGCTTATAGTCATGTTTTGTTTCGGGTGTGTCCTGGGAAGTTGTCCAGGGAGCTCTAACATATACCTTCCAGAGTAAATATCTCTAAGCCATTCTTTCTGTACAAAACTGCAAGGCTGAAACTATGTGCATGGAGTACAACCATTTCTACTGTCTTGCCCATTTGCCTGGAGAAGGGACAAGTGACTGCAGTAGACATTACTAATGTTTCCCAACATTCAGCTCACTTTTTTTCCTGTAGGCAACTAATCACTTGGCCTTACCTTCAGAAGGTGAGGCCATGTTACTAGTCCTGGCCAATGAATCTATATGAGCAGAAGGCATGCTCACCACTTCCAGGCTGAAACACAGAGGAGCAGGTGTGAAATCCTGATGTGCTGTATTCCTCTGCTATTGAGGAGGGAACCTTGTATAGAATTGATGGAGCCACAAGATTGAAGCAGCCTGAATCCTTGAATCACCTTGTGGGTAATACCTGTCCTAAAGGGTCAGTGAGACCCACCATGGAGGTTACATGAGGAAGAAATAAATCTTTGTTCTCTTAAACTCCTGGGATTTCATTCAGTTAATTTACTACGTCAGTGTAATCTGGTCTATTCTGACCTATTCCACATCAAACCAAGGTCATTAAACTATAGATGGCAATGAGGGAAGCTGCAGCCTTTGAAATGACTTATTTCAAAGCTCTCCCTAACAGGGGAGTCCATACTGGATGTCAGCAATCCAGCTAACACTTACTTCCTAATTATACTCAGAAAAAAATGAATTACATGAGCTGAGAGTCCCTATTCCCAAGAGTGTTCCAGTTCTCTGTGACAGCTGCTCTATATCTCAGCCTTCAAAGTGCTGGGTCTGAGAGCAGCTGAACAGAGAGAAGTCTGTGGTGCTCCAGGTTACCCTATATTATCTTCTATCCTTGCAATGACCCCCCAGTATCCAGGCAGTGATTCTCAAACCTTGCCTGTTACATGTCCCCAGCATCAGTAGAGAGAAAGCAATTGAGTATATAGCTTGTCAGAAACTTATGTTTTCTTGGACCGATAATAATATTAAGAACTAACATTTATTGTGACATGCAAATCTGTGAAACATTTCATACTATTTCACCGTATAGATAAGGTCTTCTCAGACCACCCTATTGAAAGTTGTAATCCCCGCTCATGCTTATGCTATAACACCTTATCCCCCTTCTCTGCTTCACTCTTTTCCATAGCTTTCCTACCAGAATATAAGCTCTACAAGGGCAGGCATCATTGCCTACTTTTTCATTGCTATATCTCCAGGGCCTTGAAGAGTTTCTAGCACATGGTAGGTGTTTGTTGAATCTACTGAGTGCCATGTAGCCAGATGGAGAATATTGAATTCACCAGAATTCTACTGTGTGGGAGGGTGAGGTTGGGGTGTGGGCTGAGGCAGGTGGCTTGGCAGGGCTGCTTTCCCCAAAAATAGCAGCTAGTGACAGACTGGCCTGCAGTTCTCCAGTGCTAAGCACAGTGGGGACTATCAGTTTCACAGTGAGCTGAGAACTAGGGGACAGGCACCATGCAAAGGAGTCAAAGAGAAGGATGAGAGGCAACAACATAGCTGAAGCTGTGTGGCATGCAATGCAATGCCTGTCTACAACAAAATGTCAGAAAACTTACTACATGAATGAGATACTGAAAGTCATTTGCTTCCTTCTGGGAAACAAAGCAAGGATAAATCTTTGGATCTGGGTTTTGACATAGGGTCCAAGTGTTCTGGAAAGAAGAGAAACAAAAGACATAAAAGCACAGATCTTATTCTTACTCTTACCCCACCCAGAAGGTGAACTCCAGGTTATTACTCGTGGTGCAATAGGAAGTGTGTGAAGTACTTCAGTAAAAGCAGCCAAAATTTGCTGAGCTCTTATTAAGTGTCAAGTAACTTTACTAAGTGTTTTTCAGAAAGTCATCTGATCATCACAACAACCCTATATGGTACATGCTCTTATTATAGTCTATTTCACAGCAGAGAAAACTGAGTCACCAAGAGGTTCACTACCTTGTCTCAGGTAATCCAGGTAGGAAGTGGGGGAACCAGAATTTGAACTGGGCAGTCTGGTTCCCAAGTCAGCTCTTGTAACCAATGTGACAGTGCCTTTCACTTTTTATCCTTTATGTCACTTAATTCTGACAATAGACATATGCTCTAGGACAATTCTTCTAGCTTCACAGATGAGGAAGCCATGGCTTGGGAAGGCTGAGTAAACTTGCCCAGTGTCACAAAGTGTTTCAGTAGTGGACCCTGAATTCGATTCAGATTTATTTTCTTTCTATTGCTTTTGTGAACCAGAAAGTATCTGAGACACATTTCAATCAATTTAGAGGTTTATTTTGCCAAGGTTAAGGGCCATGGCCTGTGACACAGTCTTAGGAGGTCCTGAGAACATGTGCCCAAGATGGTTGGGTTACAGCTTGGTTTTATACTTTTAGAAAGACAGAAGTTGCAGGCAAAGACATAAATCAATACATGGAAGGTATACATTGGTTTGGCCCGGAAAGGCAGGACATCTCGAAGTGGGGGCTTTCAGGTCATAGGTGGATTCCAAGATTTCCTGATTGGCAATTGGTTGAAAGAGTAAGCTCTGCCTAAAGAGTTGAATTCAGCATAAATAAATTATTTAGTTTAGATAAGGGAGTCATAAAAGCCAACATTCTTGTCCTGTAGAAGAAGACTGCTACCTAGAGTGAAGAGATGGTGAATGTCTCTCATCTGATCCTAAAAGGTGTCAAACTCTCCAGGAAAAGACCTAGTAAAGGAAGGAGATTCTCTCCAGAATTAAACTTTCCCCATAACAGATAGCCTTTTAGGGCCTTTTTAGAATATGTCAAAGGAATATATTTTGGGGTAAAATACTTTGATTTCATTCAGAGCCTGTTATCCGTCATGTGATGCTATACCAGAGTCAAGTTGAAATTTGGCATCTTATTGCTACAGAGATTCTGTTTTGTCAGTCTTAAGGTCTCTGATTTATTTATTTATTTATTTATTTATTTATTTATTTTTTGAGGCAGAGTCTCACTCTGTCACCTAGGCTGGAGTGCAGTGGTGCGATCTCAGCTCACTGCAACCTCTGCTTCTTGGATTCAAGCAATTCTCCTGCCTCAGCCTCTCACTTGGGATTACAGGTACCTGCCACCACACCCAGCTAATTTTTGTATTTTCTAGTAAAGATGGGGTTTCTCTGTGTTGGCCAGGCTGGTCTTGAACTCCTGACCTCAGGTGATCTACCTGCCTTGGCCTCCCAAAGTGCTGGGATTACAGGTGTGAGCCACCATGCCTGACCACAAGATCTCTGTTTTAATATTGGTGCTGGTCAGTTGTGTCTAAACTCCAAAGGGAGGAGGGTATAATGAGGCATGTCCAACCCTCTCTTTGTGTCATGGCCTGAGCTACTTTTTCAGGTTTCTTTGGGATTCCTTTGGCCAAGAGGGGAATCCACTCAGTCAGTTGAGGGGCTTAACATTTTATTTTTGGTTTATACTCTTTTTTGTAGTATTCTGTAATTTTCCCTCACTACTTTTATAGTTGGACTCCACCCTAGGATGACTAGTTTACTCAACCACCCTGTATTACTTACTATCTTCTGGTGGTGGAGACTGTGCTTGGTATTGGACTAACAAATTGATTGAGGTCCTAGATTTCCCATTTAGAAGTTGGCGACTCTTGTTGGTTTTTCTTCATTTGCACCCCTCAGGCCACCATCCATTCTTATCCCTCCTCTGCTTTTCCCTGTGCCCAGGGAGGCTGATCTCTATAGACCGAATCACTCCAGCTCCCTTGTCCTCTGGCTTCCTATGGAGTTCAGCCAGTGGGAGGCACCAGCAAGATATCAGAGATTGGGAAGAGAGAGTGGTTGGTGTATGGGGTATTTAACCCCAGTGCACCATTTCCCTCTGTTCCTTCCTTGCCTCCCTGCTATGGCAGCAGGTAATGGTGGGTGGATTCTCTTCTATGGCTCCAGCTCTCCCTGGGGTGTGATAACATAATTCCTCCCCTCTGCCCCTCACCCAACTCCTTTGAGCCTAGGGTTGATAACAGTTTTTCACTGTTGTTAGTTTCCGGGTGCATCATTATCTCGTGTAGATGGGCTGTGCTATTTCCTGCTGAGGCTGTGATGTGACCCTTAAATAAGTCATGCAAATTTCCAGAGTCTCAGTTTCCTTTTATGTAAAATGTAAAGTATAAAACTTATCCAAATAGTATTGGTATATTTCAATAGATCAGTCCAGTACCTAGTCCAAGGCAAATGGACAATAGATAGTAGCCATTTAAATTATCATCATTATGAATATTCTGTAACCTTAGGACTTGCAGTACTGATAATTAATGTGATATGAATATGCAGTATAATCTTAAACAGCAAAAATTTACTTCTCCTTGCTCTTGGACTCTTAAAAACTCAGTGGGAACAGCAAAAGTGGGCTCTCCAGTAAATGCTTTATAGTTCACTGAGGTTGACCACTGGAAGTAACAATAATAGTGAATGCTTTTTGAGATCGTACTTTTTTTGGTCACATACTGTGCTAAGTACTTAAAGTTTTTCTAAGCTTGCTTTAATTTTTTTTATGTGCACATAACAGTTGTACATATTTATGGGGTACAGTTGTACATATTTATGGGGTACATATGCTAAATTCTTTAGTCACGATGACCTTAAAAGGTGAGTAACAGTCATGAACTCTGCCAAAGTGGCCTGCCCAAGGTTAGTCGCAGCCGCACAGAGCTGGGATCTAGCCCAAGCCTACCACCAAGCCTGAGCTCTCCTGTCCTTGGAGCTGGAGGGTGGTGGCTAGCAGCAGCAGCCCTATTTCCTTCCAAGAGGAAGCCTGGCTTTCTCAGTGCTGCCTGGAAAAGAACATAACACTCACTTCTCTTCTTTTCCCCCAGACCTCCTTATTATTCTGTCACACAGGAGGCAACTGAGCCCCTCGGGTCC
The DNA here is from genome assembly GCF_000001405.40 of Homo sapiens. Taxonomy (NCBI): domain Eukaryota; kingdom Metazoa; phylum Chordata; class Mammalia; order Primates; family Hominidae; genus Homo; species Homo sapiens. The sequence goes on along the minus strand of NC_000011.10, from coordinate 111,120,705 downwards.
CTCGGGTTGCCCTAAAGACTTTGTAGGCCAGTTAAAGGGGCAGCACTGAGTCTTGAGGTAGGCATGTTTGATTAAGCTATAGGGACTTCAAAGTGGGGTCAGAAGTCTGTGGGATCCATCAAAAGAAGCTTCTTGCCAAGAGCCACACAGAAGGATGACAGATGAGCGGGGAGCCCTGCAGAGAGGGAGGGCTGCGGTGGAGCGAGGGAGGTAGGACTGGAGAGGCTGGCGGGGGGGCACACTTTGGGCATCTGCAGGAGTGAGCCCCATGTGAGGGATGGCGCTTCTCATAATGACAAACTTGGAGAGAGCGTGAGCCCCACAGGACCCAGGAGGCAGAGGGAACAGACCAGAGTGCCCGTGCCAAGGGCCGTGACAGAGAGCTTGGCTGCAAAGCCCCTGAGGAAAGGGAGTTCCAATTTGCTTTCTCGTTAGCTGAAATATTTGGAATAAACAAACGGATTTCTCTGGAGCCCACTTTATTACATTTGGAGTCCTCTTTCAGAAGGGTTGGGAGGGGGAACAACATGTGCCTCAGAAGTGTAACCATTTTGCAAATACTTGAATAGTATTTGATACTATATGATCACTTATGGGAAAGAAAAGACAAATGACTTAAGTTTTCCCTTTCTCCCACCCTCAAAGAAAGAAAACAGTCCATGTATATGTTAGCCTTAAAAAAAGAAAAGAAAAGAAAGGAACCCCCTGGCTTTTCTTGCTGACTAAGAGAGAAGAGAGGACAGCTGATATCAGCTGCCTCAGGAGGAAATGCTTAGCAGGGAGCTGGGAGTCTTGACGCAACCTGAAAATACTCAACGAGGGAATTCTTTCTCCATACAGCATCTTCTAAAGGTAGGCTTTGATAAAGTCTTTAAATAAATTCCACATTGAGTAAATACCTGCGCTATTTCTGCCTGTTTAACCCAAGTGAGCTGGGGTCTCCCTGCTCCTGGCTTCATGCCCCTGTGGAAGTCTGGATCAGCGAGAGGGGTTACCTTGCCCCGGTCATCTTTGGGTTTTTCACAGTTAATGGCTCGTTTTATCAGCTCTATATTGCTCCCTGGTCCACAGAAGGCTAAGATAGAAAAGTAGGCTCCGTCTTTGATTGCCACAAAAAGACCCACTCTGCAGAGCATATTGTGTATGGTAAAATCAACCAGGACTTTGAGGAGTAGAAGAGGGGTTTTCACTAGAGCAAATGGAAACAGACTTAGAACTGAATGCCAGTCATCCACCCATCAAAGTCCTTCAGGAATTTCACCCAGGGATTCACCCCTGATCACTGATCACAAGGTACCCCCGCCTCAAGTCAGCAAGGCTCTCCTGGCCTTGCTTCTCACATTCTTTGTCGTTTTAGTTCTTATAACCTCCACACACAGCACCTCCACATAACTGTTTTTTCTTAAGTGGAACAGTTCTTTCTCATGCAAAACAATGCAATGATCTTATTTATGTATTTATTTTTATTTTTTGACATAGGGTCTCACTCTTTTGCCCAGGCTGGAGTGCAGTGGTGTGATCATGGCTCACTGCAGCCTCGATGCTCCCGGCTCAAGTGATCCTCCCACCTCAGCCTCCCGAGTAGCTGGGACTACAGGTGCATGCTGCCACACCTGACCTAAAACAGAGTAATGATTGATTTTGATGTCTCAGCTCACCAGTGCCCTCAGAGTCTCAGCTTCCTCCCACCTGCCTTAATACTGTGAACTAAGTTGTGTCCCTGCAAATCCAAATGCTGAAGCCCTGATCCTCAGTGTGATGGTATTTGGAGATGGGGCCTTTGGGAAATAATTAGGACTAGATGAGATCATGAGTGGGGCTCTCATCATGGGATTAACACACTTATAAGAGGAGACAACAGAAAATTTGTGTGTGCTCTTTTTCTGCTGTGTGAGGACACAGTGGGAAGGCGGCTACCTTCAAGCCAGAAAGAGCCCTCACCAGAACTCAACCCTACTGGCACTCTTAGACTTCCAAGCCTCCAGAACAGTGAAAAAATAAATACCTGTTGTTTAAGCCACCCAGTCTATGGTATTATTTATGATAGGCCAAACTGTTATTTATGGCAACCTGAGCAGTCTATGGTAGTATTTATGGAATTATTTGTGGCAGTCTACAGTATTATTTATGGCAGGTATTTTCTCAAATAAAGGCAGCCACCAAGAGGAATGTTGTTACCAACTGTATTAGTCTGTTCTCATAGTGCTGTAAAACTTCCTGAGACTGGGTAATTTATAAAGAAAAGAGGTTCAATTGGCCCATGGTTCTGCAGGCTGTATAGGAAGTATGGCTGGGGAGGCCTCAGAAAACTTTCAATCATGGCAGAAGGGGAAGCAGGCACATTTTACATGGCTGGAGCCTGAGGAAGAGAGAGCGAAGGGGGAGTGCTACACAGTTAAACAATCAAGTCCTCAAGAATACACTCACTAGCACGAGAACAGCAAGGGGGAAATCTGCATTTCTGATCCAGTCGCCTTCCACCAGGAAGGGAAATCACCTCCCACCAGGCCTCTCCTCCAACACTGGGGATTACAATTCAACATGAGATTTGGGTGGGGACACAAATCCAAACAATATCACCAGCTATTAGAAGAACTGTTTTTTTCCTCACTCATCTCCACCCTGAGCTACAAGTGTCAAAAGAGAAAAAAAAATCTTCTAATTCCTCCCTTAAGTGTCATGTGATATAATGAAAAACCTGCAACTTCATGAGGTTAGGAGATCGAGACCATCCTGGCTAACATGGTGAAACCCTGTCTCTACTAAAGATACAAAAAATTAGCCAGATGTGGTGGTGGGCGCCTGTAGTACCAGCTACTTGGGAGGCTGAGGCAGGAGAATGGCTTGAACCCGGGAGGCAGAGCTTGTAGTGAGCCGAGATCGTGCCACTGCACTCCAGCCTAGGGGACAGAGCGAGACTCCATCCCAAAAACAAAAAACAAAAAACAAAAACCCTGCAACTTCCAGGGGCAAGAGATGAGTCCTACCTGTGCCTTTAATTGGCTGGTTGGCCATGAATGAGTGATTACTGCTCTAGTTTGTGCTTAACTGCTGGTCAAGAGCATAGGTTGAAATAGATGATTTATAAAGTCAGCTACTGTCCTGAAATACATGACTTGATGATTTACAGAGATGGCAAACTGCAGATAATCCCTGAACAATAGCAAGACCTAGTACTAATAAGGGTACTGTAATGGCTGAGCATACAAACTGCTAGTGTTCTCTTGGGAGTTTGTCTATGAATCCAGAAAGACGATCTTGAAAGGATGCTTTCCAGTTCAACTTACTTGAATTTCACTTAACATTTAAAATCAGGACGAAATATGAAAAAAAGTTGGATGATTTGCTCTCCTTTTTATAGCCTCATCTCAGGGCCTAATCTGCATAGTTTTGTGCAAGGATGGGAATGAAATAGTTGCGATGTCTTTCAAGATATTCTCTTAGCCTGAACTTTTATTTTTTAGTGGAAGGAAAATATTGTATGCTGCATCACTTAAATTCTTTGTCATTCTCTAAATATTTATGAACCCCCTAATAATATCTCCTGTTATTCCCAGTAACGTGATCATTTATCTCAAAAAAATTTGTTTTCTGAATCATCTGAGGATCTTGATAAAAATAAATTCCCTAAATCCCCTTTTAATTAAGGAAGACTCAGGAATCCAATGTACCCTGTGCTAAGGCACACTTCCTTCTCAGCATTTGCTCCTGGCTCTGTGAATCTAGGGGAAAGTAAGATCCAGAGACAGCCCACTTGGTTTTATCTGGGTCAGGCCTACATCACTCCTTATGGGAAACATGAATTTCCTGTCTTGAAAAAGACAAAATGATCACTGATCCCTGTGAATTTGTAAAATAGAATTTTGGAATAGTAACTGGAGGGGGTCACAAAGCCAGTTGGATGATCTTTTTTTAAGAAAAAAGTATAGGATCTTGAGCTAGGAAATGAGAGTTCAGGCTTTGGCTCTGTTGCCTGGGCAGAGTTTCCGGTTGTTTATAGGGACATTGATAACGCTTTCCCAATTGGATTGCCCTGTAGGTTAACTGTGCTAATACAGGTTGTTGGGGTCTTTTAGGAAGCCTAGGAATTAGCCCCGTCTTTGCTGATTAACCTCTGAACCAATTGAGGAATAAGATAAAGAGTCAGTAAACATTTACTGACAAAAGTTGAGGTTGCTGGATGTAGATTAGTGAAAGAGTCAAAATTAGTGTGCTAACCTCTGCCTCCCCAAACTCCATCCTGGAACAATAACTGAGGGAATGTGTGGGTTATCACTTTTTTCCCAGTCTGGATGGAGAAGGAAGAATAAAGAGACTATACTCTTCATGCTGATGACTGTACTTTAGCCCCACTGCATCAGAAATGTACGACCAACCAGTTAATTCACCTCTATGGTGACAGGAAAGGAAAGGTGGGACACAAGGCTAGGAGAGTTTAGGAAAACTGCTTCTTACAGAAAGCACAGGAGTTGGAGACAGACATTTCCTTCTAGGACAAAGGATAAGAACCAAGTCACCCTGGGGGCTGGCTGAGTTGAGGTTGGATGGAGGAGGCCACAAAACATTCTCATGACAGAGGGTTACGGTGAAGCCCCTGACCTGCTGATGACTGCAGAGACAGCTGTTTGTGGTCTCTGTTTTTCTGCTCAAGATTCAAGGTTGAAGACAGAAGCATGTGGTTGGATGAGCTTGGGTCACATGGCTCTCCAGGGAAAAGGGCAAGTGGATCCCCTCAGTGGGTCCCATCAGACTATTTATATTGTGAAAGAGTCATAAAAGAAATTAGGCATCTTTTAGGAAGGGGAAATAATAGCTCTCCAAAATCAATAAAAACCCACTAGAGTCACTTTCATATTATGAACTTTCCTTGCCTATGGGATCTAGTCCAGTGTTTGCATACAAGGACCTTCAGAGTCTGCCTGTAGCCTAAATTTCTAGACTCGTCTGTCATGTTTCTGCTCTGTCACTTTTCTGCTCTTCCCCCTCTTATCATTCCATAAATATTCTATGTTTTCTCATGCCTCTGTACTCTGGTTTCATCTGCCTGCAATACACCTCTCACTCCCTACCTTCTATCTTTATACCTGGAAGATTCCTACTCATCCTTCAAGGCCCAATTCCTGTTTACTTCTTGCCTTCTTACAGTGAAAGGCAGAATGAAACAATCCCTTTCCCTCAGTTTTCTGTGCTACCATGCATGTGTACAAATGTCTACTATTATATTACCATGTTGTATCAAAATTATTTGTTTATCCATCTGACGTGACAAGGGCAGGGATTACATATGTCTTATATGCCTGTGCTTCACAGAAATGTGAGTCATTCAGCGTGTTTGGTTGTTTTCTGTTTTTCCTGAAATCTTCACGCGAAGACTGTTAATGTGTAAAGAATACTAAACCGAAGTCAGAAGACTAATTGTGTCGCAGACTTCCATTTTTATGGCCACAGAACCATAAGGTCTCAGTTTCCTTATCTGCATTATTAGGAGGTTGTACTGAAGCAGTAGTTTACAGATAATAATAGTGTCTCAAACAAGATAGAAGTTAATTTCTCTCTTTCATGCAAGAAATCTTGAGATTAGAAGGCCAGGTCAGCTCTAGCGGCACCACAAAATCACGAGAGACACAAGTTCACTCTAATGGATCCTCTGCCCTATTTAGAATGTTGCTTCTTAGTCCAAGATGGCTGCTGGGATTAATACAGGCTCCATCCACACAGGTAGTAGAAGGGAGGAAGGGGTGAAGGAAAGCCGAGGCACTCAATTTTCTTATGGAAACTTTCGAGAAGTTTTATGTCTAACACTTACATCTCATTGGCCAAAACTTTTCCACTTGGCCAAAGCAGGCTGCAGAGAAGAATGGGAAATGTAGGTTTTTAGCTCCACAACCACATGCTCTGCTATACATAAAGGTTCTCTTTGCCAAATCTAGAAGGGAGAAACAATAATAAGAGATAACTAGCAGTCTCTGCTATATTGAACTATTTTGGTAAAGGTGATTAGAGAAGACCTCTTAAAGGAGATTAAAACTGAGCTTAAATTTGAAAGATGAGAAGGATTTAGTTAGGCAAAAAGCTATGGGAAGAATGTTCCATATAGAGGTAACAGCAAATGCAAGTTGGTTAGCTGAGTTGGTGTGATAGAGACCACACTGTATTCTCATCAATTGTGCACCAATTGTGTCAATTTCCTTTTCTGGGCATTCTGAAAGACAATATATGCCAGCCTTTCTTGCAGTTAGGTTGAGATCTTGTGACTGATCTCTGGTCAATGGTCTTTGTTCCTTTTTTAGGCTCAGGGAAGCCCCCTCCCCATCTTCTTTTTTTCAAGGAAATCATGAATGCTTGTGTTGAAGGTGATGATGTCTCAAATGGAGAGATCCTGAATCCCTGAGTCACTTCTTAGAGGAGGGCACATCAGACCCTGATATGAGTAAGAAATAATCATTTTATGAAACCACTGACACTTTCAGGTTGTTTGTTACCTTAGTATACCTTATCCTATTTTGGCTAATATAGATATATTTAGAGGACAAATAAAAAGCAAGGATGTCTTGAATACATTAAATGAAGTCTAAAGTGGGAGTGATATGAGATGAAATTGGAGAAAGAGACAGGTATAGAAGCAGACACTGAGTAATAAGTTTATAATGATAATCCAGTATGGAGACGATGGTATTTGAATTAGAGTGATGGCAATTGAGATGGAGAGAAGTAAATGGACTCCAGATACATCCTAGAACAAGAAACACTTCTTTTATACACAAACAATATAAAAGGGGGATCTTTTGATTGCAGAAGAGATGGAGGACCTAGATCCACACACATATAATCTCCCCTGCTCTCTACCTTAACTCCAAGACATTTATGTGCAGAGCTCTAAGATTCAAAGTCACACAGTTTAAAGATCACTGGACTACATGATGCTGGAGAGCTTTTCAGCTCTAAGATTCTGTAATTTTTTTTATTTCTTACTTATAAGACATATAGCTTGGCCTATTTTAAGTTTGACTCTTTTGTAAATTAAATGTTACTTTGGGGAGCCAGATTAAAAATATAATTATTGTATTGAGTCTTCAGAAAATAACCATTGAGCAGAGTGCCAAAAATGTTAGATGCCTGCTAAGAATACATTAAAAATTTTTTTTCAATTAAGTAACTAACACATGTTCCTTATGTAAAAATTTAAAAAGAAAATGAAGAGAGAGAGATATTACAAAAGTTACCATGGTTCTACAACTCAGAAGTAACCATAATTAATGTACATGTTGGTTTCATCAAGGTGAAGACTGGAGTCTTGGAGGATGGCTGTGTTGTGTAGTCAATTGTCTTGGGAATAGGGGTAGGGTGGGAAGTGTGTAATATAGCAGATCTTGAAATCAGAAAGAAAAGCATATAAGGTGTAGATATCTACTTGTGTCTCTAGGGACTCCTGGCTGGATTCTCAGTCCAGCCATAGTCTGGGGCTGTGGTTACTTCTCTCAGGCCCCAAACATTCCCACTGAGTAAAGAACAGGCTGCAAATCCGGGCAATGTAGGAAGAGCCCATCTCTAAAAAAAATATTAAAAAACCAACAAACTCAGCTGGGCATGGTGGTGTGCACCTGTAGTCCCATCTACTTGGGAGATTGAGGCAGGAGGATCAATTAAGCCCAGGAGTTCGAGGCTGCAGTGAGCTATGATTTTTGTCACTGCCCTTCAGGATGGCAACAGAGTGAGACCATGTCTCTAAAAAAATTTTTAAAAACTTCTTCAGAATCTTGGTTTTCCAGGCAAAATCATAGTAGTGGAATCAGAAGGTCTGAAATAAGTGTTGATTCAGCTCAACCCCCTTGTTTTCTCCACCTGGCAGGGGAAACACTGTGTTTTATGACTTCTCTGGGGTATGCAGTAGAGCATGAGAGGCAGTGTAATACTGTGGTTTAGCAGATAGTCTGAAACGAGGCTGCCTGGTTTAAAATCCCAGCTCTGTAACTGACTACCCAAGTGATTTGGAGCAAAGTACATAACCTCTCTGTGCCTCAGTTTTCTTTTTATTTTTTTTTAAATGGAGATAGTAATGATTCCTGACTTGTAGAGTTTCTGAAGGAGAAAATAAGTTATTATAGGTAAAATAATTGCAGCAGTGCCTGGCACTCAGTGACTTCTCAATAAATGATAGCCATTATCATTATTTAGTAGGAGAGCTGGGACTTGATAACAAGCCCCTGGATCCCTGAATTTGATGGTCACCACCCACCTTCTCTTTTTACCCTTCACGTACTGAACATGCCTGCATTCCAGTCTCTACATAGCAATCATAGTCAGGTTTTAACAACATAAACCTGATCATGATACTTCTCTAGCTGGAGCCTTTTGTGATTTCTCATTGCCCTGGAATTAAGTCTTAATTGTTACCTTGTCTTATTTGAGACCTTCACTACCCATTACTTTCCTACCTCTTCCTTGCACTCCTCTCGCCCTCAGCATTCTGTGCTCCAGTCATTCTGTTCTACTCTTATTTCCTCTTACTTCCATTTAAGGCTCCATGTTCCCTTTGTCTTGGGACTTTCGCTTGTGCTATTCTCTGTATCTAGAATGCTCCTTCCTCCTTCTCCCCCCTTTTATTTTGCTAGCTTGTACTCATCTTGCAGGATTCAGCTTAAGTGTTACCCTCAGTATGGGTAAAGAGCAACATTTAAGGAGGCCTTATTTGATCCCTCATTCTATTAGCTGCACTTATACTTATCCACTGTATATATATATATATATGTAACTATGTATGAAATATAATATGTATTATACACAATATATGCACACATACACTTTTTCATAAATCAAAGACTAGAAATGATGAAACCAAAATGTAAATTAATTTTGGTTCTTTCCGAGTTGTGCGTCCTTGGTAATG